>NC_000002.12:86276843-86582227 GCF_000001405.40 Homo sapiens | reverse complement strand
CTCTATTCTGTTCCATTGTTCTCTATAATAATTTCACAACACTATTGAATTTTAGTTTTCAGAATTTAAAAATACCATTCATATCAGGTAGCATGAATCTTCTGACTTTAGTATTTTGCATTTCCACATAAAATTTGTGAATTAGCTTATCAAAACTCACTACCAAAAGCACTTCTGTGATTTTAACTGGATTGCATTAAATCTGTAGATCACTTTTGGGGTGAATTGTTATCTTTACAATATTGAGTCTTCCAATACGTGGTATATTTCTCCATGTTTTTAGATCTTTGATTTCTGTCATCAGTGTTTTGTGGTTGCCTGTAAAGGAGTCTTGTATATCTTTCTTTGAATGTATTCTTAGGAATTTGATTTTCTCATGCTATTGCAAATAATAATGTTTTATAAATTTCGTTTTGTAACTATTGCTTGTGTATAGAAACACTATATATATATATATATATATATATATATATATATATATATATAACTAGCTTTTATTGGTAGAAATTATGTTAAACCTATATATGCCAATGTGGGGAGAATTGACATCTTTACTACATTGCATTTTCCAGTCTATTAACATAGTATGTGTCTCCATTTTATTTAGATCATTAATTTCTTTCATTAGTGTTGTGTGATTTTTAGCATACAAGTCCTGTACCTGTTTTGTTAGATTTAGATCTAAGTATTTCATTTTTGAGTGATTGTAAATGGTATATATTTTAAACTTTGGTGCTCATGTATTCATTGCTAGTATATAGAATGATATATAAAATTATTTTTTTGTAAATTTATCTTTATTCTGCGACCTTACAGAACTCATCTTTAGTTCTAGGAGTTTTTGGTAGATGTCTGGGGATTTCTACATAGACAATCATATTGTCTTCAAACAACAAAAGTTTAATTTCTTTCTTTCTGGTTGGTATTTTTTTTATTTCCTTTTCTTACCCTATTGCAGTAGTTAGATCTTCCAGCACTATGTTGAGTGGTGGAAGTGGATATCCCAATCTTATGGGAAAACTTTCAGTCTTTCACCATTAAGTTTAATGTTAGCTGTGTTTTTTGTAGACAATCTTTATCAAGTTGAGAAAGTTCCCCTCTGTTTCTATTTTTCTGAGAGATTTTTGCTTTGTTTTATTATGAATAGGTATTTAATTTTGTCAAATGCTTTTTCAGCATCAGTTGATATGGTCATGAGATATTTCTCCTTTAGTCCATGAATAAGGTGGCTTACACTTATTTTTTAAAAATAGTCTGGGTGCAGTGGCTCACACTTGTAATTCCAGCACTTTGGGAGGTCAAGGTGGGAAGATCACTTGAGGCCAGGAGTTTGGGACTATATAGACATTATCTATCTATCTATCTATCTATCTATCTATCTATCTATCTATCTATCATCTGTCTATCTATCTATCTAGATCTATCTAGTTCTATCTATCTAGAGATATCTATCTAGATATCCATATCTATCTATCTAGATATCCATTATCTATCTAGATAGATAGATAGATAGATAGATAGATGTAGATAGATAGATAGATATATCTTTGTATCCCTGAAATAAACTCTACTTGATCATGATCTATAACTCTTTTTCTATATTGCTGAATTCTATTTGCTATATTTTGTTAATTTTTATGGCTATGTCACAAGGGACTTTAGTCTGTAGTTTTCTTATTTTATACTGTTTTCTGTATCTAGTTTTGATATAAGGGTAATACTAACTTCATAAAAGGAATTGGGAAAGGCTCGATTTTCTATTTTCTGGGAGAGATTTTGATAACAGTTGTTAATTCTTCTTTAAACATTGGTGGAATAACTATCTTGGCCTAAAGATTTCTTTTTGGGAGTTTTAAAATTATAAATTCAATTTTATTAATTAAATATCATCTATTGTATTATCAATATCTATTATATTACATATTTCATATTGGATGGTTGTCAGTTTGTGTTTGGGGAAAATTAGTCCATTTCATCCTTTAGTATTCCTTTCATGTCTGCAGGATCTGTAGTGATATTTTATTTAATTCTTGATATTGATCATTTATGTCCTCTCTCTTTTTCTTTGTCAGTCTTTCTAGAGGTTTGTGAATTTTGTCTTTTCAAAAAATCAGCTCTTTGTTTCATTAATGTTCTTTGTTGCTTTTCTGTTTTCAATTTTATTGATTTCTGCTCTTATTTTTCTCTCCTTCCTTCTGCTTGTTTTGGGTTTATTTTGCTCTTCACTTTTATGTTCTTGAGGTGTAAACTTAGATTACTGATCTGAAATTTTTCCTAATATATGAATTTAGTACTATACATTCCCTTCTCAACACAGCTTTAGCTGTACCACACAAACATTGATATGTTATATTTTTATTTTCATTCAGTTCAATGTGTCTTTTAAAATTTCCCTAGGGGCTTCTCTTTGATTCATTGATTATTTAGAAGTGTATTGTTTAGTTTCCAAGTTTTAAGGGGGATTTTTCTGTTATTGATTTCTAGTTTAATTGCACTGTGGTTGAATAACATACTCAGTATGATTTCAATTCTTTTAAATTTCTGGAGGTTTGTTTCATGGTCCAGGATAGAGTCTATCTTGATGTTCTGTGGGCACTTGAAAAGAATGTGTATTTCGTTGTTGGGTGGAGGGTCCTATAAATTTCAATTTGATCCTGTTGGTTGATGATGTTCTATATCCTTGTGTATTTTCTGTCTAGTTGTTCTATCAGTCGTTGAGAGAAGGGTGTTGAAGCGACCAACTGTAATTATGGATCTGTATATTTCTTCATTTCAGTTCTATCAAATTTACTTCATATATTTTGCAGTTCTACTATTGGTGTATGCACATTTAGGATTGGTGTATCTTCTTGGTGCACTGACACTCTTATCATGATGTGTATGTCTGTCTCTGGTGAGTTTCTTTCTTCTGAGGTCTACTTTATCTGATATTAATATGGCCACTCACCTGTAATCCCAGCACTTTGGGAGGCCGAGGCGGGTGCATCACTTGAGGTCAGGAGTTCAAGACCAGCCTAGCCAACATAGTGAAACCCCGTCTCTACTAAAAATACAAAAATTAGCCAGGCATGGTGGCAGGCACCTGTAATCCCAGCACTTGGGAGGCTGAGGCAGGAGAATTGCTTGAACCCGGGAGGTGGAGGTTGCAGTGAGCCAAGATTGCACCACTACACTCCAGCCTGGGGGACAGAGTGAGACTCTATCTCAAAAAAAAAAAAAAAAAAAAAAAAAAAAAAATATATATATATATATATATGTATGTATATATAGCCACTCATGCTTTTGATTAATGTTTACATGATAAAGTTTTTTTTTCCATTCTCTTACTTTCAACCTTCTCATATTATATTTGAAGTGAGTGTATTGTAGATGGCATATAATTGGGTCATGTTTTTAAATCCACTCTGCCAATTTCTTCTATTATTATACTTAAGCCATTTACAATTAATGTAATTATCAACATGTTAGAACTAAATATGTCTTTTATATTTTGTTTCCCATTTGTCCTCTTTGTTTTCTTTCCCTCTTTTCTTGTGTGTAACTTGAACATTTTTTAGAATTCCATTTTGATATCTCTATAGGGTTTTATAATAGATTTATTGAGAGAGAATCCACATACTGTACAATTCACCCATTTAAAGCATACAATTTAATGACTTTTAGTGTCTTCACAAGGTTGTGTAATCATTACCACTATTTAATTCCAGAACATTTTCACCACCCCCCAAAAGAAACCCCATATCTTAGCAGTTACAACCCAGTCTGCCTTCCCCCTAGGCCCTGGAAACCATCAGTCTACTTTCTCTCTCTGTGGTATCTATTCTAGATAATTCATATAAATGCAATCATATAATATGTGTCATTTGGGTCTGGTTTCTTTCACTTAGTGTAATGTTTTCAATTTTTCATCAGTGTTGTAGCTTGAACCCGTACTTCATTTCTTTTTATGGTTGAGTAATATTCCATTATATGGATATACCACATTTTATTTATCCATTCATCAGTTGATGGATATTTGTGTTGTTTACACTATTGGGCTACTTTGAATAATACAACTATGAATATCTGTGTACAAGTTTTTGTGTGAGCATACATTTAAATTTCTTGGCAGTATATACCTAATGTGGAATTCCTGGATCATATGGTATCTCTATATTTAACTTTTTGAGGAACTGCCAAACTGTTTTGCAATATTACTGCAACATTTTACCTTCTTGCAAGCAGTGTATGAAGGTTCCCGTTTCTCCAGGTTCTTGCAAACACTTGGTATTATCTGTCTTTTTAAAAATTATTATACAATCCTAGTGTGTGAAGTGGATCTCATTGTGGTTTTGATTGCATTTCCCTGATGGTTAATGTCTATGGCATTTTTGAGTGTATGTCTTTGCATATGCTTTTTAGTGGTTGCTGTAGGTGTTATATTATATATACAAAATTTATTACAATCTACTAGTGCCATCATTTTACCAGTTTGAATGATGTATAGAAACCTTACATCCCTTTAAGTCCCCTTTTCTTCTCCATTTACAATATAATTATCTTAACTATCTCCTTTATGTACTTTTAGAACCACATTAGGTAGACAGTGTTAAAATTTTTGCTTCAGTTGTCAAATGCATCTTAGAAAATTTGAAAGGAGAATAAAAACCTATGGTATTAATATTTATCCGTATTTTTACCTACTGTGTTCTTTCTTCCTTTCTAGTGTTACTGGGTTCCTTCTTTTATCATTTCTTTCCTGTTTAGAGAACTTTCTGTTTAGAGACTACCCATTCTTTTAGGGTAGTCTTCTGGTGACACATTCTCTTAGTTTACTTTTATCTGAGAATGTCTTGATTTCCCATCAGTGTTCTCCATAGCAATGGAATCAATAGGAGGTAAATTGATTGACTGATACACACACACACACATAAATACATACATAGATGGATGAGAAGAGATTTATAAGAAAATTGGCTCATGTGATTATGGAGTCTGAGAAGTCCCATGATAGGCCATTTGCAAACTGGAAACCCAGGAAAGCTGGTGGCATGACTCAGTCCAAATCTGAAAGCCTCAGAACCAAGGAAGCTGATGGTATAACTCTCAGTTCAAGGCCAAAGGCCTGAGAACCAGGGAGCCACTGGTGCAAACCCTGAAGTCCAAAGACTGGAGACCCTAGAGTTCTATGTCCAAAGACAGGAGAAAAAGGGGTCCCAGCTCCAGGAGACAGAAAGAGTGAATTCACCTTTCCTCTGCCTTTTTGTTCTATCAAGGCCCCCAGTCGACTGGATGGTGCTCGCCCACATTGAGGACAGATTTTCCCCACTGAGTGCACTGACTTATATGTCAATGTCTTCCAGAAACAGCCTCACAGACACACCCAGAAATAATGCCTTATCACCTATCTAGGTATCCCCTAACCTAGTCGAGTTGCCACCTAAAATTAGTCACCACATTTTTCATTCTTGAAGAATATTTTCTCTGGATACAGGATTCTAGGGTGACAGTTCTTTTCTTCTAGTACTGGAAAAATATTGCATCTCTTCCTGCCATCCTTTATGGTTTCTGATGAGAAATCCACTGTCACTTGAACTGTTTTCTTCTGTAGAGGTAAGGTGTTGTTTTTCTCTTGCTGCTTTCAAGCACTTTTTTAGCCCTCCCTCTTTCTTTTCTTCTTCCAGTTTTCTGATTGTATAAATGTTACATCTTTTGTTATAGTCCCACAGGTTGCTGAGGCTCTGTTCTGTTTTTTGTTTGTTTGTTTGTTTGTTTTTCCAGTCCATTTTATTTCTGTTGGTCAGATTGGGTGATTTCTTTTTTCTTTTTCTTTTTCTTTTTTTTTTTTTTTTGAGATGGAGTCTCACTCTGTCACTCAGGCTGAAGTGCAGTGGCATAATCTTGGCTCACTGCAACCCCTGCCGCCCCTGCCTCCCAGGTTCAAGTAATTCTCTTGACTCAACCTCCCAAGTAGCTGAGATTACAGGCACCTGCCACCATGCCCAGGTATATATATTTTATTTTTATTTTTAGTAGAGACAAGGTTTCATCATATTGGCCAGGCTAGTCTCAAACTCCTGACCTCAAATGATCCACCCACCCTAGCCTCCCAAAGTGTTAGGATTACAGGCGGAGCCACCGTGCCTGGTCGGTAATTTCTATTGTTCTATCTTCTACTTCACTAATTTTCTCCTCTGTCTTCTCCAATATACTGTTGAGCCCATCCACTGAGCTTTTTTATTTTGGTTATTGTATTTTTCAATTATAAAATTTTCATTTGGTTCTTCTTTATATATTCCTTTTCATTGCTGAGACTTTGCATTTTTTTCATTTGTTTTAAGCATATTTTTAATCGCTTATTAAAGCATTTTTTAAAAATTGTAGCTGTTATACCTTTGTTAGAGTACAGTCATATGGAAAACAACAGTATAGAGGTTACTCAATAATTAAAAACAGATCTACTATTGGCCGGGCACAGTGGCTCACACCTGTAATCCCAACACTTTGGGAAGCCAAGGCCAGCCAATTACTTGAGGTCAGGAGTTTGAGACCAGCCTGGCCAATGTGGTGAAACCCCATCTGTGCTAAAAAAAAAAAAAAAAAAAAAAAAAATTAGTCAAATGTGGTGGTGCACGCCTGTAGTCCCAGCTACTCAGGAGGCTGAGGCAGGAGAATCGCTTGAACCTGGGAGGTGGAGGTTGCTGTGAGCCGAGATCGTGCCACTGCACTCCAGCCTGGGTGAAAAAAAAAAAAAAATAGATCTACGATTGACCCAGCAATCCACTATTTGATATATATCCAAAAAAAATGAAATCAGCATGTCAAAGAGATAGCTTCACTCTTACGTTCATTGCAGCATTATTCACAATAGCCAAGATACGTAATCAACCTAAATGTCTACCAACAAGTGAATGGATAAAGAAAATGTTGCATATATACACAATGGAATACTATTCAGACTTAAACAAAAAAAAAACAAGGAAGCCAGGTGCAGTGGCTCATGCCTGTAATCCCAGCACTCTGGGAGGCTGAGGTGGAGGGATAGCTTGAGGCCAGGAGTTTTGACCAGCCTGAGCAACATAGTTACCCAATTTCCTAAAAACAAAAGAAGGAAATCTTGTCATTTCTGACAACATGGATGAACCTGGAGGACATTATATTAAGTGCAGTAAGTCAGCCACATAGATATACTGCATGATCTCACTGATATGTGGAATCTGAAAAAACATCAAATTCCTAGATGCAGAGAATAGAATGATAGTTACCAGGGATTTGGGGTGTGGGAAGGAGGATGGGGAGATGTTGGCTAAAGGATCCAAAATTTTAGTTATACTGGAAGAATAAGCTCAAGAGACCTATTGGACAATATGGTAACTGTAAGTTAATAATAATGTATTATATACTTGAAAATGGCTAAGAGAGTAGATTTTAGGTGTTCTTGGCACACACAAAAATGATACATATGAGGTAATGCATATTACTAATTAGCTCAATATAGCCATTCCACAATGTATACATATTTCAAAATATTATGTTGTACACATAAATATATACTTTTTATTTTTCAATTAAAAATACATTTTAAACATCTTTACTAGATAATTCTAACATCTCTATCATCTAGGTCTTGTCATCTATATTAGTAAGAAATTACTATAAACTAGATGGCTTAAAATAACATCAATTTATTCTCTCATGGCTGTTGAGGCTAGAAGTCTGAAATCAAGCTGTTGGCATGGTCATACTCCCTGTGAAGGTGCTAGGGGAGAATCCTCCCTTGCCTCATCCAGCTTCTGGTGGTTGCAGACAATCCTTTGGTGTTCTTTGGCATTTAGATGCATCTCTAGTCTCTGCCCCTGTCTCTACATGACTTTCTTCCCTGTGTGTGTATATCCAAATTTCCCATATACAGTCACCAGTCATATTGGATTTAGGGCCTCCTCTAGTCTTGTATGACATTTTTTTTTTAGACAGCTCTGTTGTCCAGGCTGGAGTGCAGTGGTGTGGTCTCAGCTCACTGCAACCTCCACCTCACAGGTTCAAGAGATTCTCATGCCTCAGTCTCCTGAGTAGCTAGGATTACAGGCCTGTGCCACCATGCCTCGCTAATTTTTGTATTTTTAGTAGAGACAGGGATTCACCATGTTGGCCAGGCTGGTCTTAAATTCCTGACCTCAAGTGATCCACCTGCCTCAGCCTCCCAAAGTGCTGGGATTACAGGTGTGAGCCATTGCGCCTGGCCCTGTATGACATCTTAACTTGATTTATCTGCAAAGACCCTATTTCCAAATAAGGTCACATTCACAGGCTCCGGGTGAACATGAATTTTTGGGAGACATTCCTCAATCCAGTAAAGCATCTATTGATTGTCTATTTTCATTGAGTTTGAAATCTTCCTGGTTCTTGGTATGATGAGTGATTTTCATTTGAAATCTGGACTTTCATATTATGCCCTGAGATTCTGCATTCCACTCAAACTTCAGTTTCTGCTGGCTTTCTCTGATGCTGCTTTGGAGGAAAAGTCGGGGAGCCACCTTGTTGCTTCTAGGCGGACGTAGAAGTCCAAGTTCCCTGCTTAGTTCCAGTGAGATCTAGGAGAGCTTCCTGCTTAATGCTGAGCAGAGGTGGGAGCTCCAGTTCTCTACACATTTTCAAAAGACACAGTGGTAGGGGTGCTCTCATTATCACTGGGTGATGGTGAAAGTTCTGGGTCTCCACTAGCCCTCTCTGACACCACCCCATGGTTGTCTTGTTACTACCAGATGTGGTGGAAATCCAGCCTCCCCAATTTCCATTATGATTTCTTTAACTTTTGAGTTATTTCGAAATATGTTTTTTTCTTTCTTTCTTTCTTTCTTTCTTTTTCTTTTTTTTTTTTTTGGAGATGGAGTCTCACTCAGTCGCCCAGGCTGGAGTGCAGTGGCGCGATCTCGGCTCACTGCAAGCTCCGCCTCCCAGGTTCACGCCATTCTCCTGCCTCAGCCTCCTGAGTAGCTGGGACTACAGGCGCCCACCACCACGCCCGGCTAATTTTTTTGTATTTTTAGTAGAGACGGGGTTTCACCTTGTTAGCCAGGATGGTCTCGATCTCCTGACCTCGTGATCTGCCCATCTCAGCCTCCCAAAGTGCTGAGATTACAGGCGTGAGCCACCATGCCCGGCCTGGAAATATGTTCTTATATTTACAAAATATTTGTTTTGATTTCTTTTTTGTCATTGATTTCTAACCCAATTGAAATGTGGTCATGAAATGTGATGTGCATTAGAGTGATTTCTTCACTTCCTTTATATTCTAATACATAGTCAATTTTTATAAATATTCCATATGTGGTAACTTATTATTTACTTGATGTGGGCAGGATGTGACAATTCAATCAAGCATATCTTGTTTTCATGTCTTCTCTGTCTTTATCAAATGTTTGTCTTCTTAAGCAATTAATTAATGAAAGAAAAATCTTAAAATTTCCCTTCATGATGGTGGGTGTTATGGACTGAATTGTGTCCCCATGAAATTCAGATGTTTAAGCCTTAACCCCCAATGTAACTGTATTTGCACATAGGGCCTTTAGAGAGGTAATTAAGGTTAAATGAAATCATAAGGATGAAGCCCTAATCTGATAGAGCTGATGGTGCCCTTCTAAAAGGAGGACGAGATTCCCACAGATCTCTCTCTCTCTCCCTTTGTGGGTACATGGAGAAGAGGCCATGTGTGGTCACAGGGAGAAGTCTGGGTCCTCTATCCTCCAGAATTATGAGAAAATAAATTCTTGTTGCTTAAGCCATTCAGTGTTTGGTATTTTGTTATGGCAGCCTGAGAAGACTAATATAGTGGGTTTATATTTCTCCTTGAAATTCTGTCACTTTTGCTTCACTTTTTTTGAGACTACATGATTAGCATCTGGGTAAATTGAAAAATTTATCATTTTGTAATAAACTTTTTTATCCCTAAAAAGTTATTTTGCCTGAAACTCTATTTTATCTGATAATAATATAGTTATAACAGCTTTATTTTGGTTAATATTTGTCTGGTAAATATGATTTTTCATGTCTTTCTTACTTTTTTACTTTCAGTCTTGCTGTATCCTATGTTGTACGTGTGTCTCTTTTAAATAGCTTAAAACTAGATGTAAAAAAAATCTAGTTTGAAAATCTCTCTTTTTACTGGAGAATTTAGTTCATTTTATTATGAATACAAATGTATCTTTAATTTAACTTAATTAATTTAATTCTGTAATTGTCTTTTGTGTCTTCCACTTTTCTGTATTGTCCGTCCTACCTTATTTTGAGTAATATTCTTAATTCCATTTTTTCTCTACCATTTGGAAGTACTGCTTTTATTTTAGCAGCTATCCTTAAAATTCTAACAAACTTACTTAGTATATAAATTAGTCAATGTCTTTACCTTTTCTCAAAAAAAATTAGAGTCCAGAATCATTTTAACTTCAATGACTTCTCATCTATTTTTTCATATGATTGTGGTAAAATGCTTTACTTCCATCTTTTTGAACTTCCCAAATTAGATGAGTTTTATATAATCAGCTTTTTAAAGATTAACCACAAGTTAACTAAATTGTCATGATTTCTTCTTATATGTAAGGGCCTTTCTTCTGAGATCATGGTTATTCTTTCTAAACTACATTCTTTAGAATTTTGTTTAGTGTTGATCTGTTGGTTTGTGGGCTTTTTGTGTCTGTCGTTAGGTTTTTGTCCCCATTAAAGATGTCTTTATTTTACTTTCACATAGGGGTGATAATTTAGCAGGGCATGACTATAAGTTATTATTTTGAGGATTTTAAAAATGTTTTAATTTTTAATTCTTGTGGGTACACAGGGTATATATAATTACGGGACACAAGAGATGTATTGATACAACATGCAATATAAAATAATCATGTCCTGGAAAATGGCGTACCCATCCCCTCAAGCATTTATCCTTTGTGTTAGAAACAATCCAATTATACTCTCTTAGTTGTTTTTAAATGTACAATTAAATTACTACTGACTGTAGTCACCCTGTTGTGCTATCAAATACTTGGTCTTATTCATTCTTTAGAATTTTTTTTGTACCCATTAACCATCCCCACCTTCCCCAAACCCCTCACTACTTTTCCCAGCCTCTGGTCACCATCCTTCTGCTCTTGATCTCCATGAGTTCAATTGTTTTGATTTTTAGATCTTTGGGGATTTTTTTTCCCCTCAGTATTTGAAGACGTTCTTTCACTTTCTTTTAGCTTCCATTGTTGCTGTTGAGTAGGATGTTGACAGTGTGTGTTGTCTTCTTGTATGTATTCTATCTTTTCTCTCTGTTTTTTTTTTTTTTTTTTTTTTTTTTTTTTTTGAGACAGAGTCTCGCTTTGTCGCCCAGGCTGGAGTGCAGTGGCACGATCTTGGCTCACTGCAAGCTCCGCCTCCCGGGTTCACGCCATTCTCCCGCTTCAGTCTTCCAAGTAGCTGGGACTACAGGTGCCCACCACCACGCCCGGCTAATTTTGTTTTTGTATTTTTAGTAGAGATGGGTTTTCACCATGTTATCCAAGATGGTTTCGATCTCCTGATCTCATGATCTGCCCACCTCGGCCTCCCAAAGTGCTCAGATTACAGGCGTGAGCCACTGGGCCCAGCCTCTGGTTGCTTTTAAAATCTTGGTGTCTTCGATGTTCTGCACTGCCACTATAACGTGTAGCTGTTTGTATTTAATCTGCCTAAGATTTATGTACAGTTATGCATTGTATGACAACCTTTCAGGCAACAGTGGTTCCACAAGATTATAATATCATATATATTGTTCCTGTATCTTTTCTATGTTTAGATACACAAATACTTACCATTGTGTTACAACTGCCAACAGTATTCAGTATAGTAACATGCCATATATGTTTTTAGCTTAGTAGCAATAGTTTATATAGCCTAGGTATCTAGTAGGCTATACCATCTAGATTTGCGTAAGTACACTCTATGATGTTTGCACAATGATGAAATCACGTAACAATGCATTTCTCAGAATGTATCCCCGTCATTAAGTGATGCATGACTACTTCCTGAATCTTCAAGATTAACATCTTAATAAATCTGGGGAAATTCTTAGCCATTATCTTTTCAAAATCTTGTCTCTTCCAGTTTCTCATGTCAATCTTTCTGGAACTTCAATTAATGTAATTGATATCCATATTCTAACATCTGTATCTCATCTTCTTTCTTATATATTCATGTCTTTGTATCTTCAGGCGTTATTATTTTGGATAATTCAAATCTATCTTCTGATTTACTTGTTCTTTCTTATGTGTAATCTGTTGCTTAACTTAGTCCTTGAGGTTTATTTAGTGACTATGTTTCTTATTTCAATTACTACATTTTTCATGTCTAGAAATTCTTTTATTTTTAATTTTACCTGGTCAATTTTTGTTTGTTTTTTTTTTTTCTTTCTTTCTTTTACTTGGTCATTTTTTAATGGTCTCTTGTTTCTTCCAAGTCTCTCTTTTATTTCTGTGAACATTTTAAGCATAACATTTTATACTCTACATTTGAGAATTCTAGTATCTGAAGTGCTTTGAAACATAAATGTGATGCTTTTAAAATTTACTCCTGGCCATTAATGTTTGTCTCATATATTTGGTAATTTTTGTTGGCCATAATTTGTAGAAATACTACAGTGTCTGGATTTGGAGTATGTTCATTCAAAAAGAGTCTGTACTGCTTTCGTCAGATCCCCAGGATGTTATCAACCTAAGAACAGTTTAAATTAATATCTAGGCTTGGGATTTCCAATACCATGAAAGTAGACTAAATTTAGACTTATAGGAGGGCAGCCTTATGATTGTGGTTTCTCAAGGAAACCTCTATTTTTATTTTTTCACCAGAGCTACAGCCTAAAACAAACATTTTCTGGTTGGCTCCCTTTGTTGGCAGATATATATATATATATATATATATTTTTTTTTTTTTTTTTTTTTTTTTCCCTAGCCTGTCTTTTCACTGAGAATGAGGTCTTTAAAGCTCCCAGCTTTAGGGCATCTCAATTTTGCTTCACCATTTTGCCCAGCCAAAAGCCTTGCCTCTTGTTCCCCTGCCCAAACGTTAAAACCAAGCACTATTTTATTTATTTCTTTTTTTTTTTTTTTTGAGACGGAGTTTCGCTCTGTCGCCCAGGCTGGAGTGCAATGGCATGATCTCGGCTCACTGCAAGCTCCGCCTCCTGGGTTCACGCTATTCTCCTGCCTCAGCCTCCCAAGTAGCTGGGACTACAGGCGCCCGCCACCATGCCCAGCTAATTTTTTTTTTTTTTTGTATTTTTAGTAGAGATGGGGTTTCACCGTGTTGGCCAGGATAGTCTCGATCTCCTGACCTCATGGTCCGCCCGCCTGGGCCTCCCAAAGTGCTGGGATTACAGGCATGAGCCACCGCACCCAGGCAACACTAATCTACAGAGGTAGAAATCAGAATAATGGTTATCTTTTGAGGGTACTGCCTGAGAATGGGCATGAAGGAGCCAGTTTAGATTTAGAACACGTTTTAAATATTTACATAGCGCTTTTACACACATTTGTAAAAATTAATCATGTTTTACACTTAAGATCTGTGCATTTTACTTACTATAGGCTTTATCACATCAAAAAAATTATGCAAACAGGTTCTGGGTTCCTGTTATTGGCAGACATTCCTGATTTCTCTTACTTTTTAAAAAGAGATCATCCATGCACATAAAATAATTCTGGTTATATTTTACCAAAATTCTGTGTTTGTAGTGGGTTTTTCATCCACTCTACCATAATGTTGAATGTGTAAGTCACATGCCACTCTTCTAATTCTGATACTGTTTTTGGAGACTTTAGTATTGTTTAAATATTCCAGTTGGATTTTTCAGGCTTTTTCTCTGCTGCAGGGAAATAAGGAAAGGTGTGTGAATCCTCCATGAGAGGACCTTTAGTGGTAAAAATCGTGCTCTACAGGGCAATGTGAGGCAGCCACAGTGATTTTTATGATTCCCGGGGGGAAGGTGCCACTTCCAAGCTAGGGTCAAGCCTGAGAGCTCTACTTTCCCTTCCTGATCATGGAGGATAGAGGTCTGTTTATTTTAGAAGGATTCAGCTAACCATTCTCCCCTCACCCTCTATCATCCTCTTTTTTCTTTTCTTTCTTTCTTTCTTTTTTTTTTTTTTTTTTTTTGAGATGGAGTCTCACTCTGTCTCCCGGCCAAAGTGCAATGGCACAATCTCGGCTCACTGCACCCTTCGCCTCCCAGGTTCAAGCAATTCTTCTGCCTCAGCCTCTGGAGTAGCTGGAACTACAGGCGCGTGCCACCACACCTGGCTAATTTTTGTATTTTTAGTAGAGACGGGGTTTCACCATATTGGTCAGGCTGGTCTCGAAGTCCTGACCTCAGGATCTGCTGGCCTCGGGCTCCCAAAGTGCTGGGATTACAGGTGTGAGCCACCATGCCTGGCCACACTCTTTTTTCTTTAAGGTGAGGCACCCATATGTGTCTATAAGGGTTGTTAATAGATTGAATTGTGACCTGTTAAGATTATGTTGAAGTCCTAACCCCTAGTACCTCATAATATGACCCTTATTTGAAAATAAGGTATAATAACCGCAGATGTAAACAGTAAGTTGGGATAAGGTCATACTGAATTTAGGATTGGCCCTTAATCCAATATGACTGGAGTGAGACATATGGGGAGAACATATAATCGGGTTATATGTTCATAGCAGATTGGAGCGATGCAGCAGCAAGCCAAGGAATGCTGATGATTGACAGCCATCACTAGAAGGTAGGAAGAGGCAAGTAAGAATTCTATTCAGAGTGTCAGAGGGAGCATGACCCTGCTGACACCTTGATTTTGGACTTCTAGTCTCCAGAACTTTGAAAGAATACATTTCTATTGTTTTAAGCCACCCAGTTTGTGGCATTTTGTTATGGCAGTCCTAGGAAATCAACACAAGGATTATTGTAAGTTTGGTGGAGAATGGTTGGAAATGGACAGGAGGTGACTCAAGGTCTGTCTTCGCCTTATCTCAAGTCGTAAGTTGTGGGTTGGGAGACCCTTGGTCCTGAAGTTTAGTCATAAAGATAAATCCACTCCAAAATTATTATATAAGTCATGGGAGGGAGTTCAGTTTCCAAACATTGATTTATATCTAACATTTCCAGGGTCCATCTGTTGTATAAAACAAGGTGTATCTTGGCTTTAGAAAGCCAAAAGTCTTGCCAGGAATTGGGTTATGATTTTCTTGCCCAAAGCATTTCATTTAACAATCTACCTGGCAAATGGGGAACAGTTGTGAGCCAGGAAGCTCCCTAAGACTGGATATCTTAGTGAAATGAGCAAGGAAAACTGGAAGGTGGAGGAAAAACAGTCCTTTCTGTTTTTCATTTCAAATTCAGGGGAGGATTTAAAGCATAGGCATTGAAGTACCTCTCAAGGATACACATCTATTTATATTTTTCAGAGATCAGGAGGAGAATGCACATAAAGCCTTTGAAAATGTGTGTGAACAAACGTCTATGTGAACATATGGCAGGGGAGTGTGATCCTGTTAAACACTTGCTGTGTTTGGCAGGAGTAAAGAGCTAGAATGCCTGCTCACTTAGTTCTTCCCACCCACTCAGATGTGTGAGTCTTAGCAGGTGGGAGGATCTGTAGCTTGCTTCCTGAGGTCCATGTAGGAAGGACGAACTTGAGCCCCAGCCGCAACTAAGGAGTGCTCTGTCCAATGCAAAAGCAGTATCAGGACACAAATGGAGAGTACACGTTACTCTAAAGATAGAGCCTAAAAAATGTGTGGAAGCAAGATGCACGGTGCAGAGGAACTGCACTGATGTGTTGATAGGGCTCTGTCAGTACCTATGAGCTCTGTACGACATTGAGAGGCCATGTGCCAAGTCAAACCTTCCTCCACACCCTGCCAGGCCTCTCTGCCATTGATGGCCAGCTTTAGAACAACTGCAGCTTTAGGATCTGAAATGGCTGTGGCCTAAATCCTCCACCCAGAAACAGGGAAGGCTCTTTGGCACATGCTGTTTCTTTTACTCTGGATACTCTTCCTCTCTCTGCTAGCTCATCCTTCAGGTCTCAGCTTATTTGTCATCTGTTCAGGGAAGAGTCACTGATCAGCACTTTCTTCTTATAGTCAGAATTTTGCACATTTGTAGTAATACAATTTCGTCTATAACCATTGTTTAATACTATTGTCCTTCTCATCAGATTGTAGGAGATTTTTTTCTGCTCACTGCCATTTTCCTGAAGCCTATAAAATGCCTGACATATAGTAGGCATTTGAGAAATACTGTTGACTAATTGGCGATCCAGTATCCTCCTACTTGAAAAAAATGCTTATAGTTTATTCTCAAAAAAAGGTGAAAGAGACTTAAAAAAATTCCACATTTTCAAGGAACTCCTTCACCTTTAAAATGGAAGGAAGAAAGGAAATAAGGAAGGGAAGGAGGGAGATAAATGGAAAATGAACAAGGGTTATGAAGAAGCAAGTCACAGAAGAAATTCAAATGACCAACAAATATATGAAAAGATGCTTATCCAGACTAATAGTCCGGGAAATTAAAGTTAAAAACAATATTTTATGCCCTTAGATTGGCAAAAATTTTAAATATTGCTAAAATTCACTTTTAGCATGGATTTAGGGAATAAGAGTGCTGGTATACACTATTGGTAGGAGTTCACAATAGTGCAATGTATATGGAAGATACTGGTATTAAGTTTAAAATTTTTAACTGTGCCTATATTTGCAGGATTATTTACTAGGGAAAAACTAGAAACAATCTTATATAATAGGGAAATGGTTAAATAAATTATGGTACATTCTTGCTATGGACTGCCATAGGTATTGACACTGATGAAAGTCTACATAAAATGTGTTTAAAAGGAAATTGTAGGACAACGTATATAACATAATATCAATTAAATAAAAATAGGGCTGGGAGAGGTGGCTCAATGTATATAATATAATCTCAACTAAGTAAAAATAGGCCCGGGCAAGGTGGCTAACACCTGTAATCCCAACACTTTGAGAGGCTGAGGTGGGAGGATCGCTTGAGCCCAGGAGTTTGAGACCCGCCTGGGCAACATGGCTAACCCTTGTCTCTACAGAAAAATTAAAAACACAGTGGGCGTGGTGGCTGACACCCAGCTACTCAGGAGGCTAAGGTGGGAGGATCACTTGAATCTGGGAGGTAGAGGCTGCAGTGAGGCAAGATCCTGCCACTGCACTCCAGCCTGGGTGACAAAGTGATACCCGGTCTCAAAAACAAATACATAAATAAAAATAAAAGTATATTTTCCAAAGGAAAAGGTTTCAGAAGATTCACACTATATTTAATAGTTGGTGTGAATCCTTTGAGACCTTTTCCCCTGAGGAAGTGAGAATGAGGGTTTAACTTTTCACAATGAACAGGCAGTGCTTTTTTAAAAACAACTTTATTGAAGTATGATTGGACATAAAATAAATCGCACATACTTAGTGTCCAACCTGGTAAGTTTTGATATTGTATACATCTGTGAAACCATCATCACAATCAAGATATTATCCATCATCCCCCTAAACTTCGTGTCTCTTTGTAATCCCTCTTTTCTGCCTCTTTCTGACCCCACTCCTATCCGCTAGCAACCGCCCATGTACTCTCTGTCACTATGTATTAGTTTGCATTTTCCAGAATGTTATGTAAATGGAATCATACGGTTCTGGCTTCTTTCACTTGGCAGAATTATTTTGAGATTCATCCATGCTGTTGCATTTATCAATAGTTTACTTTTTTATTGCTCAGTACTATTCCTTCGTATGGATCAATCACGACTGGTTTATCCATTCACTTGTTGATAGACATTTGGATTGTTTCCAGTTTATGGCTATTACAAATAGAGCTGCTATGAACATTTGTGTACAAGTCTTTGTAAGAACATATGCTTTTTTCCCTCTTGGGTAAATAGCTAGGAATGGAAGGCTGGCTTTGTTTAGCATTTTAAGAAATTGTCAAAATGTTTTCAAAGCTGCCGAACCATTTTATGATTCCACCAGAGACAGGAGTATGGGGCTGAGGTAACAAATGGTCCCCTTCACCATCCTCGGATGAGTTAATGACAGTAACCATCAGCTCACCGTATAGGCCTAATCAGGAACTGTCCGTGCTAAAATGTGTCTAGTTCTCTTTAGTCAGATTCCTTTGAGAGTGTGATTAAGCTCACGGTCAGTGTGGCGTGTAGGACGGGACACACATGGACAAATGCTAGGCAGGAATCGCCCACGCTGGAAAGGGCGATGGCCTGAAAAAAAACGACCGCAGTTGGGATGGAAAGGGGAGGGTTGAAGTTCAGACATATTGAAGTTAGAATGGTTGGGACTTGGTAAGAGGGGAGAGAGGACGATGCCTAGGGTTTAGTGACCAGGTGATGGTGGTGCAAGCAGAGGGGAGGAGTGGGTTGGCGGGAGGAAAAAGAGGTTATTTTTGGTTTGTCACCTGTGAGTTGCCTACTGGACACAAAGATGAAGCTGTCGGGAAAGTGATGCTAAGTGTACACGTCTGCGTGGAGATCCAGACTTCTGGTGCAACATCTAGGTTTAGGTGAAGTATTAGAAGCAGTTGTAGCCAACAAATTCGTATCTTTCAGAGCAATCATTTCTACACCTTACGAAAAGCACCGAATCCGTGGTCTCCCCCACACAGACATGACCAGAACATGTGCGATGACGTCAGCCTTTTTGACTAGTCTCCCACTCACTCGATTCTGCGCAGGCGTATGGCGCATGCGCAACATCCCCTAGTGCCGCCGCTCCCTACTCTGGGGGTTGGGACTACCTCCTTTTCCGCGGGCCCCGCCCAGGCGGCTGCCCGTGACCTGCCTGGGCGCGGGGAACTGAAAGCCGGAAGGGGCAAGACGGGTTCAGTTCGTCATGGGGCTGTTTGGAAAGACCCAGGAGAAGCCGCCCAAAGAACTGGTAAGGGCTACGGCGGCGGCAGATAAGCGGGTGGATCTGTGTGGGGCGTAGTGAAGTTGGTAAATGACAGGACACTCTTCTCCCCACCGCCTGCCCGATACCGCCCGGCCCCCATTTCCGGGGACTCCCACTCGACAGGGGGGCCGGAGGAAGAGTCTTTAGGAGTCGGCTGTGGGACGCGAGAGCTCCTGGTGCCATGGCTCTCGAACAGGTAGCCGAGGGTGGATGAAGAGTTTCTCCACCTCGCCACTGAGCGCGTAGGCAGCGACACCGTCCTGGCCTCGGAAACCTCTTCCCCCTGCGCGCGTTGGTACGACCCGCCCGGAACCTTTTCCCAGCGTAGGCCCCACCCCTCCAGCCCGGCTGCGGACCACCCGGAGAACCTTCTCCTGCCCGAAGCGTTGTTTGGAGCGGGCCGGGTCGCGTCTGCCGGAGGAGCCGTCTGTTCTCCGTCCTCCCTGTTGTGTTGAAAAAGAGGCTCAGTTTCCTCTTTCCCCAGCCCTTGTGTTGACCCTAGGCACATACCGTAGCGGGGCAGGGACTCGACCCAGAAGAATGTTACAGAAGATAGCTCTGGACCCGGCTTCGAACTCTCGTTACCTATTAATTGAGATAATATTGGGAGGCAAACAGTTGAAAATGCCCTGCAGTCAGTCAACCTAAGTTTGAATCCTGCCTTCCCACATCTCAGCTCTGTGATCTCTGGAAAGTTCACTTCTCAGTGCCTTCTCGACTGTGAAGCCAGAATAATAGTAGTGTCACCTCAGAGTAATTGAAGATTCAGGGATGTAAAGTTTTCATATTGGTAGTTAGGGCTAATTCTTTAAATACGGCACAGCTTTGCTACTCAAATGCCAACCAGCAGCATCAACATCACCTGGGAGCTTGTTAAATCTCGGACACCACTCCAGACCCACTGAGTCAGATTTTGAATTCTGACAAGCTCCCTAATGATTAGTGTGCACATCAGTGCTTTGAGAAGCACTGCTCTGCAACACCTAGGCTTGTCCATAATGGAAAAAAAAAATCCTGAAATCCTTTAATAAATGATCTTACCTGTTCAGCTCTAGCAGGCACATTTTAAAAACTAATCTTATGCATCTTGCAATTCCTGGCACATAATGTGCGTTAATGTAAATTTGTTGTTGTTGTTGTTAAAGGCCCTAGAACAGTAGACACTCATTATTTTCGTCAGGAAACTTACTCAGTTTTGCTCCTTGGTAAAATAAAAATTGTGGCGCTTAAATGAAATAACGGTATAACATCACTTTGGAAACTATAGAACATTATATAGATGCACATTTTGTGACATCTGTATATTCTAAGATTCTTGTTATTGTAGAAGTGTGGTAGGGAGAGATTATTTGTTGTCTTCAGTGTTTGGCCTTGGCATTGCCATTCGTAAATTGAGATAAGATTATGGAGAAGCAAAAAAGATGCTGGGGAAATGGTTGCTTTATTGTTTAAACTAGTCTCTAGTATATGTACTACTATACTACTCTAGTATATTGTACACTTAGATTGTTTTTAAATGATAAATTGCTAAGAACACGATATTGGTACACTCTTCAGTAGGGTAATCTACCTGAGAAAGCTGATTGACACTGGAAAATGGCAGGGTTGATGCATGAGATTGGTTTTTAAAACTATGCTTGCCAGAGCCGAACAGGTAAGATCATTTATTGAATAAAAAATTTTAGTTGTTTTTCCCCCCATTATGGACAAGTCTGGGTATTGTAGAGCAGTGCTTCTCAAGCATTAGTGTGCACACTAATCATTAGGGATCTTGTCAGAATTCAAAATCTGATTCAGTAGGTCTTGGATAGGGTCTGAGATTTCTAATAAGCTCCCAGGTGATGTTGATGCTGCTGGTCTACACTTGAGTAGCAAGATTGTAGAGTGAATTAAGATTAGCCCTAACTACCACCACCTTTAGCTAACATATTGAACCAGGCATTGTGTTAAGCACTCTGCAATGTTATGAGGTAGGAACTGTTATTGTCTCCACTTTACAGGTGGCAACTGAGGCATACAGTATTTAGGTAATTTGCCCAAGGTCATACAGTTTGTGAATTACAGCACCAGAGGTTATGTATTCTAAGGCCTATACTTAGAATTATCATGCCATTTATACTACCTCCCAAAGAGGGATTATAAAGGTGAAATAAGAAGCCAAAGAACTTAACTTCTAGCAAGTAAGATAAACATTTTAAGAGCTGGTTTGGATAGGGCACCTGATATGGTTTGGATCTGTGTCCCCGCCAAATCTCATGTCAAATTGTCATCCCCAGTGTTGGAGGTGGGACCTAGTATGAGGTGATTGGATCATGGGAGCAGATTTCCCATGAGTGGTTTAGCACTATCACCTTTGGTACTGTCCTTGAGATAGTGAGTTCTCATGAGATCTGGTTGTTTAAAAGTGTGTAGCACCTTCTCCCTCATTCTCTCTTGCTCCTGCCATGTAAGATGCCTATTTCTTTGCCTTCCCCCATGATTGGAAGCTTCCTGAGGCCTCCCCAAAAGCAGAAGCTGCTGTGCTTCCCGTACAGTCTGCAGAACTGTGAGCCAGTTAAACCTCTTTTCTTTTTTTTTTTTTTAAATTATACTTTAAGTTCTGGGTTACATGTGCAGAACGTGCAGTTTTGTTACATATATACACGTGCTGTGGTGGTTTGCTGCACCCATCAACTGGTCACCTACATTAGGTATTTTTGCTAATGTTATCCCTCCCCAACCCCCAACCCCTGACAGGCCCCGGTGTGTGATGATCCCCTCCCTGTGTCCATATGTTCTCATTGTTCAATTCCCACTTATGAGTGAGAACATGCGGTGTTCGGTTTTCTGATCTTGTGATAGTTTGCTGAGAATGATGGTTTCCAGCTTCATCCATGTCCCTGCAAAGGACGTGAACTCATCCTTTTTTATGGCTTCATAGTATTCCATGGTGCCACATTTTCTTAATCCAGTCTATGATTGATGGACATTTGGGTTGGTTCCAAGTCTTTGCTATTGTGAATAGTGCTGCAATAATTTTTTTTTTTTGAGATGGAGTCTCGCTCTGTCGCCCAGGCAGTGCAGTGGCGCGATCTCAGCTCACTGCAACCTCCGCCTCCTGGGTTCAAGGGATTCTCCTGCCTCAGTCTCCTGAGTAGCTGGGACTACAGGCCCGTGCCACCACATCTGGCTAATTTTTTGTGTGTTTAGTAGAGACAGAGTTTCACCGTGTTAGCCAGGATGGTCTTGATCTCCTGACCTCGTGATCTGCCCGCCTTGGCCTCCGAAAGTCTGGGATTACAGGTGTAAGCCACCGCGCCCGGCCCTCTTTTCTTTTTATGAATTACGCAGTCTCAGGTATTTCTTTATAGCAATGTAAGAACCGACTAATACAGTACCACATACACAGGTATAGGAGTTCAGTGGTTGGAGTGATTATCTCCAGGCTGAGATGATCAGAAACAGTTTGACCTTTCACTGTCATGTGTTCCATCCTCTTCCTGCCTATGAATGGGTTCTTGACTATTTAGTAGGATTTTTAGTGTTAGATTATCCACTTTATCTGGTGCTGGAGATACCCTGCCCAAGGTTTTCTTCAAGTTCCTCCTCAGTTCTTCAAGGTACCCATTCAGTTTTGATATGTTTTAGTTTGTTAGAAGAATGTCCATCCACTTTAGGGTCAGCTTCTACCAAGTGCCAGGCTTTCTCTCACACCTGTGACTTGTGAACAAAGAAAGTGTTTTGTCACCAGCTGTGGTTACTTAGCATTAGTCTGTAATTCAAGAAGGTGCCAATAAAGCAGGGATGGTGTATTAGTCAGGGTTTTCCAGAGAAGTAGAACCAATAGGATGGATGGATAGATAGGTAGTTGAGAGGGAATTTAATATGGAAATTGACTGGGGATTATGAAGGCTGAGAAGTACTATCATATGCTGTCTGTAAGCTGGAGACCCAGAGAAGCCAGTGGTGTAGCTCAGTCCAGGGTTGAAGGCCGGAGAACCTAGTGAGTTGGGGTAGCACTGATGGAAGTCCCAGAGTCCAGAGAGTAGAGAACCTACAGTTCTGATGTCTAAGAGCAGGAGACGGGTATCCCAGATGCAGAAGAGAGCAAGAATTTGCCTTTCTTCTGCCTTTTTGTTATGTCCAGACCCTCAACTGATTGGATGGTGCCCACTTACATTGGGTGGGGGCTGATCTTCTTTAGTTCACTGATTGAAATGCCAATCTCTTCCAGAAACACCCTCATAGACATATTCAGAAATAGTGCTTTACCAGCTATCTGGGTATCCCTCAACCCAGCTGAGGAGATACCTAAAATTAACCATCACAGATGGGAAATACTTTTTTCTCTGTAGAACTGCTGATGCACTGATAAAGTATTGAGAGCTGTGTATGAATAAGAAGCCAAGTAATGTTAGTTTGGCTTTTTTTTTTTTTTTCTTTTAAGGGAGAAAGAAAATACTTAAGAGGCCAAGTGAAGGAAATTTTCAAAGATAAGAAAATGTTGGCAGAAATGGAAGGGGCATTAGAGAGAGAGGGAATTGACTAAATGCTGTAGTCTCAGCTGGGCAGTTTTTGAGTTGGGATAAACTTACAAGACAGCTCCTTCTGTTGGGGGCTGAAAGATGCAGGCAGGTGGGTCTGGGTCCTGGCACAGGATAAGCAGAGGCCAGGTGTAGTCATATCACACCATCATGGTTGTCACACATGGTACCATTTAGGCCATGGTGACAGGTCAATTCGGGCAAGTAAGATACATTATGGGTGGTATCTCCAGAGCTCTGATATAATATGCAGCGTGCAGTGGGTGCTAAGTAAATATTTGTTAAATGATGAGTGAGTATCAGAATAAGGTTTAGTAGGGTTTAAGGTCAGGTAGTCCCAAGATGAGCAATGTTTCAAGGAACTCTCTAGGGAAACATTAACTATGTTAGGAGCCTCTGCAGACTAAAATCTTTGCCCCTGCACAAACTGTGGTGGAGACATTTTAGTGGTGAATCTATTCTGTTTTAAAGGATGCAAGTAAAGACCAGACTGGGCCTGCTGAGGATGAGGATGCCTTAAAATCCATTTAGAAACCTGTAACAGTCTTGGGGTGGGAATCAGGAGGACATGGAATTCTGCTGGAAAGAGATTCTTCTCTTAGACTTGAGGTTCTGCTGGGAAAATTGTTCTGTCTTACTTAGGGACTTCACTAATTTAGTCTTGGGGTAGAGTGCCCCCTTCCATGGCATCAGAATTCTTAAATCATATGACTTATGTTCTTAGACTGGGTCATGACTCATGGTTGTGGGATTCTATCAGAAAAGGGAAGAAAATGAGAAAGGGAGATGGAGTTCATACAACAAATATCGAGTGATTTTGGTGTGCGTTGGATTGGAATAAGGCTTACAAAAATAAGACACTAGATGACTTCAAAGAATATAGTTTACTGGAGGAGACTGACATGTAAATAAACACTGTAGGGAGATAGGAGCAATAATTTAAGTATATACAAAGTCTTTGATGCCATAGTGGAGGGAGTGATTATTCAGAATGGGGAACGGAAGCTGGTCAGGGACGGTCTCGGTCTTGTCACAAGTGGCATTCACCAGGTGGACGGTAGATATAGGATCAGGAAAGGGGAGGCATCCCTAGCAAAGTGAACTGAATATGCAGGGTTTAGAAGTGTGGAACATATGTTAGAGGAACTAGGGAAAAAATTCAGAATGGTTGGAGGATGAAATGCTATTCTGAGTGGAATGCAAGAGGAGTGATGGTAGTGGTAAGATGTAACATTGGAGAGGTAGGTAGAGGGCAGATTAATAAAGGTCTGTGTGTCATGCCTACTAAAGATGGGGAGCAATCAGAACAGTGGGTTAGGGCATGAACTAGAAGGAAGAGATTTAGGTAGGGAGGCCGGTTAGTGGCCCAGGTGATAGATGATGTGAGCCTTAGAATGGCAATGGGAATGGAGAGGATAGGATGAGTTTTAGAAATATTTAGCATAGATAGTCAGAATTTGCTGAACTACTGCATGTGGGATGAGTGCAAAGATGATTCTTAGGTTTCTGTTTAACCCTACCCCAGTCAAACCTGTTCATCCCCCTGAATGGCAGTGCCATGAGCTGAAATGGAGAGAATTCAGGAAAGGAGCAAGTTTGTTGGGAATGGTGATAGTGGAGGAGAAGGAGCCAGAGCTCAGTTTTGGACAGAATTTAAGAGATGAGAGAAGATAGACACAGGGAAATTCTGGAAGAATATTTTTCTCTTCTGCTTTGTGTCCTCAGCAAAATTGTAAACTTAAGAGCAAGGATTATGTTTCTGTTTATTCTCTATCATCCACTGGGCTGGCATAATGTTGAACTTTCTCAGGAAGTGTAAAGAGCTCGTCAGGTACTTGTTTCATGGACAGGAGTAGGGATGGTGTTCCGGGTCCGACCCGCAGATCCTGGCCAAACGACGGATGAAAGAATACACTCAGACACAGGTATCCAGTGAAAAAGCGGGCTAGGGGACCAGGCTGCTCACAGACCCCGAGGAGGGTGTTGTAGCAACCGCGGCCCTGACAAGCCGGCGCTGCGAGTATTTATTCAGTACAGATGTAATGACAAAGGCTTTGAGTCAACACACTTGTGGGTAATTAACATGGTCCCTCCCCGCCTTCCCCGAGAGAGCAGTCCTGCTGGCGGATGATTAAAGGCCAGGTTCCGAGGCCTAAGTAAACTAACTTATCTAGATCAGTTTCTTTACATCCCCTTACATCTCCCAGGTAAGAGAATCTGGCTGCCTTCAGCCAAATCCTTTTCTGAAGCTTTTGTAAAAACCTCCCGACCTTCCATGAAGCTTTGCATCTTTTTACAATTTTTCCCACCACCCTGACCGATCTCCTACAATGGTGAGAGAAAACACCTGGACATTTGAAATCTAGCATGATTGAGCTGATATATACTCAGCTGACAGTGACAGGAATAGGCAGATTTTGATCTAAGGTCACTTGTATTTGTTGCTTTTGGCTGATTTCTAGTTTTATGTATATTTTAGATTGTCTTGAAAGATATGCAAAATCCTAGATTGCCTCCAGGAGAGGAGCTACGTAGCTGAGGGTCAAAAATGGGAGGGAAACTTTTCACTATTTGCCTTTCTATAGCTGTTGAATTTGTACCATTAAAATGTATTATCTAGTCTGGAATTATCTTAAAAATGTTTTCTGGAGTCAGTAGTTATTTTCCTACTTTAAATTGATTTTATGTATTTCTGTATTTTAAGGATTTGCTTGTTATATTTTTCCAGTCCTTTAATTTCGCTCTTAAATATGTAAAAAAATCTTTAATATTTTAAGTTAAAAAACAGAGGATAACATATCCATTGTGGTAGGCTGAAAAAGCTCCCCACCCCCAAAGAGATCAGGTCCTAATCCCTGGAACCTATTTATGTTCCTTATTTGGAAAAAGAGTCCTTGCAGGTATGAATAAATTAAGGTTCTTGAGATGGGGAGTTATTCAGGTGGCTCCTAAATGCAATCACCTGTATCCTTATAAGAGGGATTTAGAGGGAGATTTGACATACACAGAAGAAGAGAAGGCAATGTGAGGATGGAGCAGAGACAGCACTGAAGATGCTGGCCTTGAAGATTGGATGGTGAGACTGCAAACTAAGGAATGCTGGTAGCCATTAAAAGTTGGAAGGCAAGAAATGGATTCTTCCCTAGATCCACTGGAGGAAGCATGGCCTTCCTGCTACCTTGATTTTGGCTTAGTGATACTCAGATTTCTGGCTTTAGAACTGTGAAACAGCACATTTATTATTTATTTATTTATTTTTTTTTTTGAGATGGAGTCTTGCTCTGTCGCCAGGCTGGAGTGCAGTGGTGCGATCTCGGCTCACTGCAGTCTCCACCTCCTGGGTTCAGTTGATTCTCATTTATGTTTTAAGTACTTTGTTATGGCAGCCTCAGGAAACAATACACTTATATACATGCTTACTCTCTTTATTGCATTTTCTTACGTCAGCACACAGAGTGACAGTCACTGTCATAAATTTGGTATGATTTCTTTCTGCTCAGTATTGTTTGTATATTTTGAAAATGAAGTTTATTCATACCAATATATGTAGATGTATTTCATGTATTTTAACTTCATGGAGTTTGATTGTATAAATCTATGACAACATATTAGTTCTAAGGCCGGGAGCGGTGGCTCATGCCTGTAATCCCAGCACTTTGGGAGGCTGGGGCGAGCAGATCACTTGAGGTCAGGAGTTCAAGACCAGCCTGGCCAACATAGTGAAACCCCGTCTCTACTAAAAAATACAAAAATTAGCTGGTTGTGGTGGCAGGCACCTGTAATCCCAGCTACTCCGGAGGCTGAGGCAGGAGAATTGCTTGAACACAGGAGGCAGAGGTCGCAGTGAGCCGAGATCACCCACTGCACTCTAGCCTGGGCGACAGAGCGGGACTCCATCTCAAAAAAAAAAAAAAAATCTACACACACACACACACACACACACACACACGCGCGCACACACATTTATTCTATTGATGGACTTCTAGATTGTTTCCTTGTGTAATACAACAATCCAATGAACATTCTAATACCTGTATGCTTGTGTATTTGTGAGAGAGTTTCTTTAGGCTATGTACAAGGGAAATTTTTGGATCTTAGGATATGACTTCTTTGTACAAAAATACTGCCAAATTGGTTTCTAAAGGGATTGAACTGATTTGTACATTCATCAGCAATATATGAAAGTTGCTTGTCTTTATATTCTTCTCTAGCACTTGTTATTAACTGAATTTTTGACTTTTGCCAGTCTTAGAGGAATGAAATGAATATCAGGCTTTTTCCTGATTATCAGTGAGATTGAACATCTTTATCTTCTCCAGTTATGTGACTTGTCATTTCATTATTGTGTATATTATCATAAAGACTTTGTCAAGTTTAATTTCTTCTTGAAATAGAACACCTATGAAATGCCAACTACTTTATTTTAAAGTTTTATTATGAAAATTTTTAAATTTTTAGAAAAGTAGAAGTAATAGCAGTGGTTAGTACATTTGAGTTGCTATCACAAAATACTACCAGCTGAGTAATTTATAAACAATAGAAATTTATTTTCTACAGTTATGGAGACCAGGAAGTCGGTGATTAAGGCGCTGACAGGTACAGTGTCTGGTGAGGGCACTGCTTTTTGGTTCATAGATGGTGCCTTCTTGCTGTCCTCACATGGTTGAAGGGGCAAAAGAGCTACCTTGGGCCTATTTTATAAGGGCATTAATTCCATTCCTAAGGGACCTAATAACCTCTCAAAAGGCACCGCCTCCTGATACTGTCACTTTGAGGATTAGGATTTCAACATACGAATTTGGGGACATGCACCAACATTCATACCACAGCAGATCGTACAGTGAAAACCTGTATAATCAAATGTTGATAGCACTTTGCTATTATTTGATATATATTTTTCAGCTCGGTCAGTTTGAAATAGATTATAAATATAACACATTTTGCAACATTTCATATTGCATCTCTGGAATATATGGAAATTCTGTATAACAAAAATACCTTCATATCATTGAATATCTAGTCCATATTTAAATTTTCCCAGGTGTTCCCAGTATGTCTTTTATAACTTTTTAAAACTTAGGATTCAGCGAGGTTTGTGTTTGGCTGTTACTTGATTTTATTTAAAAATCTGTTTGGGGTCGGGCGCGGTGGCTCACGCCTATAATTCCAGCACTTTGGGAGGCCGAGGCGGGTGGAACATGAGGTCGGGAGATTGAGATCATCCTGGCCAACATGGCGAAACCCCATCTCTACTAAAAATACAAAAATTAGCTGGGCGTGGTGGCGTGCACCTATAATCCCAGCTACTCGGGAGGCTGAGGCAGGAGAATTGCTTTAACCAGGGAGTCGGAGGTTGCAGTGAGCCTAGATTGTGCCACTGCACTCCAGGCTGGCGACAGAGCAAGACTCCATCTCAATAAATAAATAAATAAATATCCCCTGCTTTCTACTTATAGCATTGTAAGAATAAAGACTCGTTTGTAAAATAGAGCATTTGTTTTGTAGAATGTTCCTTGTTATGGTTTTGTCTATGTCTTGTGGTTATCGCTTTTTTTTTTTTTCCTCCAACTTTTAAGTTCAAGGGTGTATGTGCAGGATGTGCCGGTTTGTTACATAGGTAAACATGTGCCATGGTGGTTTGCCGCGCACATCATCCCATCACCTAGGTATTAAGCCCAGTATCCATTAGCTGTTCTTCCTGATGCTGTTCCTCCCCCACCATCCCCCATCAAGCTGCCCCCACCCGATCTCCACCCCCGGCTGACAGGCTCCAGTGTGTGTTGTTGCCCTCCATGTGCCCATGTGTTCTCATCATTCAACTCCCACTTATAAGCGAGAACATGCAGTGTTTGGTTTTCTGATCCTGCATTAGTTTGCTGAGGATAATGGCTTCTAGCTCCTTCCATGTCCCTACAAAGGACATGATCTTGTTCCTTTTGTGGTTAGCTTTTTTCTCTACCCCCTGTGTTTTCTATGAAATGGAAGTTGGATCTAAGTTTGATAAGATCCAGGTTAAACAATTTTAGCAAGAATGCCTCACAGGTAACCTGTGTGATTCATAGTGTATCACATCAGGAGGCATATAATGTCTGTCTTGTAATTAATGATGCTAATAACTTTGGCCACCTGGTTGAGGTAGTGACACACCAGATCTTTACATTATGTTTTCCTTTTTATGCTAGTAACTAACCTGAGGGGTGATATTTTAGCACCATGTGAATGTCCAGCTCTTCAGTAATCCTTCACTTAGACACATTAACATTTATAGGTGTCCCTTTCCTGAATCAGCTATTCTATAAGGGTTTTTAGAGTGGTGATTTTTCTAATTCTCTGATTTCTTTTTCATTTTTAGCTGGCAGTGTTCTATAAAGATCTGTCCCTTATTAGCTGGGGCTATTTGGTTACCTTGACATAGAGTTTCTATTGAAAATGCAGGATAAGTGCTTAATGCTCTTTATTTAATTGCTAATATTTAGAATAAAGAATTGGTATAATAATATCCGGTGGTATCAACTGCATTCTCTCTCCACCCGTTCCTCTCAGAAGCACCGTTTTGGACTCATGGATTTTTATATATTTAGTGTGTTATAGTTCTAACCATTATTCTGTTTGATACTGAAAAACTTATACATTTGGTCAGTGGGAGCTATTTCAAGCCAGTTCCTATCTGCTTTTAGCATAACTTTACTAATCTTTGAATACTTCCTTGTTTTCTAGCATATATCCTGGTATGATTTGTGAATTCCTAGCCTGAGACCTGAAATCGGCCATTTCTCCAAGATGCAGTGGTTTCTTTTAGCGGGAATGCTATTTAGATACCAAAATTTGAGTGAGCCTGATGCTTCTTGCTATTCGAGTATCCCTGCTTCTAAGCCTTTTTATGGAACAGAACTGGGAAACATGTTCTTTAAAAAATCATGAAGGTGTTTATAGACTAAGTTGCTTTGAACCAACCCTTTGCCAAAAATAACTAAAAGAGCTAAACAAAAAGTGTAACTATTTGAAATCACTGAAAGCTACCAGGGCAGTGAGAAATTGCAAAATCAAGATCTCAGCAAAGAGGGAAGCTCAGTTACATGAACCCAATCATTTGGGACTACCTTCCCCCTAAAGAGATCCTCTAATTCCTAATGCAGTGGGTGACAAATAGAATTTGAGTAGAGTTTTTGACAAACCCTGTGGTTGGGGAGTATAAAAATTGGAGTTCATGGCCGGGCATGGTGGCTCACACCTGTAATCCCAGCACTTTGGGAGGCCGAGGTGGGCAGATCCCCTGAGGTCAGTTGTTTGAGACCAGCCTGGCCAACATGGTGAAACCCCGTGCCTACTAAGAATACAAAAAGTAGCTGGGCGTGGTGGCAGGCATCTATAGTCCCAGCTACTTGGGAGGCTGAGGCAGGAGAATTGCTTGAACCTGGGAGGCAGAGGTTGCAGTGAGCCGAGATGGGTGACAGAGAGAGACTCCATCTCAAAAAAAAAAAAAAAATTGGAGTTCATAAGCAGATATTCAGGGCTTGTGGTTGGGACTCTGAAAGAATACCCCTTAGCAATAATAGTGACCTGGAAGTAGACTGGCTTTCACAAAGACTGAAGACCAGTTTCAAATAATCTCTATCCCCTGATAGGATTAATTAAGATTAGTTAAGAACCAATTGCCAGGACACTTAAGCTATATGTTTGCCAGAAGCAAATGTAATTCCTCTTTGGAAGAAGACAATATCATTCAGAAACTTAAATTATCCTGCAGATTTTCATATGTAGTCATTTCTCGGTATCTGAGGAGGATTGGTTCCAGGGTCCCTCCGCCCATACCAAAATCCATGGATGCTGAAGTACTTGATTTAAAAAGAAAAAGGTAATTGCATATAACGTATGTACATCCTCCTGTGTACTTTAATCTCTAGATTACTTATAATACCTAATGCAATGTAAATGCTCTGTAAATAGTTGTTACACTGTATTTAGGGAATAATGATGGGAAAAGTCTACATGTTCCATACAGATGCAGCCAACCATTTGTTTTTTTAAATATTTTTGAGCTGTAGTTGGTTGAATCCACACATGTAGAACCCATGGATATAGTGGGCTGACTGTACAATATTGAGAATTCCATTCTTAAAAAATAAGTAAATGCCTTTTATTTATTACCATTTATATGATTACGAATATATCTCCCAGTTTGTAACATTTTACTTTCTTAATGGAGTCATGATGAATAAAAATTCTTAATTTCAATATAGATAAATATAAGAAGCCTTTTCCTTTTAGTGGTTATTGCCTTTGTGTCTTGTTTAAGAACTCCCCTCTCTCTCTCCCTCTCCCTTTCTCCCTCTCCCTTTCTCCCTCTCCCTTTCTCCCTCTCCCCCTCTCTCCCTCTCTCCCTCTCCTCTCCGTCTCCGTCTCCCTCTGTTGCCGAGGCTGGACTGTACTGCCGTGGTCTCGGCTCGCTGCAGCCTCCCTGCCCCGGGCTCCCGTGGTTCTCCTACCTCGGCCTGCCAAGTGCCTGGGATTGCGGGCGTGCGCCGCCACGCCTGACTGGTTTTTGCATTTTTGGAGGAGACGGGGTTTTGCCCTGTTGACCTGGCTGGTCTCCGGCTCCTGACCTCAAGTGGTCTGCCCGTCGTGGCCTCCCGGGGTGCTGGGATTGCAGACGGAGTCTCACTCACTCAATGCTCAATGTTGCCCAGGCTGGAGTGCAGTGGCGTGATCTCAGCTCGCTGCAACCTCCACCTTCCAGCCACCTGCCTTGGCCTCCCAAAGTGCTAAGATTACAGCCTCTGCCCGGCCGCCACCCCGTCTGGGAAGTGAGGAGCGTATCAGCCCAGCCGCCCATTGTCTGGGAAGTGAGAAGCGCCTCTGCCCGGCCGCCCCGTCTGGGAGGCGAGGAGCGCCTCTGCCCGGCTGCCCCATCTGGGAGGCGAGGAGCGCCTCTTCCCGGCCACCCCGCCTGGGAGGCGAGGAGCACCTCTGCCCGGCCGCCCCGTCTGGGAGGCGAGGAGCGCCTCTGCCTGGCCGCCCCGTCTGCGAAGTGGGTGCCTCTGCCCGGCCGCCCCATCTGGGAGGTGAGGGGCGTCTCTGCCCGGCCGCCACCCCATCTGGGAAGTGAGGGGCGCCTCTGCCCGGCCGCCCCGTCTGGGAGGTGAGGAGTGCCTCTTCCCGGCCGACCCTTCTGGGAGGGGAGGGGCGTCTCTGCCTGACTGCAACCCCATCTGGGAAGTGAGGAGCGCCTCTGCCTGGCCGCCCTGTCTGGGAAGTGAGGAGCGCCTCTGCCCGGCCGCCCCGTCTGGGAAGTGAGGAGCGCCTCTGCCCGGCCACCCCATCTGGGAACTGAGGAGCGCCTCTGCCCGGCCGCCCCGTCTGGGAAGGGAGGAGTGCCTCTGCCCAGCCGCCACCCCATCTGGGAAGTGAGGAGCGTCTCTGCCCGGCCGCCCATCATCTGGGAAGTGAGAAATGCCTCTGCCCGGCCGCCCCGTCTGGGAGGCGAGGAGCGCCTCTGCCCTGCCGCCCCGTCTGGGAGGCGAGGAGCGCCTCTGCCCGGCCGCCCTGTCTGGGAGGCGAGGAGCGCCTCTGCCCGGCTGCCCAGTCTGGGAAGTGGGCGCCTCTGCCCGGCCGCCCCGTCTGGGACGTGAGGGGCGCCTCTTCCCGGCCGCCCCGTCTGGGAGGTGAGGGGCGTCTCTGCCCGGCCGCCACCCCGTCTGGGAAGTGGGGGGCGCCTCTGCCCGGCTGCCCTTCATCTGGGAGGTGGGGAGCGCCTCTGCCTGGCCGCCCCATCTGGGAGGCTAGGAGCGCCTCTGCCCAGCTGCCCATCATCTGGGAGGTGGGGAGCACCTCTGCCCGGCCCATCATCTGGGAGGTGGGGAGCACCTCTGCCCGGCTGCCCATCGTCTGGGATGTGAGGAGCGCCTCTGCCCGGCCACCACCCCATCTGGGAAGTGAGGTGCGCCTCTGCCCGGCCGCCCCGTCTGGGAGGTGAGGAGCACCTCTGCCCGGCTGCCCCGTCTGGGAAGTGAGGAGTGCCTCTGCCCGGCCACCCCATCTGGGAAGTGTACCCAATAGCTCCGAAGAGACAGTGACCATCGAGAACAGGCCATGATGACGATGGCGGTTTTGTTGAAAAGAAAAGGGGGAAATGTGGGGAAAAGAAAGACAGATCAGATGGTTACTGTGTCTGTGTAGAAAGAAGGAGACATAGGAGACACCATTTTGTTCTGTACTAAGAAAAATTCTTCTGCCTTGGGATGCTGTTAATCTATAACCTTACCCCCAACCCCGTGCTCTCTGAAACATGTGCTGTGTCAACTCAGGGTTAAATGGATTAAGGGTGGTGCAAGATGTGCTTTGTTAAACAGATGCTTGAAGGCAGCATGCTCATTAAGAGTCATCTCCACTCCCTAATCTCACGTACCCAGGGACACAAATACTGCGGAAGGCCGCAGGAACCTCTGCCTAGGAAAACCAGAGACCTTTGTTCACGTGTTTATCTGCTGACCTTCTCTCCACTATTATCCTATGACCCTGCCACATCCCCCTCTTTGAGAAACACCCAAGAATGATCAATAAATACTAAAAAAAAAAAAAAAAAAAAAGAGAACTCCTCCTCTAACCTGAAATCATAAATGTATTCTCCTATACTGTCTTCTTAAAACACCACAGTTTTGCATTCCATATGTCTTCAGTCCACCTAGAATGAATTTCAGTGAAGGATGGAACAGGAATTCAATCATTTTGTTTTCTATTTGTCTTAAGCTGTCTCTCAGCATTGTTCATGGAAAATAACCTCTTAATGGTGTTAGTTTCCTTTGCCTAGTTTCGCATATAATAGACCTCTGTGAATGAATTTGAATAAAGGATAATATTTTGGTAGTGTGAAACTCTTTCTATAGGTTCCTTGTGGTTTTCAAATATATTGTCTAATTTACTAGTTGATTTTTTATTCTGTACACGTTATGTTCTGTTTTACTTAATTATAAGGGCCTCATTTACTACTGAAATCCTATTGGCACTAAATAAATATTTGTCAAATTTTCTTTACATCTGTTTTAAATTTCCTTTTATTGTAGTAGTCTTTACAGTTATGAGACTTGCTTGATACATTTTCTTGAGCTCTTTGTCTTAGACTGTGTTTCTTAACTCTAACATAACATTATAGTCACCTGAAGAGATTTTAAATGCTACCTGTCATTTGGGCTCTACCTCTGGCCCAGTTAAATTAGTATTTTTAAAGTTTCCCAGTTGACTTTTGTGTAGTTCAGGTTGAGAAGCACTGGTCGGAGACATGACTGGATACTTTTGGTTCTTCAGATTTCTCTTAGGTAAGTTTTTCTTTTTTGCAAAGCCCCTTTTGATTTTACAAGTTTAGAAGGAATTTCTCTTTTTGACAGATTTTATGAAACTTTTACTCTTTGACATTTAAAAACATACATAGAAAGTTTCTGAAGATTGTTACATAAGTGTTATTTATGGCTGAAATTTTTTGTCCCATCACATCTTGTATTCCGTGCAATCAAATTCAACAGATATTTATTATCCTTTGTGCCAGGCATTATGCAAGGGCTTGGTGAATAAGAGAAGGTCTTTGACTTTCTGGAGCTTATAGTCTATATTTGTAAGTAATCATAAGTATAATGAGCTCTCCAAAAGAGGTGGGGGTATAGGGTTCTGTGCAGTTGTACTGCCTGGAGGGTTGAACCTATTCTGTGAGTCAGGGAATGTCTCCCTGAAGTAACATTTAAGCTGAGACTTTAAGAAGAAGTTCAGAAAACACATTCTTTAGATAAACTGGACTTTTTCAAAATTAAAAACTTGTGTTTCAAAGGACATTATTGAGAAAGAAGACTTTCTTGAATGGGAGAAAATATTTGCAAATCCCATATCAGTAAAGGGTCTACTACTATCAGAAGGTAAAAAGAACTCATACAACCCAACAAACAGACAACTCAATTAAAAAATGGGCAGAAGATATGAATAAACAATTCTCCAGAGGAGATATACAAATGACCAACAAGCACATGAAAAGATGTCCAACTTCGGCTGGGTGCAGTGGCTCACACCTTTAATCCCAGCACTTTGGGAGGCTGAGGCAGGTGGATTACCTGAGGTCAGGAGGTGTAGACAAGCCTGGCCAACGTGGTGAAATCCCGTCTCTACTGAAAATGCAAAAATTAGCCAGGTGTGGTGGTGAGCGCCTGTAATCCCAGCTACTTGGGAGGCTGAGGCAGGAGAATCACTTAAACGCTGGAGGTGGAGGTTGCAGTGAGCTGAGATTGCGCCACTGTACTCCAGCCTGGCCAACAAGAGCGAAAGTCCGTCTCAAAAAAAAAAAAAAAAGTCCAACTTCACTGGGCATTAAGAAAATGTAAATCAAGCTCTCCTACTCCCCCTCCCCCTCCCCCCCTTCCCCTCCCTTCGGGTCTCCCTCTGTTGCCGAGGCTGGACTGTACTGCCGTGATCTCAGCTCGCTGCAACCTCCCTGCCTTGGGCTCCCATGATTCTCCTGCCTCCGGCCTGCCGAGTGCCTAGGATTGCAGGCACGCACCGCCACACCTGACTGGTTTTTGTATTTCTGGTGGAGACGACGGGGTTTCACTGTGTTGACCGGGCTGGTCTCCAGCTCCTGACCTCGAGTGATCTGCCTGCCTCGGCCTCCCGAGGTGCTGGGATTGCAGACGGAGTCTCGCTCACTCAATGCTCAACGTTGCCCAGGCTGGAGTGCAGTGGCGTGATCTCAGCTCGCTACAACCTCCACCTCCCAGCCGCCTGCCTTGGCCTCCCAAAGTACTAAGATTACAGCCTCTGCCCAGCCACCACCCCGTCTAGGAAGTGAGGAGTGTCTCTGCCTGGCCGCCCATCCTCTGGGATGTGAGGAGCCGCTCTGCCCGGCCGCCCTGTCTGGGAAGTGAGGAGCGCCTCTGCCCTGCCGCCCTGTCTGGGAAGTGAGGAGCGCCTCTGCCTGGCCACCCCATCTGGGAGGTGAGGAGCGCCTCTGCCCGGCCACCCATCGTCTGAGAAGTGAGGAGCGCCTCTGCCCAGCCGCCCCATCTGGGATGTGAGGAGCACCTCTGCCTGGCCGCCCTATCTGGGAACTGAGGAGTGCCTCTGCCCGGCCACCCCGTCTGGGAACTGAGGAGCGCCTCTGCCCGGCCACCCCATCTGAGAAGTGAGGAGCGCCTCTGCCCGGCAGTCGCCCCGTCTGGGAAGTGAGGAGCGCCTCTGCCCGGCAGTCGCCCCGTCTGGGAAGTGAGGAGCGCCTCTGCCCGGCAGTCGCCCCATCTGGGATGTGAGGAGCGCCTCTGCCCGGCCGCCCCGTCCAGGAAGTGGGGAGTGAGGAGCGCCTCTGCCCGGCCACCCCGTCTGGGAAGTGGGGAGCGCCTCTGCCCGGCCACCCCGTCCGGGAGGTGAGGAGCGCCTCTGCCCGGCCGCCCTTCGTCCGGGAGGTGAGGAGCGCCTCTGCCCGGCCGCCCTTCGTCCGGGAGGTGAGGAGCGCCTCTGCCCGGCCGCCCTTCGTCCGGGAGGTGAGGAGCGCCTCTGCCCGGCCGCCCTTCGTCCGGGAGGTGAGGAGCGCCTCTGCCCGGCCGCCCTTCGTCCGGGAGGTGAGGAGCGCCTCTGCCCGGCCGCCCTTCGTCCGGGAGGTGAGGAGCGCCTCTGCCCGGCCGCCCTTCGTCCGGGAGGTGAGGAGCGCCTCTGCCCGGCCGCCCTTCGTCCGGGAGGTGAGGAGCGCCTCTGCCCGGCCGCCCTTCGTCCGGGAGGTGAGGAGCGCCTCTGCCCGGCCGCCCTTCGTCTGGGAGGTGAGGAGCGCCTCTGCCCGGCCGCCCCGTCTAGGAAGTGAGCGTCTCTGCCCGGCTGCCCCGTCTGGGAAGTGAGGAGCGCCTCTGCCCGGTCGCCCCGTCTGGGAAGTGTACCCAACAGCTCCGAAGAGACAGCAACCATCAAGAACGGGCCATGATGACGATGGCAGTTTTGTCAAAAAGAAAAGGGGCAAATGTGGGGAAAAGAGAGATCAGATGTTACTGTGTCTGTGTAGAAAGAAGTAGACATAGGAGACTCCATTTTGTTCTGTACTAAGAAAAATTCTTCTGCCTTGGGATGCTGTTAATCTATAACCTTACCCCAAACCCGGTGCTCTCTGAAACATGTGCTGTGTCAACTCAGGGTTAAATGGATTAAGGGTGGTGCAAGATGTGCTTTGTTAAACAGATGCTTGAAGGCAGCATGCTCGTTAAGAGTCATCACCACTCCCTAATCTCAAGTACCCAGGGACACAAACACTGCGGAAGGCCTCAGGGACCTCTGCCTAGGAAAACCAGAGACCTTTGTTCACGTGTTTATCTGCTGACCTTCTCTCCACTATTATCCTATGACCCTGCCACATCCCCCTCTTTGAGAAACACCCAAGAATGATCAATAAGTACTAAAAAAAAAAAAAAAAGAAAATGTAAATCAAAACAGTGAGATACCACTTCACACTCAGCAGACAGCTATCATAAAAAAATTAGAAAATAACAGGTATTGGTGAGATGTGGTAGAAATGGTAACCAAAAGGTGTAAACAACCCAGATTTCCATTAACAGTTGAATGGATAAACGAGTTGTGTTATACACATATAAAAGAATAATTTCCAGCCATAAAAAGGACTGAAGTACTGATACAGGCTACAACATGGAGGCACCTTGAAAACATCATGTTAAATAAACCAGAAACGAAAAGTTAACACATTGTGTGATTCCTTTCATATTCAGAATAAGCAATCCCATAGAGACAGGAAGCAAATTAGTGGTTGCCAGGGAACTGGGGAGGGGGAGATAGGAAGAGATTATTTAAAGGGTATAGGGAGGTGGTGGTTGTATGACATTGTAAATGCACTAAATGCCAGTGAATTGTATACTTTAAAATGGTTAATTATATAAATTTCACTTCCAAAAAAAGTACATAAACCTGATTAGATTTTTAAAACTTGTATGACCACACAGTTTTAAGTGCATAAGTATTTTTTCTGAGTGGAGTTGGTCAACCTAAATAAAAAACAGAGAGAGGTTCCCTAGAAGAAAATGATGGTTATTTGGCAACAGCATTGCAGTGGGAATGTACTTGCCGTGGTAAACTATGTATATATTCAAGGACGTAAAGGAAGACAGATTTTTAAAGGGAAAAGGAGGATTATGTAATTGTTTTAAAATGATTATGATAGGCTACAGAGGTCAATAACAAGAGTGATGCCAGTCCAAGTTTGGACAGGCAGTTGCTGGGCAGATGTCCTTGTGGAAGTATTTTTTGTGTAAGATTGCAGTGCCTTTGAGCAAGCAAGGCTGTGGTTTTTGCAGAATCTTTTGTGATAGGTTTTGTTTAGGTATACAAGTGTGAGAACCCTCTTAGCCTTTCCAGCTCTATATGTCAGATTTTTTAATACACTAGTGACTTCATTTTGATTCTGACAACTTTCACAAATTATTACAATTGTTGTTGCATAATAAATATTTTACAGATTTTGTTCAATATTAAACATTAAAAATGAAATTTATTGGAAATTCATCTTCTAATGGTATGGACTTTTAAAAAATGCCATTTAGTCTGTATGTCCATGGATGACTGCTACATGAATGAATGCTACAAGGGTTCAGCATAAATTCTGTTCTGTTTTATGATTTATCAGACTCAAGTGCTGAGAAACCTTGTTGATGTAATAAAATGGTAATGGAAGGAGTTTAGTTATAGCAGTGTCACTCAGTTTTTTGAGCTTCTGAGTCATGTACTAAAAAGCACATAGTAATTTAGCATAAAATTGACTTTTAATGATTAATTGACTCATAACTCAGGTTTTCCTTCAGTGTTTTTGAAACGTGAAGAATTGGAAAACAGTTCACTTGCATAATAATTTGGTAATCATTAGAGTAATTTACTACTTTCTCAACACCTCCACCAGCATTTCCAGTCCACCCTATGTTTAGTGCTTCAGAAATTTTTGCCTGTCAGGAAACTACCATGGTAATAAGAGACATAGGTTAGGGGAATGTTTTTCTTTTGTAAAATGGAAAAGCATTATTTTTAAAGGGAAAAAGGGAAAGATGAGTTCTCATGACACAGACAGAGTAGTTTTTGAAATGACTACCTGTGAAAGATGAAAATTTTCTGATGCTCTTAAAGCTAACTGTGCACTTGGACCTCTTCAAATCTTTGTGTACCTAGACAGTACCGTACTCTTTCCGAGGTTTTATATAAAGTGCTGCTTACAGCCTGCCCTCGGCTACGAATCTTTGAATAACTTAAAACTCCTGTGCACTGTGAATAAAAAGAGGTGAAATTAAAAAAAAGTAAAATTTGACCCTAAAGCTCTGTCTTTGAAAATGGCTTTTTAAATTTTGTGTCTGTAATAAATGTGGAGTTAATACAAAATTCTTAAATTAGATTGAGTTAGGAGTTTCGGCTTTTCTCCTCATTCCTTTTCTAAAAATTTTCCCAGGTCAATGAGTGGTCATTGAAGATAAGAAAGGAAATGAGAGTTGTTGACAGGCAAATAAGGGGTAAGTTATCATTTTATGTCTTCTATTTTTCACCCTCTTGGTATATTTTGCTTCAGTTCATAAAAATAAACTGCATTTATATATCATAAGACATAGTTTATTCCTATATCAGTTATTTATAGCTGTCTGACTGATTTTGCTTTTTAATTCTGTAATCAGTATTAAAAAAAGATAATGAGTTAGAAGAAACTTTATATTTTGGAAGAGCAAAAGAAACCTCTTGCTACTTATAAAGAAATGCCTTTTATGGAATTCAAATTAAATAAATTATACATAAGTAAGAAATACAATTTCATTGTCACTGCTCTATCTTAGCATGACTGTAAATTGAGGACAGTATGTTTATAAATAAAGTTGATTTTTTTTGTTTAGTACCATTTAAGATGATTTGCAAAGGGATGGTAATATTTAAAACTTTTAAGGTTTTTAACACTTTCATGATTGGAGAAGAGTTAATATCATAAAGGTATCCCAGTATCACTTTCTTTAAAAAGAATTGGAGAGGGAAATTCCACTCCCAGCCATGAAGGAGTAATTGCTTTTCAACTTGCATTCTCATCGTAAATAAAAATTTGGACAAAGCAAGAGAGAAAAAAACTGGACAAAAATCTGTGAAACAGCTGTTTTCAAACATTGGGCAGCTGGCAGTACAGGGTTGTGATCACTGAGAGAATAGAAACAAAGACAGAGAGTCTTAATATGACCCTGTCATTCTGCTTGGAGATACTTTCTGGATTATAGCCCATGGAAGGACATTCCAAGCAGAGCATAGTGGTTTCACTGGGTTGAGAATAGAGATAAGGGTTCAGGGAGTGGCTGGAATTTGTGGGGCCGAGTATCAGAGAGAATGGAAATACTCAGAGAAAGAACTTCAAATGTCTCCATAGGATCCATTGGAGTCTTTGGCTGAATACTAAGCTGTGCATGCTTAGAGTGAAATTTCAAGAGACTGGGCAAAGAACAATTACTAGGAACAGAACAACTACCAGGAAGCTGTAAGCTGAATAATTCTTAGAGCTAATAAAGGATTGAGAAGTGGTTGAGCTCTGATCAGACACAGAAAAGAGACTTTGTTGAACCTCTGGGATGTTCAATAGAGACCTCAGAAGAGTCACACCTTAATAATAAGGATCAGGTAGGTAGTCCTAGAAAAAAGGCTACCACAAGCCCATACCAACCAACCAACAAGACTTAAAAGACTTCACGGCTGATTTGCAGGTAATTTGACTGCCTGCCAAAGTAAAGATTAACACTGTTTAAGGGAAGACTACAAAATGCAGGCACCCAACAATGAAACATATACAGTGGCCAGCATCCAATAAGATACTATTATGAAGAAGCAGGAAAATGTGACCCCAAAACAGGAGAAAAGCCAGGTAATAGAAATAGATTTAAAAAAAAAAAACACCCAAAACCCCCACAAAAAAAGATGATTGAATTTGCAGTCAAGGATTTTTAAGCAGCTATTATAAATATGTTGAGATTAAAGGATAACTTAAACATAATGAGGAGATAAATACAAAATACAGAAAACAACAAAATGGAATTTCTAGAGTTGAAAGATCTGAAATGAAGTGAAATTAAATGAAGAATCACTGAATGGGTTTAACAGCAAATTAGACACTACAGAAAACAAGATCAGTGAAATTGAAGATATACAAAATCCAAAATGTTCAAATGAACATTTCCTTTGAGTATCCTGTCAGCAACCCAAATATTTCAGATTTTGGATTTCGGATTTTCTGATTAGGGATACACAACTGGTATGATGCATGGTATGATGCAAACATTCCAAAATCTAAAGCCTGAAAGACATTTGGTCCCAAGCATGTTGGATAAGAGATATTCAACCTGTAATACAAATTATCCAAACTGTAGTACAGACAGAAAAAAGAAAAAAACAACAACACAGAGCTTCTAGTATCAAGTGAGCTAATGTGTATAATTTGAGTCTCAGGAGAAGAGGGGTCAGGAAGGATCATATGAAATTGTAGCTGAATGTTTTTCAAACATGATGAAAACTATTAAGCTTGCAGATCCAAGGAACTCATCTCCAAATTGAATAAACACAAAACCATACAAAGGCAAAGCATAATCAAATTACTGAAAACCAAAAAGATTACTGAAAACCGAAAAGATAACCCCCCAAAAAGACAAATTTAGGTCCAATAAACAGTGATAAGAATGATTTTAAAATTCTTATTAGAAACGATGCAAACTAGAATATCTTTCATATGGTGAGAAAAACCCCACAAAACAACCCTATGTTATCCTAGACTTAAGTCCAATGAAAATAACATTCATAGGTGAAGGTGAAATAAAGATATTTTCAAACAAAAGCCAGAAAGAATTTGTTGCCAATACAATAAATGTTAAAAGAAGTTGTAGGCTGAAGAAAAATCATACCAGATAGAAACTTGGATTTATATGAAGGAATAAAGCATGCTGGAAATGGTAAATATGTAAGTAAATATAAATTATTTTTTCCTCTTAAGAATGTTTTTAACTTACTGACTCTTAAAAGTAAAAATAATAATGTATTGTGGGGCTTGTAACATGTAGAGGTAAAATGTATGACAATGATAATAATTGATCAGTGTCAAAAATAAATGTTAGAAACTTCATAAGTTTCATTAGTGTCTCACAGCCTTGCATATTCCTTTTTTGTGCTATGCTTACTATAATTCTTCTCACATCCATAGCTCATTTTTCCTTTTAAATGATGATCTTCAAGCCCAATATCTTTCATGTAGGTTTCCTGTTATTTGTCATTAATAGTAATTTATTAATTTACTCTAACATGATATAGGAAAAAGATCATGGATTTTGGAGTCTTAACATTACCAGGTTTAAACTCTGATATCACCTGTCCTTAGTAAACTTCTTTGAATCTCATAGAATTGTTGTGACAGTTAAGTCTGTGAATATGTATAAAGTGTTTAGGACAGTACCTGGCATGCAGTAGAGACTTCACTACTTGATGGTGATACCAAAAAAGGGGATGGGGCACTTTGATAAAGTGTGACTATGAAGTAATGTGATTGCTTTAAATGTTACTTGTGAAAGAAAGCATGTGAGGATTTATCACAGAAACACTATCAGGATCTTTCATTTGGTTTTATGCTAGCAGTCAAGGTGAATGGATCTAAAAAGAAATACTAGGGTAAAAATGAGCAACTGCAAAATGAATTTATGTTCTCAGAAGTCAAGCTATTGGCTATACTTACTCGGGGGGAATGGTGGATTAAAGGTAACGTAAGGGGGCCTTGTGGCATGTTCGTAATATTCTGTTTCTTAATCTAGGTCCTGGTTACATGAGTGTGTTTAATTTGTGAAAATGTATATAGCTGTACAGTTATGTTTACTTTTCTGTATATATGTTATACTTAAATAACAAGTTAAAGAAAAATAATAGCAACTTAAAGCAAAATATAACTATAGGGAGTTCTAGCTTCTCATGGAAGATTTATGGTAGTCCACATTTTTAGTTTTCAGTCAAATGTAACACATTTTGAACACTCATTATAGGCAATAATTGGAAAGAATTTAGGTAATTCATTTCATCTGCTCCTCAAATGAAAATAATCAGCTTGGGTGAGCACTCATGACTATAAAGGTAGTTATACACATGTGAAAATGCAGAAAAGTAGAAAGTTAAAATCACCCTGAAGTTCGACCACTTAGAGATAACCACCACAAACACTTTGGTGATCATCCTTTTCCAGATATATTTCTCTCTGTTTTTGTATTTATACCCAAACATTTGTTTATAAGTGAGTCATACTAGTCTTGCTGCTGATTTTTATTTATATTGTAAAATTTACATAAAGCTGACCATCTTAACCATTTTTAAGTGTACAGTTCAGTGGCATTAGGTGCATTCATAATGTTGTGCAACCATCACCACTATCCATCTCCAGATCTGTTTCCTCATCCATACTGAAACTCTGTACCTATTAAACAATAACTTCCTATTTCTCTCTACCCCCAGCCCCTGGTAACCACTATTCTACTTTCTGTATCTAAGTATTTGACGATTCTAAGTACCTCATATAAGTAGAATCAAATAATTTTTGTCTTTTTGTGTCTGGCTTATTTCACTTAACATAATGTTTTTAAGGATCATCCATGTTGTAGCAGGTATCAGAATTTCATTCCTTTTTAAGGCTGAGTAATATTCCGTTGTCTGTATATACCATATTTTATTTATATACTCATCTGCTGATGGACATTTAGATTGTGTCCACCTTTTGGCTATTGTGAATAATGCTGCTCTGAAGATGGATGTACAGATATCTGTTTTGCTTTCAATTCTTTTCAGTACTTTTGCGTACATAAACAAAAGTAGCATTACTGGATCAAATAATTGTATCTTTAATTTTGGGGGGAACCATTTACTGTTTTCCATGGCAGCTGTGCCATTTTACATTCCTATCATCAAGAGCTAGGCTACTCAAAAGTAACTGTATATATGAGGGAATGTAGAAGTCACTGTGCGTGCCCAGGGAATGGTACAGGCTCATAAAATAGCTCAGAAGACCTTGAGTTTATACCTTGTGCTGATCTTTACTACAGACACCCTATGCCAATTTTAAAAAAGCAAAAAAGAAAACCAAACCAAACCTGATGAGCCCTGGGGAATCAGCATCTGATCTCCAGAGTTACCACATTAGAAGATTCAAACATTCAGTTTTCAACAACAGTAAAATCATAAGGCATACAAAGAAACAGGAAAATATGGCCTACTCAAAGCAGGAAAAAGTAAGTCACCAGAAACTTGCTGAGAAAGACTAGATGGTAGATTTGCTAAACAAAGACTTAAAGCAAGTATCGATGTGCAAAGAACTAAAGGAAAAGGTGGATTAAGTTAAAAAACGAAGTGTGAACAAAATGGAAATAATCGATGGAAAGCTAGAAAACAAGAAAAGAAACCCCAAAATTCCAGAGCTGAAAAGTACAATAACTGAAGTGAAAACCTTACTAGAATGATTCAAAAGCATATTTGAGCAGGTAAAATAAAGCATCAGCAGACTTCAAAATAGAGCAATTGAAATTATCAAGTCTGAGGAACAGAAAGAAAAAAAAGAGACTGGGTGCAATGGCTAACGCCTGTAATCCCAACACTTTGGGAGGCTGAGGCAGGTGTGTTGCTTGAGGCCAGGAGTTTGAGACCAGCCTGGGCAACACGGCAAAACCTCATCTCTACAAAAAATAAAAACAAAAATTAGCCAGGTGTGGTGGTACATGCCTGTAGTCCTACCTACCCAGGAAGTTGAGGCTGTAGTAAGCCATGATCATGCCATTGCACTCCAGCATGGGCAACAGAGCAAGACCCTGTCTACTGAAAAAAAAGAAAAAGAAAAAAAAATGGGCAGAGCCTAAGAGACCTGTCAGACATCATCAAGTAGACCAACATGCATTGTGGAAACTTTAGGAGAAGAGAGAGAGAAAGGTGCAGAGAGATTATTTGAAGAAATAATGGCTAAAAACTTCCTAGATTTGATGAAAGATAGGAATATAAACATCCAAGAAGTTCAGTGAACTCCAGGTAGGATAAACTCAAGTGAGATCTTGCCAAGAAAGACACATTATAATCAAACTGTAGAAAGCCATAGACAGTGAGAGAATCTTAAAAGGAGCAAGAGAGAAACATCTTGTCACATACAAAGGATCCTCGTAAGATTTTAGAAGATTTCTCATCCGAAACATTAGAGGCCAGAAAGCAGTGGATTCAATACTGAAAGAAAAGGCCTATCAACCAAAATTTTATGTCTAGCAAAACTGTCAGATAAACAAAAGCCATGGGAGTTTATTACAGCTAGACCTGACTTGCAAGAGGTAATAAAGGGAGTCCTTCAGGTTGAAATGAAAGGACATTATACAGTAACTTGATGATGTATGAAGAAATAAGTATCTCCATTAAAGGTAGATTCATGGACAATTAGAAAGGTTTAGGCCGGGCGTGGTGGCTCACGCCTGTAATCCCAGCACTTTGGGAGGCCGAGGCGGGCGGATCACGAGGTCAGGAGATCGAGACCATCCCGGCTAAAACGGTGAAACCCCGTCTCTACTAAAAATACAAAAAAAAATTAGCCGGGCGTAGTGGCGGGCGCCTGTAGTCCCAGCTACTTGGGAGGCTGAGGCAGGAGAATGGCGTGAACCCGGGAGGCGGAGCTTGCAGTGAGCCGAGATCCCGCCACTGCACTCCAGCCTGGGCGACAGAGCGAGACTCCGTCTCAAAAAAAAAAAAAAAAAAAGAAAGGTTTATAACTCTACTTTTTGTATTCTACATGATTTAAGAGACATGAATAAGAAATAAAAGGTAGTCTGTTTTTGGACACATAGTGCCTAAATGTAACATTGTGACATCAGTAACTGAACTGGGGTAGAGACAGAGTTTTATGAGAGCATAGTTTTCTTACTGCTTTTGAAATTAAGCTCATGCAGGCTGGGCGCAGTGGCTTATACCTGTAATCCCTGCACTTTGGGAGGCCAAGGTGGGCGGATCACCTAAGGCCAGGAGTTCGAGACCAGACTGACCAACATGGTGAAACCCAGTTTCTACTAAAAATACAAAAATTAGCTGGGCGTGTGGTGCGCGCCTGTAATAGCAACTACTGTGGAGGCTGAGGCAGGAGAATCGCTTGAACCTGGGGGCCGGAGGTTGCAGTGAGCTGAGATCATGATGCCACTGCACTCTAGCCTGAGTGATAAAGTGAGACTCAAAAAGAGAAGCTCATGCAGATTCACATTAGAGTGTTATAAGTTTAGGATGTTAAGCATAATCCTCATGGTATCCACAAAGAAAATGGCTGTACAAAAGGAAATAAGAAGGGAATAAAAACATTTCATTAACCAAAAAAATCAAGTAAACACACAAGAAAACATTAATGCAGGAAATAAGGGACAAAATAGCTATGCCATACAGAAAATAAATGGCAAGTTGGCAGAAGAAAATTTGTCCTTATCAATAATTCCTTTTTTTTTTTTTTTTTTGGAGATAGGGTCTTGCTCTGTCACCCAGGCTGGAGTGCAGCGTCGTGACACAGCTCACAGCAGCCTCGACCTCCTGGGCTCTAGCAATCCTCCCATCTCAGCCTGCCAAGTACCTGGGACTATAGATGCATGCCACTGCACCAGCTAATTTTTATATTTTTTGTAGAGACAGGGTTTCATCATGTTGCCTAGGCTAGTCTGGAACTCCTGGACTCAAGCAATCCTCCTGCCTTGGCCTCCCAAAGTGCTAGGATTACAGGCATGAGCCACTGTGCCCAGCCCACAGTAATTACTTTGAATGTAAATGGATTTAAAGTCTCTAATCAAATTGGCAGAATGGATTTTACAAAACATAATATTATATTTAAAAACATATATACTGTCTACAAGAGTGAGACTTTAGATCCAAAAACACAAATAGATTGGAAGCAAAAGGATGGAAAAAGATATTTTGTGGACATAGTAAATAAAAGACAGCAGGGACAGCTATGTTATTATCAGATAAAATAGATTTTAAATAAAGATTATATGAGACAAAGGACATTATATATTAATTAAAGATTAAATACAGCAAGAAGATAATACAAGTGTACATATTTTTGTATACAGTAACAGACTGTCAAAACATATGCAGCAAAAGTGGACAGAATTGAAGACAGAAATAGTTCTTCCATAATAGTTAGATAATACTGCACTGTCAACAATGGGTATATCAACTAGATAGGAATTAGGTAGGAAAACAGGGGACTTGAAGAACGAAGGCAGAGTGCAGTGGCTCACACCTGTAATCCTAGCACTTTGGGAGGCCGAGGCAGTTGGATCACCTGATGTCAGGAGTTTGAGACCAGCCTGGCCAACTTGGCAAAACCCTGTCTCTACTAAAAATACAAAAATTGCTGGGTGTCATGGTGTGTGCCTGTAATCCCAGGTACGGGAGGCTGAGGTAGGAGAATTGCTTGAACCTGGGAGGTGGAGGTTGCAGTGAGCCGAGATTGTGCCACCACAGTCCAGCCTGGGAGACAGGCTCCATCTCAAAAAAAAAAAAAAAAAAAAAAAAAAGAAATAAAGCAATTGGATCTAAAGATGTATACAGAATACTACCCAACAACAAACTACACATTCTTCTCACATATACACAAGACATTCTTTAGGATAGACCATATGTTAGACTGTAAATCAAGTCTCAGTCAAATTTAAAAGATATATAAGGTATCTTCTCTGACCACAACAGGATGAAATTAGAAATCAGTAACAGAAAGAATACTGGAAAATTCACAGATGTATGGAAATTAAGCAACACATTCTTAACCAATGGGTGAAAAAAGAAATCACAAAGCAAATCAGAAAATACTTACAGACAAGTAAAAACCAAATCAGAACATACCTAAAGTTAGAAGGTGCAGCAAAAGCAACACTCAGAGGAAAATTAATAGCTATAAATGCTTACATTAAGAATGAAGGCCAGGTGTGGTGGCTTAATCCCAACACTTTGGGAGGCCAAGGCGGGCAGATCACTTGAGCCCAGGAGTTTGAGGCCAGCCTAGGCAACATGGCGAAACCCTGTCTCTATCAAAAATACAAAAGTTAGCTAGGTGCTGTGGTCTGTGGGTAGTCGCAGCTACTTGGGAGGCTGAGGAGGGAAGATTGCTTGAACCCAGAGGCAGAAGTTACAGTGAGTTGTGATGGTGACCAACCTTGCACTCCAGCCTGGGTGACGGGAGTGAAACCCTGTCTCAAAAAAAAAAATCTCAGATGAGCAACCTGGCTTTCAACTTAAAGGAAACAGAACAAGAACAAAGTCAACCCAAATCTAGCAGAAGGAAGAAAATAATAAAGATTAAAGCAGAGACAGAACAGAAAAAGAATAGAGAGCATTAACAAAATCCATAGTTGGTTCTTGAAAAAGACAAAAAAATGTATACACCTTAACTAGATTGACTAAGGAAGAAGAGAAAGTTGAAAGTACTAAAATCAGAGTTGAAAGTGGAGACATTACTACTGATTCCACAGAAATAAAGATTATAAGAATACGATGGACAATTGTATGTTAATAAATTGTGTAACCTAGATGTGATGGACAAATTACTAGAAACATGAAACTTACCAAGATTGAAACATAAAGAAATAGAAAATGTGAACAGACTTATACCTAGTAGGGAGAGTGAATCAGTGATCAAAAATATCCTGACAAAGAAAAGCTGTGGACCTGATGACTTCACTGGTAAATTCTATCAAACAGTTAAAGAAGAACTAACACCAATGCTTCTCAAACTTCAAGAAATTGAAGAGAAGAAAACACTTCCTTATTCATTCTATGTTGCCAGTATTGTCCTGATATCATATCAGACAAAGATGCTGCAAGAAAACTATAGACCAGTGTCTCTTATGAACATTGGTGCAAAAATCTTCAACAGAATACTAGCAAACCAAATCCAGCAACACATTAAAATGAGTATACATCACGGCCAGTGGGATTTATCCTGGAATGCAAGAATGATTCAACATGTAAAATTTGATCAGTGTAATATATCACATTAACAGCATGAAGGGGAAAAGAAACTCACATTATCATCTCAATTGATGCAGAAAAAGCATTTGGCCAAATTTAGCACCCTTTCATGCTAAAAACAACAACTAGGAATAGAAAGAAATTACCTGAACATAGTAAAAACCATGTATGAAAAAAACCACAGGGACTATCAAAATAAATGGTGAAAGACTAAAAGCTTTTCGTCTAAGATCAGGAACAAGGCAAGGATACCCACTTTTGCCACTTCTCTTTAACACGATACTGAACTTCTAGCCAAAGGAGTTGGACAAGAAAAAAATAGTTAAAAGTATGTAAATTGGAAAGGAATAAGTAAAAATCTCTGTTTGCAGCTGATACTATATGTATAATACCCTAAAGATTTTTCAAAAAAGACCTATTAGAACTAATAAATTCATTAAGCAGCAAGATACAAAATCAGCACCAAAAAAAATTGTATTTCTCTATATTAACGATGGACAATCTGAAAAGGAAATTAAGAAAACCCATTCTCAATAGCATCAAAAATAATCAAATACTTAGGAATTTACTTAACCAAGGAGGCAAAAGACTTGTATAATGAAAATGATGAAATATTACTGAAAGGAATTGGACATAAATAAATGGAAAGACATCACATTTTCATGTATTGGGAGATTAGATATTGTTAAGATGTCAGTAGTACCCCAAAGCAATCTTATACATTCAAAGTGCAATCCTTATCAAAATCCCAATGACATTTTTTGTAGAAATAGAGATATCTGTCCTAAAATTCTTATAGAATCTTAAGAGACCCTAAATAATCAAAATAGTCTTAAAAAAAGAAAGTTTAACAACTCACTTCCTGGTTTCAAAACTTGCCACAAAGCTACAGAGATAAAATCAATGTAGTACTGACATAAAGACATATAAACGAATGGAATAGAAATAGGTATCCAGAAAAACTATGTGTCTGTTGTCAACTGATTTTTGACAAGGGTAGCAAGACCATTCAGTGGAGGAAAGGACAGTTTTCAGCAAATGGTGCTGGGAAAACTGGATATCCATATGCAAAAGAATTCAGTTGGACCTTTACCTAACAATGTATACAGAAACTAACCCCAAATGGATCAAAGACCTAAATGTAAGAGCTAAAACTATAAAACTCTTAGAAAAAAACACAGAGTAAAACTTCACAACTTGAAGAACAAACTGCTGGGCGTGGTGATGTGTGCCTGTAGTCCCAGCTACTCGGGAGGCTGAGGCTGGAAGACCAGTTGAGGCCAGGAGTATGAAGCTGTAATGTGCTATAATCATGCCTGTGAATAGCCACTGCACTACACCCTGAGCAACATAGATCCATCTCCAAAAAATAAAAAAGAGTAGACAAACTGGACTTCATGAAAATCAAAAATTTTTGTGCATCTTAAAAAGATTACCTGGCAGGGCACAGTGGTTCACACCTGTAATTCCAGCACTTTGGGAGGCTGTGGTGGGTAGATTGCTTGAGCCCAGGTGTTTGAGACCAGCCTGGGCAACGTGGCGAAACCCCATCTCTACAAAAAAAGAAAAAGAAAAATTGTACATTAAAAAAATAAAAAGATGTTACCAACGGAGGAAAAGGCAACTCATAGAATGGGAGAAAGCATTTGCAAATCATTTATCTGATGAGAGGTTGTATTCAGAGTATATACAGAACACCTAAAATGCCACAACAATAAAACGACTTAATTCAAAAATGGGCAAAAGACTTCAATAGACTTTTGGAATTTCTCCAAATAAGCTGTACAAATTGTCAGTAAGTACATGAAAAGATGTTTAACATCACTAATTATTAGGGAAATGCAAATCAAAACGACCTCATACCCGTTAGGATGACTACTATCAAAACAACAACAACAAAACCCCCAGGAAATAACCAGTGTTGGTGAGTATGTGGTAAAATTGGAACTTTGTATACTGTTAGTGAGAATGTAAAATGATGAAGCCACTGTGAAAAACAGTACAGCTGTTCCTCAAAAAATTAAAAATAGAATTACCCTATAACCTAACAGTTCTACTTTTAGGCATATACACAAAAGATAGCAGGGTCTCAAAGACATTTGTACATTCATGTTCTTCACAATAGCTAAAAGTTGGAAGTAACCCAAGTGTCCACTGACGAATGGTTAAGTAAAATGTCGTATATACATACAATGGAATATTATTGAGCTTTAAAAAGAAAGTTCTGACATATGCTACAAAATGCTTGAACCTTAAAAATATTATGCTTAGTGAAATAAGCCAGTCAGAAAAAGAAAAATATTATGATTCCACTTAAAGGAAGTACCAAGGGTAGTAAAATTCGTAAAGACAGAAAACAGAATGGTGGATGCCAGGAGTTAGGGGAAAGGAGAAATGGGGAGTTACTGTTCAATGGGTGCAGAATTTTAGTTTTGGGAAAGATGAAGAGTTCTGGGCCAGGTGCGGTGGCTCATGCCTGTAATTTCAGCACTTTGGGAGGCCGAGGCAGGTGGATCACCTGAGGTCAGCAGTTCGAGACCAGCCTGGCCAACATGGTGAAACCCCATCTCTGCTAAAAATGCAAAAATTAGCCAGGCATCGTGGTGGGTGCTTGTAATCCCAGCTACTTGGGAGGCTGAGGCAGAATCACTTCAAACCCGGGAGGTGGAGGTTGCAGTGAGCTGAGACTGCACCATTGCACTCCAGCGTGGGCAACAAGAGTGAAACTCCATCTCAAAAAATAAAAAAAAAAGAGTTCGGGGTGTCTGGGTGGAGGTGACGGTTGCACAACAATGTGAATGTTACTTTATTCCACTGATTGTATACTTAAAAATGGTTAAGATGTTATATTTTATGTATTTTACCACAGTTTTAAAAATTGGAGAAAACACTACTGATCATAAAGCATATAATAAAGACTTATCTTACCTTTAGCTGATGCCAGTATGAGACTTATAATATGTTCAGGCTTTCCTTAAGTTGCAGGTTTTTAGAAATGATTGGTGACTGTATAGAAACTGTACTCTTATAATTGTGGGAATACTACTTATTGATTATTGGAGCAAGCTCTGGAATGCATTTACAGTAATTTTTTAAAAATTCTTAGGGCCAGTACCAACAAATGTTAGAAAGGTGTTTAGAAATTCAAGTATAATAGGATCGTACTTTTCTTTTAAACTTTGATGTTGTTTCTGGAAATGATGAATATTCACTACGTTATTTTGATTTTATGTATATCCTTCTATATGTTTTTCTATTTAATAGATACATTTAGATCACAATAAGAATGTATTTGAGTGCCAATAAACCTGACTTACCCTTGATTTTTGGTGTTCTGTTCTAAATTTAGATATCCAAAGAGAAGAAGAAAAAGTGAAACGATCTGTGAAAGATGCTGCCAAGAAGGGCCAGAAGGATGTCTGCATAGTTCTGGCCAAGGAGATGATCAGGTCAAGGAAGGCTGTGAGCAAGCTGTATGCATCCAAAGCACACATGAACTCAGTGCTCATGGGGATGAAGAACCAGCTCGGTAAGGCTGCACTTACCTTACAGTCACCTCATAATGCCGGGGTTGCTGTTATTATCAACACGGGTTCCTTGAATAGGAAAAACTCAACTCTGGTTTTTATTCTTTGTATTTTCTTAGTGTTGAGTGTTGTAGAAATGCAAAATATAATAATGTTGTTTGTTTTCTTTTGTTAGTATTTTCTAAATAGTAATGAAATCTACATATAAATCTGCTTTGTTTAGAAGTTAGAATGTATTGAACAGTGTTATCACGTGGCCTGAGAATTGAGTTGTAGGAGTAAGAGGCCAGCCTAGATGTTTGGAGGGAGGATGAAGAAAAGAGCTTTCTACCTTTGTCCTAGGTCCAGAGCAGCCCCAGGCAAAATGTTACAACAGGCTGTGGGGCTTTGGTTCACCTCCTTTTCTGCTTCATCTCTGCCTACCTAATGCTTCCTCACATCTTAGGAATCTGTAGACCACGTGATGGGTATTCAGCATACATGTGAACTCTCCATTTTAGATGACTTTTAGGAACTCATGATATTTAAAATAGGAATAAACATTGTTTCCTTTCAGTGTCCAGTACAGTACTGTTTGTGGTCGTTCATCTAGTTGGTTTCTTTTCTTAATTTCCATTAAATTATGAAGTAGTCCTAACTCAGAACTATAGTTCTTTGGTAATGGCAGCAAGTGACTGTCAGATATTTAGATTGAATACAGACTCAGAAATCATGGAGAGCCAGGCATGGTGGCATGCAGTTGTAGTCCCAGCTGCTCAGGAGGCTGAGCAAGGAGAATTAAGTGCTTGAGCCCAGGGGTTTGAGGCCACAGTGAGCTCTGATTACACCTGTGAATAACCACTGTGCCTGAGCCTGGACAATAAATATAGCAAGACTGTGTCTAAAAAAGAAATAAATTATGGAGAAATTTTTCACTGAAGAATATTTTCAACTCTCTGTCAGATACTTCATTGATCACACTCAAAAGAAGTTAGAAGATGAAGTGTTTTAATTTATAGGATGGTGCCAAATGGGTTTCTAATGCATTATTTGGTTGTATTTCGTTCTGAAGGTATTTTCTTCACATTCAATTTTAACATTCGAATGTGGTTTTAAAATATGCCTAACCATGAATGTATCATTAGTTTCTTTCTCGAGATACTGAAGAGAATAATCATGGGCTGGGAAAGAGTAAAAAAAAAATGACAAAATGTTTGTACCACATCATCCTTTAAAAAATCTATCAAGATTATCTTTTATTTATTTATTTTTGTTTTTTTGAGATAGAGTCTTTCTCTGTCACCCAGGCTGGAGTGCAGTGGTGTGATCTCGGCTAAATGCAATCTGCGCCTCCCAGGCTCAAGCGATTCGCCCGCCTCACCCTCCCAAGTAGCTGGGATTACAGGTGCCCACCACTACTCCCAGCTAATTTTTGTATTTTTAGTAGAGACGGGGTTTCGCCATGTTACCCAGGCTGGTCTCAAACTCCTGACCTCAGGTGATCTACCTTCCTCGGCTCTGCAAAGTGCTGGGATTACAGGCATGAGCCACCACTTCCGGCCTATCTTCACTTTTAAATGCCATGTTATTACAGCCCTAAAATGATGATTTTAGGCTCTTGAAATACTGGATATATCACCTAGATATGCCTTTTGATCAAACTGAGTATCAGTGCCATAAAGAAATAGTTTAATCCTGTCATGTTGAAAGCTCAAGTATTATTGTCTTTTATAGCCAGCTTGAAAAATTCAGATTGATTCTCAATTTTTCCTGCAACATGCTCAAAAGACACATGTTCAGTTGACCATGATAAGCTTGTTTAAACATTTTTCACTCTTTCCTTATTGCTTATTTTGCCTTTTTCCCTCTATGAATAAAGCAGTGTATGCACAGCCTCTTTTTTTTCCAATTGTAGAGATGAAAGCAGAGGATAATGTAATAAGTCTTTATGTACCTATTATACAGAACTAATAAAATTTATCTTTTTTTTTTTTGGTAGAGACGGGGTTTTACCATGTTGCCCAGGATGGTCTTGAACTGCTGAGCTCAAGTGATCCACTGCCTCAGTCTTCCAAAGTGCTGGGATTATAGTTGTGAGCCGCTGCACCTGGCCCAGAACTAATACAATTTAACGTTTTGTTGTATTTGCCTGCTTCTATATTATATATATATAAAAAAAGCATTATTACAAAAGTTGAAGCTCCTTTAATACACCTTCCCAGTTTCATTCTCTTCTCTCCCAACCTCTCCAGAGAAAGCCACTATCATGAATCTTAAAATTTTTATGAATGGTATCATACTATAGATACCATTCTGCGTCTTTTTGCTCCATTTATCATCGTTTTTGAAATATGTTCATGTGGATAAATGTAGGCAGGGTGCAGTGGCTCATACCTGTAATGCCAGCCCTTTGGGAGGCTGTGGCAGGAGGATCACTTGAGCCAGGAGTTCAAAACCAGCCTGGGAAACATAATGAAACCCTGTCTCTATAAAACAAGACAAAACAAAACAACAGCAACCACAATAAAATTATCTATGTGTATGTGTATATATATATAGAGAGAGAGAGAGAGAGAGAGCATGCTCTAGTCCATTGATTTGAACTACTAGATGAAATTACATTGATGTATCACATTTTATTTTTCTGTTCCCCTTTTGATGGATATTAAGGTTATTTTCAGTTTTTGCTGTGTGTAAAGGTTTAGGACAGTTGTATACTCAGAAGTAGAATTGCTAAGTAAGTAGCTGGGTTTAAATTTTGCTAGAATTACAAAATTGCTCTCCAAAGAAGCTTTACTAATTTATATTTCCAGCAGCAGTTCATGAGTTCTTTTTTTCCATACCTTTTCACCTTTTTGACTTGGTATTGTCAGACTTTTTTATTTTTGAGAAATGTTATCTTGTGTTAATAGTTCTCTCAGAGCTACTAAACTCGAGCATTCTCTTTTCTTTGCCCTTTCTTCCTGTGTCCTGATTCCAAAATACCTTTTCAGCCAGTTATCGTCATAGTAAGTAATCATTAGTCTGCATGCAAAAACTCTTTTATCATACACTTTCAGCAGTATACATAACAAAAGCTTCCCTGTGCACTGCACATAAGAGCCTATCGTTTAAATGTACACCCATAACAATATGTTAAGTTGTTCATTTCATATATACTGTAGCTTTACCAGAATTGAAAAGTAAAGTATTTGCTCTTTGGCCTCTGAATGTTAAGGTGCTCGAGGGCTCTATTCTAGATCCTCTGCTCCTTTCCATCTTTACTCCCAGTAGTCGATCTTATCTAACCCCATGCCTTTAAATGCCATTGAGTTTTATCTTCAGGGCTGACTTTATCTCTAAGTGCGTAATTGGCATCTCCACTCAGATGTCTCAAGGGGTATCTCAAAATTGATATAAAAAAATCTTGATTTTCCTTCTCCCACCACTTTGTCTTCTTCCAGTCTTTCTACTATGAGAATTTTTTTTTATTTTAATTTTTGGCATCATTAAAAAATTAAACATATGTATACTCTGGGTTACCTTATAATTGATGAGTTTCATGAGACTTGAATCCCCCATTTGCATTTTTGTTTATGAGGTTTGGTGTCAAATTTCACTGTGGCAATCCAGTGTGAAAAGAGCAAAACCCAACTTACTGTGTAAATGTCCTTGCCGAGGGAATCCCATCTGATGCAAGGATTTTAAGTAGTTTTTTTTTTTTTTTTTGAGACAAGATCTCGCACTGTCGCCCAGGCTGGAGTGCAGTGGTGCCATCTCGGCTCACTGCAACCTCAGTAGTCTTAATGGAGAAAAGCGGGAAAGGAGTCACCAGACAGATAGATGAGAACAGTATATATATGCATAGTTATCAAGTATTTTACCTGTAGCGTAACCCACATTATAAGTGGTGTTTTAGTTCAGCAAAGTATCACATGAAATTTACGTTGTTAATGTGAATTTTATTGATTTTGAAGTTTTTTGTATTTAATTTTGTTTTTGAAATAGTTTTATAATTGTACAATTATAGGCATTGGGAATTTTTACCCAATTAGTAAAATACACATAATTAAAGCCAACAACAGAAAGTTATTGGTAACAGGGGAACTGCTAACATTTTATTTTTCTTCAGTGGAGGACTGAATCAGTAAATTATGATTTATTTAGGTTTCAGCATAGTATTCAGCTACAGAAAGATGTTAATGATGCATCATTTAATAAGAAAGCAAGTTGCAGAACAGTATATATAGCATGATAGCACTCTGTAAATAAGTAGAGGATGTGTTTGTGTAGTTGTGTAAATAAATGATAAATGGATAAACAGAGGTCTGAAAAAGGTTCACTTCTGAGGAGAGAAGTTGGATTGTTTGAATCATCCTGTATTGTTTTCTCTTTAACTTCTTATTATGGAAATATTAAGCATATACAAAAGCAGAGTGAATACCCAAATGAATCTCTATGTACCTATCACCCAGCTTAAACAATTGTCAACTCTTGGCTGATTTTACTGAATTTATATTCATCCCACCTAGTCCCTATATTTTCCTCTGGGAATCCATATACATTTATCCCTCGGTGTCCACAGGGGATTGGTTCCAGGATCCCCACAGATACCAAAATTTGTGGATGTTCAAGTCCCTTATATAAAATGAGGTAGTATTTGCATATAACCTACACATATCTTCCTGTATACTTTAACCTCTAGATTAATTATATAATACCTAATACAATGCAAATGCTATGTAAATAATAGTTATACTATATTGTTTAGGGAATAATGACAAAAAGCTTATACGTGTTTGGTACAGACACAGCCTTTCATTTTCGTTGTTGTTGAATATTTTTGATATTGAATATTTTGTTGTCTTTGGTTGGTTGAATTTACAAACACTGAACCCACAGATATGGAGGACCAACTGTAATTTCATCTATAAGTATTTACATATGGATTTCTAAAAGAAAAGTGTTGTATCCTTCTATTCCTTGGTGCATCCTTTCAGTCCTGGGGACTTGTATCCTACAGTGCTTGGATGTGTGCATGTACATTGCCTTTGCACTGTATTTTCTGTTTCTTTCTGAAAGCAAACAGTCTTAGTTATTGGATTTCTCAGACTGTTCCTTTAATTTTCTTACCTTTCCCATGTTCCATTTTGAGGATAATAATAGTTAGTACCTTCCTCATAAGCAGGTTGTGAGGCTCACTTCATTGCCTGGCATAGTAATTGCTGTATATATAGGTTCTAAATATTATCATCATTATCATGATCAATTTTGTCTGTGTAATCTACTTTCTGCAAAATTTCCTCAACTTTATTTTCCATTTTTTCTCATGAATTCTTTATTTTGGCTATCTTAACCTTAATTTTCAAGAAAGTTCTCAGTTTCTTATTTTTTAAAAAATCATTCCATTCTTCCTCGTTGGTGCAGTATTGTCTTTTGTTAATGACAGTTGTCTTTTTGAAATTTTCTTACATTCTGTGTATTGTTTCTCAGAACTGCTTCTCCCAATCATCCTCTTCTTTCCTATCCCACTTCTCTTTTTAAAGAAAGAGGTGGGAGGGAGGGAGGCAGAGGAGAGAGTGGAAGGGAGGAGGGTAGGGGAAGCTAGATTTAAGTATACGCTTTCTGAGTACCTGCCCTCCCTCGTCTTTTCAGGCATATAGACTGAGCTACAAAAACCAAAATGTTAATTCATTTAATAAATATCTCTTTTAGCCCTATTATGTGCTAGGCATACTTCTGGGCACTGGGGTTAAAATCGTGAATATTACAGGCGCAATCACTGCCCTCTAGGTATGGGGTAAATTGCAGATGATTGAAGAAATATAATAAAAAATAAAAATAATAAATTTAATAATCAAATGGATATTTATAATTGCTTACTGTGATATGCACTAGGAGAACGTGAAAGAGAAATGTAGAGTCAGGAATGGCTCCTTTCAGGCACTGATGAATCCTGAAAGAAGATGAACTATTAAGTTTGTGGGGGTGTGGGAAGTGGTGTGCCAACTTGGATGGCTAGCATGTGTGAAGGCCCTGGGGCCAAAAAGAACTGTGCATTCCCAACACGGAAGGAAGGTCTGGGAGGTTGGGTACCGAGCAAGTGGGAGGGATAGCTGGAGAGGATGGGCAAGGAGGTGAAGATGACAATTTTTACAGCTGTTAGGAGAGCAATGCTTCTCCAAGACAAGTTCAAAATAAGACGTGCTGTAGCAATGCAGATAAAGTGCAATGGGAGTTAAGAGGAAAAGTATTTTGGGGAGAATCAGGGCAGCGTCTGAGTGTAGAGGGATTAGGTATACAAAGGCACAGTTGAAATATTTCAGGCTATGTTCAGGAAACAGTTTGACAGGAATGCATGAAGGGGAGCAGTGGGAGGTGAGACTGGAAAGGTAAGTTGGAGTCAGAGTTCTGAGATATCAGGCTGAGGAATTTAAATTATTCTGTAGACATTTGAAAGCTTTAGCACATTATAAGCACAGAGCACAGGTGCAGGGAGGGACAGTGCAGTGTGATTGGAGGCAGTGGGACCTAAGAGGTAATGGAGTGGAGTAGGGGAATGGAATAGGTTAGTCTAGTGAGAATGGAGTAGAAGACAGAAGAACAGGTGCAGAGTGAAGGTATAAACAAGGCTGAGATGCTCTGAGCCTTTGAGCCTGGAAAGAGACTGCAGGGCCATTAACAGACACTGGAAACACAGGGAGAGGAACAGGTCTAAGAGAGGAATCTTCACTTGGGCTGACCAGACTAGCCCCAGGAAATCAGTGGCTATTTGGTTCACCTGGCTTCTGCAGCACCTAAGCTTTTGCTGACAGGAAGGATTCCTAGACAGGGTTGTTGTGTTGGTTTATAGTGGAGTGTTGCTTGTTGGGAGATTAAATACAGCAGAGTAGGTACGAGGATAGAACTTGGGACAAGGCAGGAAGGAAAAGGCTACATTTTGGGAGTGGAAAAAGAGAAAACTAAGTGTAACCAAAGTTCCTGAGATGTCTTTGTCATCTTTCTATGGCCCCATCCCACCCCTAGCCTGTTGCTGCATTGAAAAGCCAAGATTTGACAAAGTCATTCCTCTTTCTTAAGATGTTCCCCTATTAAAATGCAGATGCCTCTGGGGAGGGGTAATCTATTCAGCCTTGTCACCTATTAATACATTGTCATGATTAGGTGCTTTCCAGGTGACAGCTTTCTGACAGCAGCTCCTTGCAGTGTAAGACAGATGATGAGTGTGTTTTGATTGGAAGAGAGGGTTAAGGGAGAGGTTCAAAGGTGGGGCAGGAAATAGAATTACCATATGCTCCAGCTATTCCACTTTTGAGATATACCCGAAAGAATGGAAGGCAGGGACTCAAATAGGTATTTGGATGCCAGTGTTCATAGCAGCAGCATTCACAATAGCCAAAAGGTAGAAGCAACCCAAGTGTCCATTGACAGATGAATGGGTAAACAAAATGTGATATGTCTGTATAATAGAATATTATTCAGCCGTAAAAAGGGAGGAAATTCTGACTTATGCTACAACAATATGGACGAATCTTGAAGGCATTATGCTAAGTGAAATGAGCACCTCAAAAAAGGATGAATACTACGTGATTCCACTTATATGATGTACCTTGAATTCTCAAATGTAGAGGCAGAAAGTAGAGTGTTGGTTGCCAAGGGTAAGGGGAAATGGGGATTGATTGAGTGATGGTGCAGAGGTTCAGTTTGGGAAGATGAGAAAAGTTCTGGAGATGGATGGCGGTGATGGTTACACAAAAATGTGAATGAATGTACCTAATGCCACTTAACTATATACTTAAAAATGGATAAAAGTTACAAATTTTATGTTATGTATAATTTTGGGTTAAAATAATGTATTTTATGTTATGTATATTTTACTATTAAAGCAGTGGGGTAGGTGTGAGTGCTGAGCTATCGTGGGATTCTGAGTGGCAGAGATGCATGAGAGCTCCAAGCTCTTATATAGTTTTCATGCGCGTCCATGTGAAGAGACCACCAAACAGGCTTTGTATGAGCAATAAAGCTGTTTATTTCACCTGGGTGCAGGTGGGCTGAGTCCAAAAAGAGAGTCAGCAAAGGGTGGTGGATTATCATTAGTTCTTATAGGTTTGGGGATAGGCGGTGAAGTTAAGAGCAATGTTTTGCGGACAGGGGTGGATCTCACAAAGTACATTCTCAAGGGTGGGGAGAATTACAAAGAACCTTCTTAAGGGTGGGGGAAATTATAAAGAACCTTCTTAAGGGTGGCGGAGATTACAAAGTACATTGATCAGTGAGGGTGGGGCAGAAACAAATCACAATGGTGGAATGTCATCATTTTTACTTCTTTTGTGGTTCTTCAGTTACTTCAAGCCATCTGGATGTATACGTGCAAGTCACAGGGGATGCGATGGCTTGGCTTGGGCTCAGAGGCCTGACAATAGTGATGACAGTGTGTCTAGAAGGACAGGCCATGCAATAAAAGGGAGGCCCAGGTAGGATAGTACATCCACCTAGCTACCTTTGTCCTTTTGTTTTGTTTTGTTCTGTGCTTTGATTGGAGTACCTGAAAATGAATTTGCAAGGTATGGATCTTTGGGGTCAAGCATAACGTTTGTGAAATTTAAACCAATTTGTTGAATCAAAACACATTTTTAAAGACTGTTCTAGTATTTTTAACTTATGTGTTACAGACTTTGATATGATTTGGCTCTGTGTCTGCACCTAAATCTCATGTTGAATTGTGATCCTGAGTGTTGAAGGTGGTCCTGGTGGGAGGTGATTGGATCATGGGGGTGGTTTCTAATGGTTTAGCACCATCCCCCTAGTGGTGTCTCATGATAGAATTCTCATGATCTGGTTGTTTGAAAGTGTATAGCACCTCCCCTATCTCTCTCTCTCTCTCTGTCTCCTGCCGGCCAGTGGAGATGTGCCTGCTTCCCCTTTGCCTTCCACCATGGTGTAAGTTTACTGAGGCCTCCCCAGAAGCAGAAGCCTGTACAGCCCACAGAACTGTGAGCTGATTAAACCTCTTTTCTTTATAAACAACCCAGTCTCAGGTATGTCTTTACAGCAGTGTGAGAATGGACTAATATTGACATTGCTTTTAAAAATGCTACAGAAATATATAAAATAAAAGTAATTGTTCACCAATTTCTTTGTCTTGGCCTCAGCCCCCTTACCCACTGATAACTACTATTCAAGTGCTATATGAACTGTCCTGCAGTTTGCTTTTGTTAGTCTAACATTATGTCATTTTATACATACCACACACATTTATTACTCAGGTCTACAAATTTGAGCCGTTAAATAAACGGATTTTGCATTTAATATTAAATTGTGATCTAGCATATATAAGATTAAAATTCAGTTTCTTTAAGGCTTGCTGAATAATAAGTAATTTCCTAAAATAAATACATATCTGTGTCATGTATTGTTCATGATGTGTTTATTCAAGGGTTTTAAGTTTTCCACTCCAAAACTTTTACAGATTTAAGTTCTACAGTTCATAATTGTCTTTTTCAAATGAAATATTTTCCCCTGCATAAACAAAATACAACATTAAATGAAATTTTTAAAGGGAGTGAAAATCATCTGCCTTCCTCACAAACTGATTGTTTCATATTTTAGTTGTTATTCATATGAATGTTTATTTTACACTGTATGAATGTTTATTTTCATTATACTCATATACTCATATGAATGTTTATTTTATACTCTGTAAATACCATATAAAAACACATCATTGGCATTAAGTGAGAGTGACATGAGGCAGTCTTCCCTCTAGAATTTTAAAGTCCAATTCCTGTTAGCAAGCTGGATCCTCAGAAACCCTTTTCCGTCCTCCAGTTTCTTCCCACAGAAATGGCTTTGCTGAGCTGTTTTCATAGTATTCCTTTGCTTTTTTTTTTTTTTTTGAGATGAAGTTTTGCTCTTGTTGCCCAGGCTGGAGCGCAGTGGCACAATCTCGGCTCACTGCCACCTCTGCCTCCTGGGTTCAAGCTACTCAGCCTCCCAAGTAGCTGGGATTACAGGTGCCCACCACCATGCCTGGCTAATTTTTGTATATTTAGTAGAGATGGGGTTTCACCATGTTGAGGAGCCTGGTCTTGAACTTCTGACCTCAGGTGATCCACCTGCCTGGGCCTCCCTAAGTGCTGGGATTACAGGCGTGAGCCACCGTGCCCGGCCCTCCTTTGCTTTTTTATGGTGGATAAGAAACAGCCACATGGAGATTATTTCTATAACGTCTATACAATCAGTGGTGCAGTCAATAAAGATTATATACTTTAATATTCCTTAATATTAAAAGCCATGGAATACATTTATCTTAGAACTTAGCCTGAAAAAAAGTTTTTCCCAGTGAAACAGTGTTGCTTTTACCAGTGAGTGTCCTGCAACCCAAAACATGATTAACTTTCATGTTTTAGCTGTTGAGATACAGCTAAACTTTATCTCAGTTGCAGTAGCTTTTATTAGCCTACGCCACTGATTCTCAACTAGGGGCATTTTTGCCCCTTGGGGGACATTTGGCAGTATTTGGGGCCATTTTTGGTTGTCACAACTAGGAGGAAAAGGGGTGCTGCTACTGGCATCTAGTGGGCAGAAACCAGGGCTGCTGCTGAACACCCTAGAATGCGTAAAACAGCTGCCTCCAACAAAAGAATTACCCAGCCCGGACTGTCAATAGTGTGGTTGTTGAGATACTCCAGCCCACATTTATGGAATCAACTCACACTTTTGAGCTTTTTTTATTTTATTGTATCTGCCATATACATCTTTTTAATAAACTGCTTCAAGTTATTTTTTTTCAAGTGGAGGCATGTAAGTCATAAATAAACGTGACTTTAAATTTTTAAAGTTTCTGAAATGTACATGGTTTCAACATTCTTTTGTGACATCCTTTTGGTTTTGGTTCACCATATTATAGAATGTTTGTACTATCTCCTTTTTCTTATGATTTTTATCTTTCTGTTCATTATTATTATGTGTTAGAGATTTCTTTGGAAATCATGATGTACCTTTTAACTTTTCTTTTTTCTTAACCTTGTTTCAAGGAAAAGTTGTCTTACTCTCAAGGGATTTTTACTTTTGAGGCTCAAATGTTTTTAATATCCCTTCTCTGAGCTTTCATTTGTCAGAAATGTCATAAGATTTCATATTTTCTTATAATCTGATTCATTGTGTTTGTAAATGCCTGTTTTAAGTTGGCTTTTAAAACCCACACTGTTGGTCTAGTGTGTCAATATTTTTACTTCATTTTATTTTTGAGATAGGGTCTGTTGCCCAGTCAGGAGTGCAGTGGTGTGATCATGGCTCTCATAGCCTCAACCTCCGTGGCTTAGGTGATCCTCCCACCTCAGCCTCCTGGGTATCTGGGACTACAAGCACGAGCCACCTCACCCAGCTAGTTTTTTGTAGAGATGGGGTTTCACCATGTTGCCCAGGCTGGTCTCGGTCTCCTGTGCTCAAGTGATCCGCTTGCCTGGGTCTCTCAAAGTGCTGGGATTACAGGTGTGAGCCACTATGCCTGGCCCTATTTTTATTTGCTAATTTTTAAAAAATTTAACTGTAATTCCCATGAGAGCCTGTGATAGGTAGAGAGAATTCTCTGTTTTTGTTGCTTTCATTATTGGTGTCCAGATTCTTTTCAGAATATTTTCACTGGGTTCCACATCTACTGATTATGAAACTAATTTTTTTTTTTTTTTTTTTTTGAGACGGAGTCTCGCTCTGTCTCCCAGGCTGGAGTGCGGTGGCACGATCTTGGCTCACTGCAAGCTCCACCTCCTGGGTTCACGCCATTCTCCTGCCTCAGCCTCCCGAGTAGCTGGGACTACAGGTGCCCGCCACCACACCCAGCTAATTTTTTGTATTTTTAGTAGAGACCAGGTTTCACTGTGTTAGCCAGGATGGTCTCGATCTCCTGACCTCATGATCTGCCCTCCTCAGTCTCCCAAAGTGCTGGGATTACAGGCGTGAGCCACTGCTCCTGGCCATGAAACTAATTTTTTAGTTATTTTGCTTCCAGCGTTAGTTGTTGATATTACAACATGGTCATATTTATAGCAGAAATTGTTTTATGCATACAATATCCTTTTTTCATTTGTATCAGGTGTGGGAATGTAATGTTACTTTATTTTTATATGCTTTAATTTTTTTTAAATTAAGGCTTATGTTTTTAGAAAATAGTAGACTCACATACATGTAGTACACCTGTATTTGCAAGAAATAATACAGAGAGATTCTGTGTACCCTTCACCTAGTTTCCCCCGATAGTAACATCTTGCAAAACCAGAGTACAATCTCACAATCAGGATATTGCCATCGATGCAATCAAACTACAGAACATTTCCATAAATACAAGAATCCGTCATGTTGCCCTTGTATAGCCACACGTACTTTCCTCCCATCTCCACCTTCTCCTTAGCAGCCACTAATTCTCCATTTCTATAATTTTGTTACTTTAAGAATGTTGTATAAATGGAATTATGTAGTTATGTAACTTCTTGGGATTGGCTTTTTTCACTCAGCATACTTCTATGGAAATTAACTCAAGTGTTTACATGTATCCATAGTTCATTTCTTTTTATTGCTGAGTGGTATTCCATTATATGGATATACCAGTTTATTTAACCATTTACCCATTGTAGGCCTTCTCAGTTGCTTCCAGTTGTTGGCTATTATGAATAAAGCTGCTATAAAAGTGTACAGGTTTAAATTCCCACCAGCCAATGTATGAGTGATCCTGTTTTTCTACATCTTCTCCAACATTTGTTGTTGTCACTATTTTTTATTTTAGGCATTCTGGTAGGTCTATGGTGCTGATTGTGGTTTTACTTTGCATTTCCATAGTGGCTAATCTTTTCATGTGCTTATTTGCCATCCGTATCTCCTCTTTGGTGAAATGATACTTCTCTACTTTTCTGTGTCTTCAAAATTCTCTTTGATGAAATGTTTAAAAGTGAACCCTTTTTTATTTCTGGTTTTTAATTTCTTTTCCTACATCAGTTGCTTTTTGTCACCAGTATGTGGATGTTCTGTCTGTAATTTAAAACACTGGGAGAATGAGCTTCTATTTCCTTCTCCCCACTTTTTGCCATATAAATTTTTTTTTCTTTTTTTTTTTTTTTTTTGAGATGGAGTCTTGCTCTGTCGCCAGGCTGGAGTGCAGTGGTGCGATCTCGGCTCACTGCAGTCTCCGCCTCCCGGGTTGAAGTGATTTCCCTGTCTCAGCCTCCTGAGTAGCTGGGATTACAGGCGTGCGCCACCACACCCAGCTGGTTTTTGTATTTTTTAGTGGAGACGGGGTTTCACCATGTTGGCCTGGATCTCCTGACCTCGTGATCCACCCACATCAGCCTCACAAAGTATTGGGATTACAGGGGTGAGCCACCATGCCCAGCCAAAAATTTTTTTTAAATAAAGAAATGTTCTGGAATTTTAATGATCAATACAAAAAAGAAAAGAGAAAACATATTTCTGACCCAATACTAAATCTTTCATTCTATGTAGGAGCACTTGAGTCTTTATAAAATCACCTCAGTGTTAAATTCATTTATTGTTTTTTTCAACAAATATTTGATTGTTGGCTGTGTCAGGCACAGTGCTAGGCACTGGGAATAAAATAGTGAGTTGTCCTCCAAATAAAAGGAATCTAGTGGCTGGGCACAGTGGCTTACACCTGTAATCTCAGCACTTTGGGAGGCTGAGGCGGGTGGATCACCTGAGGTCAGGAGTTCGAGACCAGCCTGACCAACATAGTGAAACCCCACTTCTACTAGAAATACAAAATTAGCTGGCATGGTGGCGCACACCTATAATCCCAACTACTCAGGAGGCTGAGGCAGGAGAATCGCTTAGAACCCGGGAGGCAGAGTTTGCAGTGAGCTGAGATCGTGCCACTGCACTCTAGCTGGGCAACAGAGCGAGACTGTCTCAAAAGAAAAAGAAAGAAAGAAAGAAAGAAATCTAGTGTTCTCTTGGGCAGCACATATACTAAAATTGGAACAATACTGAGAAGATTAATGTGGCCCTGCACAAGGATAAATACAAACTTCTGAAGCATTCCATTTTTTTTTTTTTAACTTTGTCCCCCAAGCCTCTACATATGGGGCTGTCAGTGGGACTGGCACTCCACACTGAGGGAGGACCATGTGGAGAGACCCTGAAGTTGGAGAGAGCCTGAACCCAGAGAGATCTGCAGACAGGCCTGGGGTGGGGAAGGATTTCAGCAAAAAGAGCTGTGACCAATGAAATGCTGCCCAGTTTATTTCATATTCCTCTCTGTGTTACTTTGATCTTTGTTGTTTTAAATGTGGTCAACTAGCTTTTACATTACTGACTTAGTAATGTTTTCTCTAGAATTTTAACCTTTTTTGGGGGATGTGGGGAGGTTTTATAGTAAAATATATGTACGAAAATTTGCCATTTTAACCATTTTTAAGCAGGAAATTTGGCATTTTAATTAACATTTTAATTAAATATATAACGATACTTTGAATGCTCTAGTCTTTTGAAGATTTTAGATAGGAATTTCTGTTTCAGTCTAACACATGCTTTCTGGGACTTTCTACCATTAAATAATGCTTTGTTTATAGATTGATTCATTTATTCATTCAGCACCTATTTGTTGATTGCATTCTATGCATTCAACATATTGTTAACACAGTGGGACGCAGTCACTACCCTGATGCCATTTATATTTTAGTATATAATGTGTGTTCTTGGTTTTTGAATGTGGTATTTTAAGATTAAGCCACCCATGCCTATTGAATGTGAATCCACTGTGGTCTTAATGGGTTTGTACAGTCTATTTGAGGATAGTTTTATACTTTAAATAGCACGTGAGCTCATTAGAATGCTATCTGGCAAAACTATGATTAGAGTTTTGTTCAGACTTTAGAATTAGTGTTACATATACTTCATAAAATATAATGGATGATATTTTTGCTTTCTTTTGTTATATTAACTAAGGAATATGTTCAGCAGCAAATAACGGAAAACTTGACCACTGTGGCTTATATTAGAACAGAATTGTGGAACTAGGCCTCTTTCACCTCTCATTGCCTGTCCCTGCTTCGAGCTGGTTATCTTGTACATGGGACATGGGCCTTTCCATCAGTGCTTTCTCAGAGTCAGGAGCTGACCAGCAGCACACCAAGGTGTGGTCATGCATCCTAACCAACTCTCACTCATCTGGGACATTCTTAAGATATATTTATAAACTGCTTCAGCAGTAGCACTTTATATTTGTATGTGTGTGAGAGTTTACAAAGCTCTTTGACATATGTGATCTCATTCAATCTTCACGAATAAGGAAAATAATTCAGCTTGCTTAAGATGGCAGTGAGGAAATGGCGGAGCTGGGGTTCAAACCCAATTATCTCTAGTCTAAGTCATATGTGCACTAAAACAATCAGGCAGGAAAAAAGCCCAACGGCTCTCTGGCAGGTTGGTTTTGTAGATTCTGGATGGAATGCCTGATGCCAGGTGTTGCTGCAGTGGAGTCCTTTCAGTCTCATGATACAAATGGCAATCTTGAATGCAGACGACCCTTCTATTACTCTTGATTTCACCTTCAGGGTATAGTTGTTTTTATTTTTTAGTAAACTTATTTTTTGAGCAGTTTTAGGTTCACAGCAAAATTGAATAGAAAGTACAGAAAATCCACATACCCCTGCCCTCACACTTGCATAGCCTCATTCACTGTCAACATCCCACACAAGAGTGGTACATTTGTTACAATCAGTAAGCCTCTATTTACATGTCATTATCACCCAAAGTCCATAGTTTACATTAGGATTCACTCTTGGTGTTGTACATTCGATGGGTTTGGACACATATATAATGATATCCACAATTATAGTATCATACAAAATAGTTTCACTGCCCTAAAAATTCTCTGTGCTGTTTATTCATCTTTTTTCCCTACTAACTCTTGGCAACCACTGATTTTATTACTGTCTCCATAGTTTTGCCTTTTCTAGAATGTCATATAGTTGGAATCATACAATATGTAGCCTTTTCAGACTGGCTTCTTTCACTTAGTAATATGCATTTAAGTTTCTTCCTTGTCTTTTCATGGCTTGAAAGCTCATTTATTTTTAGTACTGGATAATATTCCATTGTCTGGACGTACCAGTTTGTTTATCCGTACACCTGCTGAAAGACATCTTGGTTTCTGACAAGTTTTGGCAGTTATGAATAAAGCTGCTATAAGACATCTGTGTGCAGGTTTTTCTGTGGACATATTTTTAATTCATTATGATAACTACCAAGGAGCACACTTGCTGGATCATATGGTAGGTGTGTGTCTGGCTTTGTCTTCCAAAGTGGCTGTACCATTTTGCATTCCCATCAGTAATGAATGAGAGTTCCTGTTGCTGCACATTCTCGCCAGCATTTGGTATTGTCAGTGGTCTGGATTGGGCCATTCTAAGGGGTTTTTAGTGGTATCTCATTGTTTTAATTTACAGTCCCCAAATGACATAAGATGTTGAACATCTTTTCATATGCTTACTTGCCATTTATATTAATATATCATGTTGGTGAGTTATCTGTTCAGGTCTTTTGCCCATTTTTAAGTTCAGTTATTTTCTCATTATTGAGTTTTACGAGTTTTTTGTATGTTGTGGATAGCAGTCCTTTATCAGATATGTCTTTTGCAAATATTTTCCTGCAGCTTGGGGCTTGCCTTTTCATTCTTTTGAAGGTGTGGCTATTTTTATTATGAAATAATTTTTACCTGCCACACCTTTTTTCGTTTTTCCTTTTGGAACATAGGAAATACATTTTTTAAATACCTGTCTTAGTTTCTTTTGTGCTGCTATAGCAGAATACCTGAGACTGAGTAATTTATTCAGAGTAGAATTTTATTTCATGCAGTTCTGGAGTCTGGGAAGTTCAAGATTAAGGTGCTGGCAGGGTTGGTTGTCTGGTGAGGGCTGCATTTTCTGGAGGGTAGGCATGCTGTGTTCTCACGTGGCAGGAGGAAGGGCAACGGAGAACGAACTGCCTCCTGTAGGCCCTTTTCTAAGGGCACCTAATCCATTCAGGAGGGTGGAACCTCATGGCCTAATCACCTCTTAAAAACTCCACCTCTTAATACTTATCACAGTGGCAACACCTGAATTTTGGAGAGGACGTATTCAAACCATAGCAACCACCTTTGTCTTGAGTTTCAAGTGTACAACATACAATTAGTCTGGCCTTTTAAAAATCCACTTACCTAATCCATTTTGGTTGGTTATCAACTTGAGTGTTTTTGTAATAAGTTTTATTTCTAAGTTTATTTTTGTGTCCCCTTTTTCCTACAACATTGACTCTTCCCTTCTTGTACCTTCTAATAATCAGAAATTTATACCTTTTTCAGAATACAAATGATTCAGTGTTTAAATACTTCTCTAGTCACAGTTTTTTCCATGTCTCCCATCTGTTTACTTATTTTCACTAATTCAGCCCAAAAATGTTTACTGAACACATACCATGTTCAGGTACTCTCTCTGGGTTACAGACTCAGGATGCAAATAATAATACAACTTATAATATGTATAAGGATGTATCAGGATGCAAATTATAAAATAATAATACAACTACAGGCTCATGTAGACATCAGGCTTTATAAACAAAACTGGATGGAATTTGCTTTATTTTTACCCTTTTCTTCCCACCTTTATATAATCAATAGTAATTTTTAACTTTTTATAAAATTATAAAATTTTATAAATTTATAAAAGTAAATTTATAAAAGTAATTATAACTTTTTTATCATTTTAATGGCATATGTAATTTATTGCTTATTTCAGCCTCACAGATTCTTGGCACTTCCTCTGTCATTCTACTAATATTAATAAATATTTTATTTTCCCATTTCAGTGTTAAGAGAAATGAAGTGTTCTCTGCAACTAGCAAACTCCCTTACTCCTTTAGAAAAATCACAGTGCTATGAATGTCAGACAGGCATTTCTCTGGTCACTCTTGTTTTCCCTTAGATGTGAAAGCTTCCTAGGGTCTGGATTCCACCAGAAGTAAACCTGTAGTGACTCCTGGTTTAGCCAGGAGGAAGGAAGTCTGTGTGCCGGTTTTAGGGAACAGCTTGTATATGACAGCTCTCAGAACTTCAAGTCTCATGAAATTCCAAAACAGGTTTAGATGGTTGCCAACTCTTTGACATGTTAAAGACATTGAGGGTGGGGCAATGATCTTTTGATACTACCGTGATTTCTTATAAAGAAGATTGTAGTAGGCATACAATCTCAGACTACAGAAGGTTTTTCTCTAGTAAGGAACCACCTCACATTGACACACATACACATATTCACTGTATCTGTCCTAGTTTCTCTCATTTTTCTGAGGACCAATGATAAGCTGGCTCCATACTGAACAGATACTGTCCATAGGCTGGTGTGTGGGGAGCTCTGCTCGGGTCCTGAAGCCTTCTCTTTCCTAGTGTGGCCTTTACAAGGTCTGGAGCTCTTTCTCCCATTTGTGATTTTCCTGGGTGTCACAGTTACTCCAAGCTGGCTTCCTTTCCTAAAAGTCAAGAGTGGCTTCAGGCCACTCTCCAGATTGGTCATGTGGTGTGCATGCTCATTGAATTCACATCAGTAGTAACCCAGATAGCATACAATTTAGGAAAGTCAATCTCTTGGTCAACTAGCACAGTAATTAATTTAAAGGCACACAAATAACTTCGGGAGTCCATCTGCTACTGCTGTCATTTATTGGAATGGCTCATAATTTGGCTGTCTCTCTCTATTCCATCCTGTTGAACAATCCTGACTGTACACATTCTCTTTCAGCGGTCTTGCGAGTGGCTGGTTCCCTGCAGAAGAGCACAGAAGTGATGAAGGCCATGCAAAGTCTTGTGAAGATTCCAGAGATTCAGGCCACCATGAGGGAGTTGTCCAAAGAAATGATGAAGGTGACTTGGGGCTAGCCCTGCTTTCCTTTCCAAACCCCAGAGTCACTCTAAACAAGTAACAGGGGGCTAGGGATGAGGGTGGGTGGGGATGAACAGACTACACCTGCTAGACAGAATTAATTTTAAGGAGTAGCTGTTAACATTGATTGAAACCATTTGAGCTCAGCATAGCAGAGGCTGGGTCAGATTGCCAGAGTGTTCTGTAGAAGAAGCAAAAGTCTACCCAGAGCTCTAGAGGAGGTGGGGGATCCAAGGAGCAACCATTTAGGGATCAAGGAAATAAAGTTTGCAGGGTCCAACATAGGCAAGGAGATGGAAAGAAACTTGATTTACAAAAACAGGCAGAGACCGTATTTGGCCTGCAGCAGCTGTAGTTTGCTGATCCCTGTTTTAAACTAAAAAAGGAGAGACTGAGAATCAAATAGAAAGTGCGTAAATACCTGCCACCCCCAGGATCAGGGTCTGGCAAGGACCTGTACTCGTGGCCCTCAGACAAGGACAGGGATAAAGAAGGCATTGCTGCCGAGCCCCGGCAGCCACATACTGTCCTATCTCCTAGTCTGTTCTTCTAGCCATCGTGAGAAGTAGGGATTTTTGTCCTCGTTTTACATAGACAGAAACTGAGCTTTTGGGTCATCAGGTAGTTTCCCTAAGGTCACCTTGGTTGTAAGTGAAGATATAGAGTTGGGGCACTGCAGTCTGACCTTATCACGTGAGTTGTCACAGAGGAAATGAGGATGGGAGGTCCCTCACACAGATGCTGTTTCATGCTTCAGACCTGTGGCTGACAACCAAGAGTGTACACCTCAAATTCTTGTATAGAGGCTGTGCATAGAAATCACCTCCCTTCCTCTCAGGGAATTTCATTTATGAACTTGAATTATGTACAGGGTTTAGGGCATGGGAGAGAGGGGCTGGAAAAGAAAATTGCAGAAAAATGACATAGAAAGCCCAGGGCCCAGGTTGTTTGAATGAGAACTCCTTGGGCAGTAGCAGTAAGGAAGGAACTGGGTCAGGAGGGTATGTCCTTTACAAATAGCATGTAGGTGTCTTGCCCCCAAGTTGGTGATCACTGTTCATCTAGAACCAGATAAGAAGATCATTCTTGGAGTGCCTTCAGGCTTGCTCATTTTAACTCAGCCACCAGGATCTGAGAGGGAAGCCTTTTTCAGAATCTGGGATCTTTTTCATAATGGTTTCTGAATACTGGGAGTAATACAGATTTGGAGGAAGGCTTGCGTGTAGTACATTCTGAAGGCCCCAGTAGGGGCTCAGCTCCTCAAGGGCAAGAACACATCTTAGTCATTCTGTTTATCCCAGGCCTATTGTGTGGCACAGAGCAGGACTTTGATGAATCGTTGCTGATTGAATGAATAAATAAATGACAACTTCTACCTCCAGAGTGTGAAGGGCTATTACAATTAGGATTCTGGTGGACTCTTTTTAACCAATTAGCAAGCATTTATTGCACTTCTTTTATGGTAGCCCCCAGTACTAAGATGATCCCATTCAGGAAGGCCCTAGGGTTTCACCTGGGTGAACATGAATATGAATTTATTTGTTCATTTTGGTTGGGAAGAACGGATCTGAGGATGGGCAGAATAGGGTGCTAGTTAGATTCAGGCAGGCAGGATAGAGGGTTGCTTTAAATCTGAACCCTTCAGCATAGTCACTGAGAATTGTACCCTGGCTGAGTACAAGGGAGCCAGGGCCGGAGCTGCTACATGTGACCTTCTGCTCCTTGAATCACCAAAACATCAAGGTACAAAGCAAGGGACTTAGTTTTTTCAGGTGGCAAGACAACCAGGATTTTCTTTTTCTAGCAACTTCTCAGAAACCTGAACCCATGCCCTCCACCACAGCCACTCAGCACCCCCAGTACCTGTTCTGCCCAGGGATGTCAGCAGCCCTCTTGTTGACTTTGGAGGTTGCTGTTCCGACCCTTTGCTTCAGTAACAAAGAACATTCAGTAGGGCCCTATCTGGGAGTTGAGGAACTGCTGAGCACAAAGACTGCAGGGCTAGGTTGGGTTGGGCCAGTGTTAAAGCCATTTGCTTGTGTCCTGCAGTGGTGCCATGCTGCCTTGAGAACAGAGGAGGCTGACTGGCTGGCTCCTGCAGGCTGCCAGGCACAGGACTTCCAGAAAAGTGTCTGGCCTTTACCTTGTTGAGTCCAGAAGTATTGTCTTAGTTCTCCCAGGAGTGGGTGATCAGATTTTGGTTAATTGATCCTTGCAGACCTACCAGATTACCCCATTCTGGCAGATGTAACCTGGACAAGCTGGAGTCCTCTTCAGGCCTTTTTTGGCTTTTACCCTGCTGTTGGCATTTTTTTATCACGGCATCTACTACGGCTCCAACCACTTTTCATACCATATTCCAACCCCTGCGTTCACGGATTATATTTGCAGTGTTAGGACAGATGCTTCCCAAAACAGCGCTGGAAATACACTCATCTGTCAGTGAGCTGTTTCTCAGGTGCTGCCATTATATTAAGTCTGGGTTACTTTAGGAAGCTCTGCTGACAGCCAGTAGTAGCACTCCCCACCCCTAGGGTGTTAAATTTAGAGAGCCGTTTCCCTTTGGGGCTTTTGCATTTCTGCAGAGAGGACAACATCCAGTGTTTCCTTTGGCCAGCTGTCTCGTGTGTCAGCTCTTGAAAGGATAGACTGGACTTAGGCTAGAGCTCGGTCTAGGTGATGTGTAGGGTGTCTGATGGGAACAGATTTAACAGTTGACCGAAGTGACATATTTATTCTGTTTAGGCTGGGATCATAGAGGAGATGTTAGAGGACACTTTTGAAAGCATGGACGATCAGGAAGAAATGGAGGAAGAAGCAGAAATGGAAATTGACAGAATTCTCTTTGAAATTACAGCAGGTATGACCGTGAGATCCATCCTTTCTCCTCTCTTTTTATGGCCATTCTTCCTTCATTCACTAAATTAGCTAGTAGCTTTTTCTTTAGGCATTAACTCCCTTCTACATTTTTAACGTTTTACACTGTGCAGCTTATTTCTTGAAAAGTAAGCACAATATCTATAACCATCTTTTAAAAAACACAATTCTTAAAATTTTTAGAGTTTGCATGATTTTAAAGGAAGATACTGCTCTCATATACTGCTGTTGGGATTTTAAACTGGTGTAGACTTTCTTGAAAGCAATTTGGCCATAGCCATTCAAAAGCCCTTGCCTTCGCCAAGTGCGATGGCTCACGCCTGTTATCCCAGCACTTTGGGAGGCTCAGGTGGGGGATCGCTTGAGCCCAGGAGTTTGAGACCAGCCTGGGCAACCATAGCAAGACCGCATCTCAAAAAAATATATATTAAAAAAAAAAATTTGACCTAATAGATTGACTTCTGGGAGTTTAATGAAATAATTAAGAATGTGCTGAAATATTTAATTCAAGGATGTCTGTAGTAGCATTATTTATAAAAATGAAACGTTTGAGGGCCAGGTGCAGTGGCTTATGCCTGTAATCCCAACACCTTGTGAGGGAGGCTGAGGCAAGTGGATTGGTTGAACTCAGGAGCCCAGCCTGGGCAACATGGTGAAACCCTGTCTCTACAAAAAATATAAAAATTAGGTAGGTGGGTGTGGTGGCACACACCTTAGTCCCAGCTGCTTGGGAGACTGAGGTGGGAGGATTGCTTGAGCCCAGGAGGTCCAGGCTGCAGTTGGCCATGATCGCACTACTGCAGTCCAGCCTGTCTCAAAAAAAAAAAAAAAAAAAGGTTCGAAACAAACTAAATGCCTAATAAAATCATTTGTGTTATATTTATTTTAATGGAATACTATATATTGTGATAGATGGTATAGAAATATACTCGTTAACATGGAATGATGTTTACAACATGTGAATAAAGCCTTTTTACTGAAATACATACTTTTGTGTAAAAACATGTCTATAGAAGTCTGGAAGGGAGATGATAAAAATAGTAATCTCCAAGTGATGGTTAATGAGTTTTTAAACTTTATTTTTACTTCTAGATTTTCTGAGTTTTATGTTTAATTAAAAAAATGGTGGGGTTTAATTTTTATTAGTTCATTTGTTGGGTTTAAGTTGTTGGGGAAAGGAAGACAGTTACTCCAAGAAAATATTTTGTGAAGATTTAGAAACAATTTAGTTTTATTCAGAAAGAAGATTTAAAGTTTTCAGTAGCATTTAGGAATTTAGATTAGGAGCTTCAGAACCGAGATTCTTAAAATCCTTACAATTATTATGACTTTGGTATCATTACAGGTAGCTATTTGCACATTTCCCAGAGTGAGTAAACCCCCCCAAAAACAGCTTGCTGTACTGTCTCATTTTTGTATCTGGTCAGATTGGTCCAGGAATGAAAGGCAGGGAAGATTGAGGGGCTGCTTCCTTAAGCCAATGTGGTGTTCATCTTTGCTCTTTCTTTTCAGGGGCCTTGGGCAAAGCACCCAGTAAAGTGACTGATGCCCTTCCAGAGCCAGAACCTCCAGGAGCGATGGCTGCCTCAGAGGATGAGGAGGAGGAGGAAGAGGCTCTGGAGGCCATGCAGTCCCGGCTGGCCACACTCCGCAGCTAGGGGCTGCCTACCCCGCTGGGTGTGCACACACTCCTCTCAAGAGCTGCCATTTTATGTGTCTCTTGCACTACACCTCTGTTGTGAGGACTACCATTTTGGAGAAGGTTCTGTTTGTCTCTTTTCATTCTCTGCCCAGGTTTTGGGATCGCAAAGGGATTGTTCTTATAAAAGTGGCATAAATAAATGCATCATTTTTAGGAGTATAGACAGATATATCTTATTGTGGGGAGGGGAAAGAAATCCATCTGCTCATGAAGCACTTCTGAAAATATAGGTGATTGCCTGAATGTCGAAGACTCTACTTTTGTCTATAAAACACTATATAAATGAATTTTAATAAATTTTTGCTTTAGCACTTGGCCCCATTGTAGATTGCCCTGTGCAGTAAACTTTCAAGGTGTCGGCTGCCCCAGATTGCTTCATTTGCTGGGTGTGGAAAGAGTTGCTATGGCCAGGCATATGGGATTTGGAAGCTCAGCAGAAGTGACTTCTGCTCTGTGGTTGCTGCTCCCCGGCTTTCACAGACATGGTATGGCAGCCATTCTTTTATCTATTTAACCAAGAGGATGCTGGGGAATTGTGCTGCTTGTCCTGTTGGCTGGTGGCTGCATTATGTCCTGGGGTGTGCATGTGGGTCTATTTAGAGCTTCTGTCCCTTCCTTCCCATTGCAAGTTGCACCCAGATGAGACAGCTGTAGTACTAGGTCTCTTTCACCTCTCATTGCCTGTCCCTGCTTCGAGCTGGTTGTCTTGTGCGTGGGACATGGGCCTTCCTATCTGTGTTTTCTCAAAGTCAGGAGCTGACCAGGAGCACACTAAGGTGTGGTCATGCATCATAACCAACATTCACTCATCTGGGACATTCTTAAGATACATTTATAAATCATTTCAGCAGTAGTACTTTGTATGTGTTGAGAGTTTACAGAGCTCTTTGACATACGCGATCTTAGTCTTTACAAATAAGGAAAACAGCTCAGTTTGGGAAGTATCAGAGATGGGATTCAAACCCAGATCCTCTGGTCCAAGTTGTATGTGCACTGAACTAATCAGGCAGGAAAAAAGCCCAGCCACTGTCTCACAGATTGTTTTTTGTATATTGTAGCAAAATCCTGAAACAATGGGGTCCTTCCAGTCTCATCATACAAAATGGCAATCTTGGCTGGGTGCGGTGGTTCATGCCTATAATCCCAGTGCTTTACAAGGCTGAGGCAGGAGGCTCTCTTGAGAATAGGAGTTCAAGACCAGCCTGGGCAACATAGCAAGATCCTGTCTCTCCAAAAAAAAAAAAAAAAAAAAAAAAAAATTTCATTTTTGAGTCCAGAGGACCCTCCTATTACTCTTGATTTCATCTTCAGAGTGTAGTTAAAAAATTATTTTAAATAATTATTTTTTTAAATCAGTTGTAGGTTCACAGCAAAAGTGGACAAAAAGAAATTTCTCATATATCCCCTGCCCTCACACATGCATAGCCTCCCACCACTATCAGTATCCCACACCAGAGTGGTACATTTGTTACAATCAATAAACCTCCATTGACACATCATTATCACCCAAAGTCCATAGTTTACATGAAGATTCACTCTGGTGTTGTACATTGTATGGGCTTAGACAAATGTATGATGATATCTACAATTATAGAATCATACAGAATAGTTTCACTGCCCTAAAACTTCTCTATGCTTCACCTGTTCATCCCTTTCTTCCCTAATCCCCTGGCAACCACTTTAAAAAAAAAATTAGGTTCAGGGGGTACATGTGCAGGTAAACTCGTGACAAGGGGGTTTGTTATACAGATTATTTAGTGACCCAGGTACTAAGCCTAGTACCCAATAGTTACTTTTCTGGTCCTGTCCCTTTTCCCACCCTCCACCCTCAGGTAGGCCCCAGTATGTTATTCCTTTGTGTCCATGTTATTTCACTCCCACTTGTGAGAACATGGAATATTTGGTTTCCTGTTCCTATGTTAGTTTGTTAAGGATAATGGCCTCCAGCCCCATCCATGTTCCTGCAAAGGACATGATCTTTCTTTGGCAACCACTTTTTACTGTCGCCATAGTTCTTCCTTTTCTAGAATGTCATATTGGAATCATATAGTATGTAGCCTTTTCAGACTGGCTTCTTTCACTTAATAATATGCAATTAAGGTTCCTCCATGTCATTTCATGGCTTAATAGTGCATTTATTTTTAGCACTGAATAATACTCCATTGTCTAGATGAATAGTTTATCCATTCACCTATTGAAAGACTTCTTGGTGGTTTCCAAGTTTTGGCAATTATGAATAAAGCTGTTGTAAACATCTTTGTGCAGGTTTTTCTATGGGCATGTTTTTAATTCATTTGAATAAATACCAAGAGCTTCAGTGCTGGATCATATGGTTTGTCTCGTTTGACTGTCAAAGTGTACCGTTTGCATTCCCACCAGCAATTAATGAGTTCCTGTTGCTCCACACCCTCACCAGCATTTGGTGGTGTAAGCGTTCTGGGTTTTGGCTATGCTAATGGTTATGTGGTGGTACCTGATTGATTGACATTTGCAGTCCCCTCATGACATATGTTGAACATCTTTTCATATGCTTGCTTCTTGGTAAGTTGTCTTTTCAGGTCTTTTGCCTGTTGTTTAATTGGGTATTTCTGATTATTGAATTTTAAGTGTTGTCTATTTTGGCTAACAGTCCTTTATCAGATGTGCCTTTTGCAAATATTTTATCCCAGTCTGTGGTTTGTCTTCTCATTATCTTGACAGTGGCTTTCACAAAGCAGAAGTTTTTATTTTTATTGAAATCCAGCTTATCTGTGTTTTTCATGGATTGTGCCTTTAGTGTTGTATTTTAAAAAATCATCACCAAACCCACAGCCATCTAGATTTTCTCCTGTTATCTTCCAGGAATTTTGTGTTTTACATTTAGGTCTGTGATCTACTTTGAGTTAATTTTTGTGAGGGTGTTAAAGTCTGTGTCTAGATTGATTTCTTTTTTTTTTTTTGCATGTGCATGTCCAGTTGTTCACCATTTGTTGATGTTGAAAATACTTCTTTTGAGACAGGGTCTCACTCTGTCGACCCATGCTGGAGTGGAGTGATGCCATTTTGGCTTACTGCAACCTCTGCTTCCTGGGCTCAAGTGATCCTTCCCCTGGTGCATGCCATCATGCTCAGCTAAATTTTAAAGGTGTTTTTGTAGAGATGAGGTTTCACTATATTGCCCAGGCTGGTCTCGAACTCCTGGACTTAAGTGATCCTTCCTCTTTGGCCTCCCAAAGTGCTGGGATTACAGGCATGAGCCACTGCCCCAGCCAAGACTGTCTTTTCTCCATTGTATTGCGTTTGCTTCCTTGTCAAAGATCAGTTGACTATATTTGTGTGGGGCTATTTCTGGGCTCCCTATTTGTTTCCAGTGATTATGTCTATTTTTTCACCATTACCACCCTATCTTAATTACTGTAGCTTTATAGTGAGTCTTAAAGTTGGGTAATATCAGTCTTCTGACCTTTTTCTCTTTCAATATTGTGCCAGCTATTCTGGGTCTTTTGCCTTTCCATGTAAACTTTAGAACCAGTTTGTCAGGATCCACAAAATACTTTGCTGGGTTTTGATTGGGATTGCATTGAATCCACAGGTCAAGTTGGCAAAAACTGACATACAGCAATGCCAGTTTATTGTTTTGTGATAGCCTTAATCCAGCTAGTTTCTTCACAGGATGATGTTGAAAATATGGGATGCTCATAATCCCTGAATATTTTTTATGTGGATAATTAAACTTGTTCTGGGTGGATGGTTGGATAGCCAGAATAGTAATAACCTCTCTTCCAGCCACTCAAAGAAAATGATATAAACGTAGGGTTGGTTTAATTGTTGAGAGGTCACGTTTTTTCCATTCTTGCTTGCTCTCAGGTAAGGAAAGAGCACTGTTGGTTCACGCATTCCTTTTTCCCTCATACACTTTGTTGGGCACTGATATGGTTTGGCTCTGTGTTCCCACCCAAATCTCATGTTGAATTGTGATCCTGAGTGTTGGAGGTGGGGCCTCGCGGGAGACGACTGGATCATGGGGGCGGATTTTCCCCTTGCTGTTCTCATGATAGTGAGTTCTCATGAGATCTGGTTGTTTAAAAGTGTATAGCACTTCCTGCTTCACTCTCTCCCACTCCACCATGTGAAGAAGGTGCCTTTGCCCTTCCGCCACGACTGTGTTTCCTGAGGCCTCCCCAGCCATGCCTCCTGTACAGCCTGCGGAACTGTCAGTTAAACCTCTTTTCTTCATTAATTACCCACTCTCAGGTGGTTTTTTATGGCAGTGTGAGAACGGACTAATACAGAAAATTGGTACCAGAGAAGTGGGATATTGCTATAAAATACCTGAAAATGTGGAAGTGACTTTGGAACTGGGTAATGGGCAGAGGTTGGAACAGTTTGGAGGGCTCAGAAGAAGACAGGAAGATGAGGGAAAGTTTGCAGCTTCCTAGAGACTTGTTGAATGGTTGTGACCAAAGTGCTGATAGTGATATGGACAGTGAAGTCCAGGCTGAGTTGGTCTCAGATGGGAGATGAGAATCTTATTCCGAACTGGAGTGAAGGTCACTCTTGGCTGTGCTTTAGCAAAGAGAGTGGTGGCATTGTGCCCCTGCTCTAGAGATCTGTGAACTCTGAACTCGAGAGGGTATCTGGCAGAAAAAATTTCTAAGCAGCAAAGTGTTCAAGATGTGGCCTGATTGCTTCTAAAAGCCTATGCTCATTTGCATGAACAAAGTGGAACTTATATTTAAAACAGAAGCTGAGCTTTTATAAAAGTTTGGAGAATTTGCAGCCCAACCATGTGGTGAAAAAGAAAAATCCATTTTCTGGGGAGGAATTCAAGGCTGCAGAAATTTGCATAAGAAGAGCCTCATGTTAACAGCCAAGAGAGTGAGGAAAATGCCTCTAGAGCATTTCAGAGACCTTCACAGCAGCTCCTCCCATCACAGGCATGGAAGCCCAGGAGGAAGAAATGCTTTTGTGGGCCAGCCCAGGGCCCCACTGTTCTGTGCAGCCTTGGGACATGGTGCCCTGCATCCCAGCCACTCCAGCTCCAGCTGTGACTAAAAGGGGCCAAGGTACAGCTTGGGCTGCTGCTTCAGAGGGTGCAAGCCCCAAGCCTTGGTGGCTTCCATGTGGTGTTAGGCAGGTGTGCAGAAGAGTTGAGGTTTAGGAACCTCTACCTAGATTTCAGAGGATGTATGGAAATGCCCGGATGTCCAGGCAGAAGTTTGCTGCAGAGGCAGAGCCCTCATAGATAACCTCTGCGAGGGCAGTGTGGAGGGGAAATGTGGGGTTGGAGCCCACACAGAGTCCCCACTGGGGCACTGCCTAGTGGAGCTATGAGAAGAGGGCCACCATCCACCAGACCCCAGAATTGTAGATCCACTGACAGCTTGCACTATGCACCTGTAAAAGTTGCAGGCAGTTAATGCTAGCCTGTGAAAGCAGCTGTGGGGACTATATGCAGAGCCACAGAGGCAGAGCTGCCCAGAGCCTTGGGAGCCCACTCCTTGTGTCAGTGTGGCCTGGATGTGAGACGTGGAGTCAAAGATCATTTTGGAGGTTTGAGATTTAATGACTGCCCTCCTGGATTTTGGACTTGCATGGGGCCCATAGCCCCTTTGTTTTGGCTGATTTCTCCTATTTGGAATGGGAGCATTTACCCAATGCCTGTATCCCCATTGTATCTTGGAAATAACTGACTTGTTTTTGATTTTACAGGCTCACAGGAGGAAGGGACTTGGCTGGTCTCAGATGAGACTTGACTTGGACATTTGAGTTAATGCTGGAATGAGTTAAGACTTTAGGGGGCTATTGGGAAGGCATGATTGTGTTTTGAAATGTGAGGACATGAGATTTGGGAGGGGCCGGGGTGGAATGATATGGTTTGGCTGTGTCCCCCCACCCAAATCTCATGTTGAATTGTGATCCTGAGTCTTGGAGGTAGAGCCTGGTGGGAGGTGATTGGATCATGGGGGCAGATTTCCCCCTTGCTGTTCTCATGACAGTGAGTTCTCATGAGATCTGGTTAAGTGTGTAGCACTTCCCCCTTTGCTTGCTCTCTCCCTCTGCCATGTGAAGAAGGTGCTTGCTTTCCCTTCGCCCTTCTGCCATGACTGTAAGTTTCTTGAGGCCTCGCAGCCATGCTTCCTGTACAGCCTGCAGAACTGTGAGTTAATTAAACCTCTTTTCTTCATAAATTATCCAGTCTCAGGTAGTTCTTTATAGCAGCGTGAGAATGGACTAACACACGCATCACTGGAGACAAAATGAGTCAGACACTTAGCCCTAGAAGGCGTTATGATGTGGAAGGCAAATAATGGTTGTACAGGCGTGCAATAAAAGTTTCTCCATTTTCAGGTACTCAACTTGGATCCAGCAATAGCAGCATCAGCTCCCACCCACCCCATCCCACATCTCACCCCAAACAAACACATATAGGATCTACTTGGTGCCCTAATAAAACCATTTATTCATTTCCAAGGGCACTCAAACTATCATTTCATACCACCATCTCATTTTTGTTTGTTTTGAAACATAGCTTTTTAAAAATCACTTTTCAGCTTGAGGTGGTCACCTAGTAGTTCACTCCAGGCAGGCTGTAACCTGACCATCCGTCTAATCTCCTATCAAAGATGTCTGTCTTCCAGAACACTTAGCAATTATACAGCTCACATGGCTTTAGGCACCTTGATTATGTATTTCCAGGTGTGTGTTTGTTTGTCTTGGAACTCCTGGAGAGATGGGGTTCTGACTCATTTGTTTCCAAATAGTACTAGTCATGTCTGCTTTGGGCCTTTTTCCAATCCCACAACTGACAAATCATACAGCTTTCAAAGCTTTCAATTAACTGGGACCATTTTTCTTGTCCTACTGTAGTGACAGGTGCTCTTCAAATGGTAATCTTGATTATCAGTAAGAAAAGGATCTTAGGACTTGGAAATGTTTGGTTAAAATAAACATAAAACAGGTTTTCTTTAGAACGTTTCTAAGGCTTTCATATGCTTTTTCCAAATTTATTTGACCAATACAGTTTTCTTTTGAGGCATCAGAATTAACATCCCCCAGCCACTGAACCATCTCAGAAATGCAGATCTAAGCCATAGTGGGGAAATACCTTGTTTTAGGGTAAGGAAGTTCTTTCCTGTACGTAATTATAGTTTCAAAAATAGATTTATAGAATATCAGCAAGATGTTGGAGTAGACAGGTTCAAACACCCATCCTTCCAGAGAGGGGAACACCCCTGAACCCACTTTGTCAGAGCTCTGGAAAACAAAGGTTACTGTAAAGCAACCAAGTAAATCTGGATTAAGAAAAAGGAAACTTAATACTGGTAAGAAAGCTTTGTGTCATTTTTACTTGCCCCTCCCAGCATGGCAGTGGTCTTGAATACAGCAGCCCACAGACCCTGGTCCTTGGTTCCAGAGGGAACAAAGCAGGCCTTATTCACAAGTTATATGTGTCTGCCATAAACCTGTCTGGGAGACTAACACAAGGTGCTCATCTCCGGTTTGCCTGAGAACCTCCTTGGCAGAAAAGCTGAAGGCATTGCTTGAAAACACTGTAAGGCAATCAGGAAAAAAGTGCGCCTTTTATCTGAGGTAAAAGATTATAGTTGAAATAAATATACAATGGACTGCCTAAAACCTGGGAAGAAAAGCTGGGGAGGTAAAAGAAACCATGGACAAATGAACTAAAAAGGAAACCAGGAAAACACTATGAATGAAATCTCAATAAAGAAACAAAGTATAAAATAGAACCACACAGAAACGCTGGAGCTCAAATGTATACTAACTTGAAATTTTTGAAAATACACTAGAGGGGTTCAACAGCAGGTTTGAGTAGGTACAAAGAGGAACCAGCAAACTTGAAAACAGAATAATTGAAAAAAATACAGTCTGAGGCTGGGCTTGGTGGCTCATGCCTGTAATCCCAGCACTTTGGGAGGCCAAGGCGGGAGAATTGCTTGAGCACAGGAGTTTGAAACTAGCCTGGGCAACATGGCAAGACCCCATCTCTACAAAAAAAAAAAAAAAATTAGCCAGGCATAGTGGCACACACCTGTAGTTCCCAGCAACTTGGAGGCTGAACTGGGAGGAGGATCACCTCAGCCTGGGAGGTTGAGGCTGCAATGAGCTGTGATCATGCCACTGCACTCCAGCCTGGGTGACAGAGTGAGACCCTGTCTCAAAAAATCAGTCTAAGGAACAGAAAGAGAAAAGAATGAAGAAAAGCCAAAGGACTTGTGGAAGCCCATCAAGCTCACCAACATACACATTATGGCAGTATCAGAGGGAGACAAAAAGACAATATTTGAAGATGATATAATGGTTGAAAACCTCTAAAATCTGAAAGATAAGAATCCAAGAAACTGAATTCCAAACAGGATAAACCCAAAGGGATCCACAATGAGACACGACAGACAAACTTAAAAAAAAAAAAATATTTAAAGCAGCAAGAGAGAAGTGACTCACTATGTAAAAGTGATCCTCAATGTAATTTCTTATCAGAATCCACGGGGGCCAGACGGCTGTAAGGATAACATATTCAAGATGCTGGGGAGAAAAAAGCTGTCAATGAAGAATTATATTCCAGGGAAATTATCCTTCAAGAATGAAGGAGAAACTAAGACATTCCCTGAAAAGCAAAAATGAAGGGAGTTTGTTTCTAGCAGATCTGCCATATAGTAAATGCTAAAGCGAGACCTTAAGGCTGAAATGAAAGAACACTAGACTAACTTAAAGTCATACAAAAAAATAATAAGAGCACTAGTAAAGATAATTCCAAGTAAATATAAAAGCCAGTTATACTTCTGGTTTGTAATTCATTTTTTCCTATTTTTTGCCTTAAGGCAAATATGCATAAATAAAAACTATGTTAATGGGCACAATGTATAGAGATGTAATCTGTGACAATAACACTATAAATAAGGAGGGATGAAGATGTATAGCAGCAAAGTTTTTGTATACTATTGCAGTTTATAAGCCAGGTGCAATGGCTCACGCCTGTGATCTTAGCACTTCAGGAGGCTGAGGTGGGTGGACTGCTTGAGCCCAGGAGTTTGAGACCAGTCTGGGCAACAGTGAGACCTCGTCTCTACAAAAAAATAAAAAATAAAAAAATTAGCTGAGTGTGGTGGCGCATGCCTGTAGTCCCAGCTACTCAGGAAACAGGTGGGAAGATCACTTGAGCCCAGGTGGCAGATGTAGTGAGCCAAGACTGTGCCACTGCACTCCAGCCTGGGTGACACAGTGAGGCCCTGTCTCAAAAATGAAACAAGAAAAACTCCCAAAGTTTGTAAAGCTTAAGATGTTAACTGCAGTTCCTGAGAGAATAACCAAGAAAATAACTTAAAAATATATACAAAAGGAAAGAAAAGGGGAAACAATGGTACAGTACAAAGTTTCAACTAAATATGAAATAAAGCAGTAATGGTGGGATTTTAAGTAACAAAAACCAGATAAAACATACCAGATAAAAAGCAGAAGTCAGTCATCTAATTACTCTAAATGTATTAAACTCCAATTAAAAGGCAGATGGAAGGGATAAAAAAACATGATCTACCTATATATGCTGACAATTTAGATACAAAGAAAAAAAGGTTAAAAAAGTAAAAGGATGGAAAAGAGCCCATAGAAATGGTAACCACGAGAAAGCTGGGGTTATCTATATAATTGTCAGACAAAACAGATTTCAGTTTAAGATTTCAGGACACCAAAGAAGGACATTATATGTTGATGAAAGGACCAATCCATTAAGAAGATATGATAATTATAAACATATATGCACCTAACAACAGAAATTCCAAAAGACATGAAGCAAAAATTGCCAGAATTGAAGACAGAAATAGTTCTACAGTAATAGCTGGCGACTTCAATATCCCACTTTCAATAACCAACATGACAACCAGGCAGAACATCAATAAAGAAACAGAGGACTTGGATGACACTATATACCAAATAGACCCAACAGACATACAGAATGACCCACCCAACAACAGCAAAATATACATTGTTCTCAAATGCAAATGGGACATTCTCCAGCATAAACCATATGGGCACAAAACAAGTCTCAAGAAATTTAAAAAGACTGAAATTATACAAAATATCTTTGCCAACCAGGATGGAATAAAATTAGAAATCAGTAACAGAGGAAAACTAAAAAATTCACAAATATGTGGAAATTAACACAATCTTAAAACAATCAAAGGGTCAAGGAAGAAATCACAAGGGAAATTAGAAAATACCTGAGATATGGCTCACGCCTGTAATCCCAGCACTTTGGGAGGCCGAGGTGGGCGTATCATGAGGTCAAGAGATTGAGACCACCCTGGCCAACATGGTGAAAACCCGTCTCTACCAAAAATACAAAAATTAGCTGGGCATGGTGGCACGTACCTGCAGTGCCAGCTACTTGGGAGGCTGAGGCAGGAGAATCGTTTGAACCCAGGAGGCAGAGGTTGCAGTGAGCTGAGATCGCACCACTCCACTCCAGCCTGGTGACAGAACAAGACTCTGTCTCAAAAAAAAAAAAAAAAAAAACCTGAGATAAATGAAAATGAAAACAAAACGTGCCGAAACATAGGGGAGGCAGCAAAAATAATGGTCTGGTAAGGGCTTGCTCTCTGCTTCATGGATGGTGCCTTCTAGCTGTGTTTTCACATTCCCGAAAGGTTAGGGGAACTTGCTTGAGCCTCTTTGATAAGGGCCCTAATCCCACTCATGAAGGTGAAGCCCTCGTAACTTACTTTCCAAAGGCTCCACCTCTTAATACTCTTACATTGGATATTAGATTCCAATATATGAATTTTGAGAGTCAACAACATTCAGACCATAGCAATAACCTAACTGTACACCTTAAGGAACCAGAAAAAAAGAGGAACAAACTAAACCGAGGGCTAGCCGAAGGACAGACAAAGATTAGAGCAGAAATAAATGAAATTGGAAACAGAAAAATAGTACAGAAAATCAACAAAATCAAAAGACAGTTCTATAAAAATACCAACAAAATTAACAAGCCTAGAGCTAGACTGACTATAGGAGAATGAGGATGAGGGCAGAAGTTACTGAAATCAGATACGAAATGGGAGAAACCACCACCCACTTTACACAAATAAAAAGGATTTTAAGAGAATGCTATAAACAATTGTATCTCAATATATCAGCAATATCCTGATACCAATTTCAGACAAAGATACCACAAGAAAAACTACAACAAACCCTTATGGTTACAGATGCAGACATCTTCCAAATACTAGAAAACCAAGTCCAGTAACCTATTAAATGGACTATACACCACAACCAAGTGAGATTTATCTTAAGAATACACAGGTGGTTCATCATATGAAAATTATTCAATGTATATGCCACATTAATAGAATGAAGAATGGAGGAAAAACCACGTGGTTTCTACTGTTGCAGAAAAAAGCATATGACAAAATCCAACACCCTTTCAGGATAAAAAAAGAAAACAATAAAAACTTAAGAAATAGAAGAGAACTTCCTTAACAGCATAAAGGCCATAGATGAAAAATACACAGCTAAATCACTCTGAAAGCTTTCCCCTAAAGATGAGGAACAAGACAAGGATGCCCACTTTCACTACTTTTATTGAACATGGAACTGAAAATTCTAACCAGAGCAATTAGGCAAGAAAAAGAAAGGTATCCAGATTATATACAGGAGTAAGTAAAATTATCCCTGTTCACGGATGGCATGATTTTATATGTACAGTTGCAAAATACAAACCAACACCAAAAATCAGTTGCACTTATAAATGCTAGCAATACAAAAAGAAAAATAATTTCATTTATCATAGCAAAAAAAGAATAAAATACCTAGGAATAAATTTAACCATGAAGGTACAAAACTCATGCAACTGAAAACTACAAAACATTGCTGAAAGACATTAAAGAAGACACCAATAAATGGAAACACAACATCCCATGCTCATGGATTGCAAGAATTAGATTGTTAAGATGACACCCAAAGGAACATACAGGTTCAATGCAATCTCTATTAATACCCAGATGGTGTTTTTTGCAGAAATAAAAAAACCTATCCCAAAATTCGTACGGAATTTCCAGTGACCCTGATTAAAACAATCATGAAAAAGAAGACCAGAGTTGGAGAACTCACAGTTGTTGATTTTAAAACTTACTACAAAGTAGCAGAAATCAAAACAGTGCAGTACTGGCATAAAGACAGATACACAGACCAGTGGAATATGAGAGCCTAGTAATATGCTTTCCCATCTACGATCAATTGATTTTTAACTAGAGTGCCAAGACCATTCAATGGGGGAAAGAACAGTGTTTGACGACAAATGTTGCTGGGAAAACTGGATATCCATATTCAAAAAAATGAAGTTGAATCTTTACACCATATTTAATAATTAACTCAAAATAGGTCAAAGACTTAATTTAAGGGCTAAAATTTTAAAACTCCTAGAAGAAAACATTAGAGCAAATCTTTGACCTTAGATTTGACAATGGGTTCTGAAATTTAATACGGATCCTCTGGCCTCCTACTCAGCTCACAAATTAAAACTCAGGTTCTAGGCTTTGTCTATGTACTATCTGATTTCTATGTTTAATTCCTTTTTTTAAAGAAATTAAATGAAAGAGTGGCCTAGGAGAATCAGTGGGCTAAAGAAAGGCGCTTCTTTGTGAATTTTTTTCCTTCACAGAGATGAATATTTTAGGTAGTACTGTCCTAGAACTTATAATTTCATTTTCCTTCATAAACTTAACATTATGAAGGGCCATAAAACAAAGTGTTTCATTACTTACCTTTTTAGAACCATTTAGCCTGGCACTATTTGGTTTCTTGGTTAATTCCTGTTTCTAAATTTAATTAATTGGTGGTGTTTCCTTGACAAAGTGTGACAGGGTTTCTACCTGGCTGAGCAGAAATTTCCATGTTAGCTTTGTAATAATCACTAAGAAAATCACTATAGCATCTGATTTCTTTGCTTTTAAGAAGAGTTCTTGGAGCAATCCATTACACCTGCATTTGAAGAAAGTTGTGTTGAAACCACAATGAGAGGATAATGCCAATAAACTGAGCCAAAATATTATATGAATATTTTAATGCAAAATGCTTAACACTTAAAATTAGCAAAGCGTCATTTAAATTAAAATTCCATTTAACTAAAGATGGTTAACCCCAAGAAATTGTACAGTAGTTGATTTCTGCTATATAATGCCAGTCCTATGCCATACAATAAGAACTGCAACATTAGCTGTCACTTCCTCCATTGCTCTTCTGGACCCTAAGGGATGAGGGAGGGGACTCAGACACAAAACACAACCCAAATAAACTGTGCAGTGATTCCTAATAGTTATAAACCCAATCTAAGTTGTCCAAACAGCTGAAGAATAACTGCAGGTATTGTTCCAGAGCTGATACGAGGTTTTGCTTTTACAGCCTGGTAAAAGTTCTGCACTAGGTGAGAAGTCACAGTTTAAGGATGCATGTTCTGTAAATAGTTACTACATATACACATTTACTGTCTGTAAACACTAGAAATATACATTAGACAGAGTACCCTCACAAGTTGGGTACAGTTTAAAAAAGAAGATGAGGTAACATGAATCTCAAAGTCCACAGGAATCCTGCCTGAAGAGTTTGAACAGCTGCCTGTAATTCATTTCCAATGTGCAGGGAGATTAAGGTTTGCCAAAACTGGATTCACTGGCTTTCAGCATAGCAACTGCATCTTTCACTGCATGGTAGATAACATTCTTCACCTAAAAATAGTAGGAGAAAATATGGGCATTTTACATTTAAATCTAAAACCTGTCACTAAGAATAAGCTTCCTCCTACTAATTTTATTACCTTCTCTCAGAATTTAAAATTCAATATTCGTATGAAATGTCAACATTGCAAAAGGTCCCTGGGCTCCTTCAGACCAGTATTTCACATACATTTTAAACCCATGATTTCAAGAACTCATTTTCCCCCTTTTAGAGGTTTTGATACCACGTAGACCTACTCACAGTGAGTACAGGGAGAGGCAAGTTCCAAGGTACAGCTTTTATCATTTTTCCCTTATTTTCCAAACATGAAATTATGTTACATAATTCATTACTGAAATCCTTTTGAAAATACCACCCCCTCAGACCTCTTTGAGTCTCAGAGATTCAGTTCTGCTCTACCTAAGAGTGATGAGAACACTGCAGCACTGAAGGTTAAGCACTGTGTTCAAGACCCCGACAGGCAGCTGGGCCAAGATCAGAAGTCACATCTATTCATTTTCAGTACTAAGGCCTTTCTCTGTGGGGACAGTCCCTTATAGATTCTAAACAATATCAAATCAAACCAAGGTGAGATTTCCTCTTGTTCCTCCCTCACTTAAGTAGATAGTAGTACTAGATATAAAGCAAGTTCCTCGACTCACTGTGTACTAAGTACGATATGGCCAAGTTCACTGACTCTCTTTATAAGGTGAAGAATGGGCCATGAAGCCATAGCCATAGCCAAAGAATGCTAGGAATTGGTGCTATTTTTACCTGTAATTTATCTTCGTGATTGGTATGAGTCTGTGACAGATATCGGAATTCCTGAGTAAGCCAGAAGCAGTGTTTAACATGCTCTGGAGAAACAAAATCTTCAGCCACTTTGATGCAGCTATATAAGTTATGAACCTGAAAAACACCAAGTAATATATCAGTAACAAACCCAAAAGTTCATGACATAAAGAGATTAAAGAAAAAGTAATGATTCTTGCCTGATGTGGAGCTCCTGCCGGGATAAACACCACATCCCCAAGAAACTGTACAATAGCCCAGCCTTGAACTCCATACTCTTGATGAAGACGTTTTCTTAATGATCGGTCTAAATACCAGCTTTGATCATGAATAGGATCGTGGTCTGCTGGGTTTTCTTGACCTTGCTCTTCTGATACCTAGAATACATTCAAAATATTATGCAACTCAGTAACATGCTAAGGCCCAATAAGCCATTTTTTTCCTCTAAACAGTGTTGGCAGTTCATAAATGTCAGGCCTTCTTCAACTTAAGTGCCCCCATTGGCAGAAGACGACTAGTAGTATCAAAGACTTCAGCTGAATGAACCAACAGAAGAATGACGAAGAAAATGTGATGTCAGTTCCCATAAACCATGACTGACAGGCTCTGCATAAGTTTGTAAATACTGTATTTAAACAATATTTTAGTCTAGATTTTTAAACATAAGTAGGCTCAGTATCCTTATAAATGAACTTGTTTTAAAGTTATTAGAAACCTGCCTTTACTTAATCTGACTTACGAAACAGTCCCAAAGACAGCTGCAGATTAGACTTGTTTATCCTTGATCCAGTAACTGGTAAAGCAGAGACTCAGAGTGACAATATCAAAAGAACAATATGGTGACCAAGCCGGTTTTCTGGAAGAGCCAAATGATCCTTAGCCAGAAACACTTTGATTCAAACAAATGCTTGTTAAAGACATACTTGGGGCCAGCTAACAGGTTACGAATGTTCATATCCAAGACTCATGAATGACTGAAGAATATCAGCCAAAGACACCTGAGTTGCAACCGGCAGCCTCAGTGCCAAACAATTTTAAAACTGAACACGACTCATCTTTCTAGTTGCCTAGAATTTCCACACATAGCCCTTGCTGAAAAAAAAACCTGCCAACTACAGGGGAAACCTAGAATCTTCCAAATCCCTGCAACCCTTGCTAGTAACAAGTAGGACCACTTGCTACATGACAGTGGACAAAACCAAACTTAGCAACTCACTCAGAACATGGTCACTCAGGGCCAAGGATACATGAACGTCTGAAGTGCTCAGATTCTCAAGGCAATAAAAACAGATATATGCTGGGAGATGATCAGATGAACTAACTTCTAACTTGAAAGCAGAGAACAAAAATCTCTAAATGCACTCTAACACAAAACACAGACATAAAAGACAAGGCCTGCTTTTTTTAGAAGTGTAACCCTAATCATTTAGAATCCTTGTTCCTTAGCAACCACCTTCAGCCTATTCAATCTGACAGGTACAGATTTAACTTTTCAGGTTGTGACAATTCCCCTAGCCAAGCCAGTCAGTTCACCACATGTAGTAACATAATATTGCTATTCCTTATGCCTCTGTTCACACATGCCATAAGCAGCACACCTTTTTAAGAAATTCCCTTATCTTCTCCGTGTCCTTTGCAGCATATATGTGCCACAGTGCTCCTGGCTTCTCTTTTCCTTCAATAAATCGCTTTATTGTGAGTTCGTCAGAATCTCCATCTTGGATGGTCTTAAGGACTTCTAGAGCAAGAAGAGAAAGCAGATATCAGACCACAAGCCCTGGCTCAAAGAGTAAGCCCTCCTTTTATGCTCAGCACCCTACCTTCTTCTTGCTCACACTGTCCTTTGGGAATTCCCACATAGACCATGACATTAGCTGCATCAGATACATCTAAGTGAAGATTTGTTGTTCCATATTTCCGATCTTCAGGAGTGATTAATCCTGCAAAAACAAAGTGCCTTAAGTTTTACAAAAGACAACAAAGGCTGCCACAGTCTTTCCACTACCTACCTGGGGGATGGTAGGTCCCTGATTGACTCTTCTGCTGAGAATAAAAATTCTGGATCAAATTATTGCAAAAAAATTCTTTAACCAATCGATGTGCTAGCAAGAAAAGAAGGAATACTCAGAAGCCAAAAACAGCAGGAAATGGAAGTGGTTAAAGCAGGCTTCCGAAGCTGGGATTTGCCAAAAGGACATCTGCTAGATCAAGTGAGCTCAGGCTTTGATTGTTGCCACAGCCTAGGAGTTCTGGGGCAAGAGACAAAGCCCAAGGACCACTCGAGATGGGGAGTCCAAGGGAAAGCACCCACCCACACACACACATAAACCTGGAACGTCAAATGGCTATCATGAGTATAAGAAGGAATACTGCCCAACGCATTCCTTGGTTCTCTCAACTGTAAAAGAGGAGGGGTGAGGAGTGAGCCAGAAAGACAGGTCCCCCACAGTGTTCAGTCTGTGGCTAATTCCTTGCTCACAGGAGAAAGCTCACCTTGCTCAACAATCATCCTGAAGCTTACCCTGCAGTCACTTTGGGCAACCCATTGTAACACCAGGACTCTGCTTCTTAGACTGGGCAGTAGGGAGAAGCACAGCTTGTAGTGAGCAAGCAGCGGCTGTTTTCTAACCTGCCAGCCTCTGAAAACGCCCCATAATACTGTTTTGGAGGAAGGCTTTATCTCTGGCTTGCCTGGGGCTTTGGTTTTAGAGGGGCTATACTTTTGAGAGGGCACATTTCTTCACTCCAGCTTGGGACCAGGGCCCCCAGAGCCCTGTTGTACTTTCCTTTCTTTCCAGCTTGCTGAAATATCAGTCCTGGGAGTAGGTAAAGCGTTTGGTATTAGGGTGAAATCATAGGATAGTTGAGAGGATGATGAAAAAACATAAAGAGAGAAGACAATGAAACGATTATGGCAAAAAGTTAAAAGCTGTTATATAACTGGGTGATGAGTTATATGGAGTCACTACCAGACTCTCAAGTTTTCACTGTATTTGAAAAATAGTTCCATAGTAAAAAGCAAAATTTCAGAAAAAAGCAATTAATGTAATAGAAATAAAATGAATGAAATGAACACATGGATGATATATGACAGCATGGATGAATATAAAAAATCTGATTCTATTTATATGAAGTTCAAAAGCAGGCTAAAAACTGAAAGAATATTGTGCAGGAATACAAATATATATGTTAAAATTGTAAATATAAGCAAACGATAAACACAAACTTGAAGATGGTGGTTAGACTAAGGGCAATAGGAAGAGGATGGAGCTGGCAAGAAAAGTAAGGAAAGGAGACTAGGAGGCAAAGCCTCAGCAGGACTGGCTGCCTGCTGATCCAGCCAGTGCCACAGTGCAAAACGAGCAAGGAAATAACTGCTGCCCAGCCACTGGCCCAAAGTCCACTGGATCCCAGTCATGGGTAACTGTACATTGATAAAACCAGACTCTAAACCATGGTAAACTGAGATGAAACCAAAATTGTAAAAACATAATGGTCAAAGGGAAAGGAGTGCTAGACAACAAAACATCCTGAAACAAAACACCATGGACTTTTAAGGGGGAAAAAAAGCTGAAACAGTAGGGGCTGTTGGGTGATGGGGAGTTAAGAGTGGGGGAAGAGTAGGGAAATGGGCTCTAGCTTGGAAATCAGGAGATCTAAGTACTAGTTTCAGACCTGCCACTAGCTGCCCCTTGGAGATCCTGAACAAGTCAATGCCCCTTCTACTGTCCGCAAGTCCTGGTCCTCATTTGCAAAATGGGGGGTGTTGCAGGAACTGAAGAGAGGCTGGATTATATGATCTCTCCAAAGAGCCTTTGCACTTACTCTCATGGAAGAGTCACAGCTCAATCACACAACCTTTGAAAAGACCACTCTTTAATGATGTTTACAATAAGATATAAGGTGTTTGAAAATGAACACATCATTATTTTCATCCTTCTGAATGCTTGCTTCTGGATGGGAACCATTTTGTCATAGGAAAAGCTTTTATAGAGTAACACTGCCATCTATTAGTGTCTAGGGGGAAAGACCCGCTGCCAAGCTAGTTAAACCACGCAAGCAATTCTTTTGAAAATTTCTCAGATACCCACCTTTAAAGCTTCAGGATTTCTATAAAGCATGGATAAACTATACAATTTATTGGAAAAATGCTCTTATATACTTAAGTTTGCCCAAGATCCCAACCATGCAGCTGCTTTAATCAGTCTCTGAGGGGCTCGAGGGACAGGACCTCGAGAGAGCACACTGCAGACCCACAGCACATGGAGGACTCACCAACAGAGACCTGAGAAGTGAGGAACAGGCAAGAGGCCTTGTGCCCACCGGGTCTTCTCACCCACACACAATTTCTCTGGTACCCCTACCCTGGCAGAACTATCTTGGGCATGGAGACTGCTGGGAGCTTGCACACAAAAACACTCCCCTGTCACAACAGTCCCCAACTACACTCCTAGTGGTTCCCTGAGCTGACTCAACCGTAACAGAATTGTGGGGCTGGAGTCCTTGCCCCTCCTTCCCTTCCCTCCCCCAACAGTCTTTGGAGAACATAGCGAAGACAACAACAGACCTTGTCCTTTTTGAGAAAGACACCCACAGGTCTAAGGCTAGAAATGGAAAATGACATGGAAGTAATTATGGCAGGAAGAAATAAGTAATTTCCAGGAGGACTGGAAAAGTAGGGGCCAAATAGTAAAAATGAGTAAATAAAATTCACTGAAATATTCAAACAACTAGAACTGCATTCAACAATACATACTTCCTTCAAAATGGCCAACTCGAATCCAGCCCTAATTAAAGGCCATGTGTAAAACTGACGAAGATCTCAGTTATAATGATGATGAAAGAAAGCTCTGGTAAATGGAGAAACCAATCTTTATCCCAGGCATCCTCCTTGTTAGACAGTGAGTATTGAGTCATGTCAAAAGAATAAAAGTCCAACTCAAAGGGTACTTTGAATCCTAAGTAACTAACTTCTACTCAACAACACAGAACACTGCATTTAATTGTAGCAGATGTTAAGACAGCTAGAATGCCAGCAGATTGACCTAAATGTCCGAACACTGAAATCACTAATAAAAGTACATTCTCTCAATGATGTATCACACACCATTAAAAGTCATCTAAAGACTATTAAGTAACATGTAAAGATTTTACAATGTAAAATTAGGTACAGTAAAGGGAAAAACACAAAATTGCATATGCCCTACAACTGCAACTATGAAAAGAAACACACAAACATGTGGCCAGGGAACGAAAGGAAATATGTAAAAATGAAAGCTGTGGCTGTATTACGCATTAGGATTATGGGTGTTTTCCACCTCTCCCTCCCACAAAATCAATTTTCCAAACATTTTGAATTGTTTTATTTCCATTTTAAAGTTAGCCATCTCCTCCTTACCATAAGCATTATACATCTTGGGGCCCAGATCTGGCCGAACAAAGTAGTTTGGCAGCCTAGAGGCCAAATTCAGTTTGCCATCTCGCCTTGTGTACTCGGGCAGTGGAATGTTGGCCATCAGATCATCAAACCTAGAACAACAGAACCAGGAATTTGCAAAGTTAGATTGCTTTTCTAATTCATTATTGTGTAACCTGTTTTGTTCCTTCTACACCAAAAGGAACAAATCCATCTGTGATCATGCAGACTGACAGCCATCAAATATTTAAGATGAGAAGTACAGCAGTTACAAAGATGTCTTCTCTCTCTCCTACAACACACCAATGTGTCAAAATCAGCTGTAACCGTTCAGACAAAAGATCTCAGCAATAAATTCTAGACAAAAAGTTATTCTTAGAGATATATCATTGATTAGTTGTGACACCCTTTTCAAAGTTTCAAGCTCAGTCAGGAAAATAGATCTACCCAGTAGATGTCTTCTTGTCTAACTCAGTGCTGTGACTACATTGTCCTGACCCTGACAGGTCAGATTCCACAACTGCCTCCAAATCAGCCTTGTAAGAAAAAGTGAGCCTCTTCTCTAGCAGGGCCTACCATGGAAAATCTGTGGTGTTCCATTAGTCAGCCAGGCCTAAAAGCCAATCACTTCTTCATCTCATCTAAAAATAAACATGCCTCCAATGACTACAGACTAGAAATGAAAAATCAGTGGCAGTATAATTACAGAACTTTTGTTATTTTCTTGAAAACTGTTTTCTCACTACCTCAAAAAAGAATTTATCCTACCAAGTGAAGGACAGAATCATCTCTCCCCACCTTCATAATCATACCTGGAAGGCATCATATCTCTAAAATCTTCTCCTGGTGGCCAGTCCTTAAGTTTCAACACCATTGGTTCTTTTTCATTTTTCAAACGATCTGAAAGGTAAACAGAATGAACTATTACTATTTATAATTCAGAAACAGACCAAAATAAATGACAAATTAGCATTTTATGCCTCAACAATACAAATAAAATATGTCTCTGCAAAATTTTCATAACCTGATAAATTTAGTATACAAATATTACTTTTCCTTAATTTTCCCCTCCTACCAACTATCCACCATTTTATTTCTGCAGTGTAAAAAAATCCATTTGTACCCAGGAGGCAGCAAGGTGCAGCAAAATAAAGATCACCAACTAATGGATCTGTGTCAGGGCCTTGTCTTTCCTAGAAGCTTATTAAGCTGCTACTCATTCTTGGGAGATTCAGCCGCTCCCTTTTGCCCACTGCATGTAGGTGGTATTTCAACAGCTGTCATCGATCCAATCTGCTCCTCCTCTACAGTGTTCCAGAAGAAGTGAGCAGCATCCCAACTAACCAACAGCAATGCACGTCAACCATCAAGGGTCACAGGTGTTTAGTAAACCCATTTTTCTGAGGCCAGCATGCAACAGAAATTACTTATTCTGCTCAGAGAGAGAGACTGACCCTATCTGATGTTCTGTCCAGGGACAACAAAGACCAACAGAACAGGTAATAATGCCTCAGTGTTTAAAAGCATAAACATTGTAACAAGGAAGGGGAGGAGAGACGTTAATTTTAAACTCCAAAATCCTGGAAAATGCTGCGGCTGCCACTGATGGGTCTCAGACTCCTGCCATTCCTGTGTCCCCTCCTTTCACATCCCCAACCCCCTTAAAAGATCTTTCATACATACTTGGAACATCTTCAAATCCATCCCAGAAGTCTCCTACTGTGGCTCCTGTGATGATTTCATTGGTCCTACAATTAACTAGGTCTACTTCCTGCTCACCAAACTCTTTCCTGAAGGATTCAGGTTTCCAAAGTTCAGAGTTCAATTTATGATGCACTCCAGACACCATCACTGGCTAAATGAAGAGAAGGAAAACTTTAGTCTGAACTCTGCCAGCTCTGTCCCCACTCCCGAAGGCAGTCCCTCTTCACACTGCTATTGGTATATTTCCATGGAGCTGGTGCTCCGTCTCAGATGGTGATGTGACAGTTTCGGCTTAGTTCTCTGAGCTCCCAAAGCACCTCCAACCTTCACCATTCATCTGCTACACACCCTTGCTCTCAAACTACATGGGTAAGCATCTAGGAGAAAGGATCACCTCTCCTAGTAAGATCTCATTACTTACAGCAAGACGGACTGTGAAGAAGACAAGCGCTGGAAGGAGTGTCCAGTGACACCAGTCACCAGTGAAACAGGGTGACTGACCCCACCGTACTTGAGCCTGTTATTGCCAAGCAGGAATATGGCCTGTGACACCCCTCACTACTACTGGCTGTGTGAGGGTGCCAAATCTTTTGGCCGTCTAAGACAACCCAGAAGCTCTAACCTTTATGTGAAATAGTCTAACATTAAAATATTGACAAGCAAGAAAGAAAGCCTGCCGATAAACTGTATTCAGCCCATCATTTTGTTTCTTGTCTATATATGATTAAATGAGCAAATCCTATTAGTACACTGGATGGAGAAAAACATTTTGGAAATTTATTTTTGGTTAAACACTCACATCTTTCTGTTTGGCAATTCTCCCAAATTCTTGTCCAAGAGCAGAGTGTTCCTTTAGCAAAGACCCTATCTGGCCAAACAGAGAAGCCAGAGATCCAGAAAACAGAACCAAAACAAGAAAGCACAGAAGCAGGCCTAGAAATTCTCCTAAAGATATTAACCGGCACTTAAGATCCAACAACACTGCCCTTTGAAGCAGGCACCTGGGGACTATGTGACACCACGCGGCCCTAGCCCACCTAGAACTGCCTTCAGCACAGGCTTTTCATTCAGGTAAGAGGGGTGCATGATTTTGTAGCACATTTTGTCTGATCTCCCAAATCCCATCAGCCTGTAGTCACACCCTCACTTCCTCTGCTGAAGTTTACCATAGGAATCACCAAGCCTGGATGCCCTCGTCAAAAACCCAACAGGGACTGGTAGGAAGCAACAAAAACCTGACTGGAAAAGTCCAGCTTAGGACCATCTGCTTTAAAAAGTAAGACCCATGGCCACATCCTGACCTGATTATATTCACCTGAAACAATAAAGAATAAAACAGGAGGTGAAGGAGGGGGAAAGCCTGGGGTGGGGTTGTCAGAAGTCTGCTAAAGGAACTGAGAAGGGGGTTCTGAATAGGGCAGGAGGATGGGAGGCCTACATTACCTGCCCTTGTTTCCAGCACTCCCTAAACACATTCCAGTTGCTCTTATTGTTGGGGTCTTGCAAGCACAGCAAGCGATTATCACAAAGCCAATAGTGAGGAGTGTCAAAGCCCAGAATGCTGGGCTTGATGGTTAGTCCTTGAGGCCTCTTAGATAAATCAGAAGTCGTCTTATTTTGCACCAAAGAGGCAAAGATGTCATCAAGGATTTTTGGTGTATTCTTGAGTCCATTTTCTGTCTGAATTGGAGAAAGAACAAAAGTCTCAAATATGTCATTCCCTTACCATCAAGAAACTCCATTCCCATAATGAGTATAGATTACATATCCAGAAGATTCCAAGCCAGGACCCCCAGGCAAAAAGGTACGTCCCCTGTCCCCACTTGACAACTCATAGAAGTGAGGTAACAGGAGAAAGTGGCCCAGCTCAGAACTATAGTCCCATAAAACCCATCCTCCAGTGACTCAGCCTTCTGAACCCACAAAGGTAAGTATGTGATTCAGTCTCCTTTCTACTTTCAGTTCCAACTTCTCTACTCTCTTCCTGTTCTGTCTTCAACTTTAAAACATGGAATACCAACAAACAAACACATACCTTTCCTGTAGAAGAATTCAAGAGATTCCGGAGGAAACCAGAATTGTTGTTGCTTACGGGTGTCAAAATTGTGCTGTTAAACGTATGGAGGACTGTGCTGGATTTGCTTAAAGGTGGGAGGGGTGGAAGGCATTTGATTTCATTCTTTAAAATTGGCATTGTTGGTTGTTTTTCTAAAATAAAACCAAAACATCCAGATGAAAAAACATTCTGAAAGGCAAATCCCTTATTAGTATTCTACTAGCAGAATTACTTTAGAACTTGCTTTCTATTTACTGAAACAAAAAAAATACTTTAGGGAGTAAGTATGAATGATATGATTTACTTAGACGATTCCTCACTGATGTTAAAAACAATAACTATCCAGTACAATGGAATTTTGTAAATTGACCTTTGTATCTAGCAACCCTGACAAATGTTTAGTAAATGTAGATTCTTTTGGATTTTTTGCATGTACTGTCTACAAATATTGGCAGCATTCTCTTTACACATTTTTTTTCCCTGAATGCACTGACCAGGACTTCCAGTACAATGCTTAATAAAGAGTGAAAACAGATATCCTTTGTCTTGTTCTTGAACACAGAAACTGTTTAAAAAAAAAAAAACAAAACCAAACAAACAAAAACCTCAAAGACCAGCTTGGCCAACATGGCAAAACCCCACTTCTACTAAAAATACAAATGTTAGCAGGGCGTGGTGGCAGGCGTCTATAATCCTAGCTATTTAGGAGGCTGAGGCAGGACAATGGCTTGAACCTGGGAGGCAGAGTGCAGTGTTGCAGTGAGCCAAGATCATGCCACTGCACTCCAGCCTGGCTGGACAGAGCAAGATTCCGTCTCAAAAAAACTCAAAACAAATTTTTAAAAAAATTCAACGACTATTTATGATGTCTCCAGTCTTGTTTTTTGGTTTAAACTCTTGATTAAGAATGTTCTTAATTTAAGAAGTTTTTTGTAAATCATTAACAGGTACTGAATTTTACTTAATGTTTTCCTGCATCTTGTCCCATGATTCTTCTACATTTTTGAATGTCAGACTGTATCTTCATTTCTGGAAAAACCTTGAAAAACTTGAATTCTTTTCCGGCCACTTGCTAATTGTCTTACTTCGGCTCAAATGAGCTGGTTTCTATATGCTTCAGCTTCCTCATCAGTAATACAGAAATAATGAGCAGTATTGATGATTGGGCATCACAGAATTACATCACATGTAAAGAGAGGGCCTGGACCACAACAGGAGTTTGAATATTCCTTTTCCTCTTTCTAAGGTATGTATAAACTCACCAGCTGTGCTCTTGCCAGCTTTTCAAATTATTTTTTTCTACAACAGTCATCTTAGACTTAATTTATGAGTTCTTTTAAGAGCTCCTTATCACATTTTTAAAGCTATATAAAGGTTTTTCCAGAAATTCAGATGTAGTCTAACATTCAAATATTCCTTCATTTACAGTGTCAAATTTGATTCATTAAAATTTTGCTCCAGATCTTTGCATGAAAGAAGTGGCCTGCAATTCTTCTCTTCTGTAACACAGCCAGAAGGTGGAAGTCCCTAAATTTTAATGCAGCAAAATTTCTCCTCTTTGGTGCTGCATTTCAAAAACACTTTCATTTGTGGCAGGTTCCAGGATGACTCCAGAGAAGCACTTTCCATTCCACACGACTTCTAACCACTGTTCTCTCAAGTCCTTCCACGAATGGACTAAAATACTCAAGAACAAACACAAAAGCAGGAAACACTCACCCTTGTTTTCCTTGTTGACATTCCCGCTGGTTAGGTCGGCCAGCCAGTTTAGAGGAGATGTGCTGGCTGGACAGGCAGGCTTCATGCTGCCGGCTGGCTTGGAGGCTGCTTCCCCACCCACAGCTGCTGGCTCCAACACTGAGGGATTCTGCTGGAGCACTGCACCAAGAGTCGGTTTTTCTCCAGCTAAAGAAGTCTGTGTTAAGCATTAAAGGACGATTTTACATAAGCTGAAGAATGACAGCTTCCTTTTCTTTTCTTCTCTCCTAATAGCCGACCAACAAGTAAGATAAATATCCAGAACAAAACCACCTAATAGTTAGCCCTGGGTATCCCCACAGCTGCAGTAATCCCGCACTAGTAGAGAATAACTAAAAGGTAGGAGAGATGTCAGCAACTTAAACACAGCAAGGTATTACCCCCCGCACCCTTTCACCAGCCCCTGCTGGTACATATCCCTATTACTCTATGTACCATGCTGGTTTAAAATGACCAGTTTGTGCCTGTCTCCCCTATGAACTCATCCCAGAATTCAGGATAGGCACAGAAAACATGGTTAAAAACGAATAAATGACGCAGGCAGGAAAGGTAAAGCGGTGATTTCAGAAGGAAATGGGATGCAGAGAAAGAGAAAATGCTATTTTGACTTAGCTTTAAAAATGTGATGAGCTCTTAAAAGAACCCATAAATTAAATCTAAGATGACTGCTGTAGAAGAAAATAATTTTAAAAACTGGCAAGAGTGAGTTTATACATACATAAGAAGGAGGAAAAAAAATATTCAAACCCCTGTTGTGGTCCAGGCCCTCTCTTTACATGTGATGTAATTCTGTGATGCCCAATCATCAATATTGCTTCTTATTTCTATATTACTGATGAGGAAGCTGAAGCACATAGAAACCAGCTCACTTCAGCCAAAGTAACACAACTAGCACGTGGAAGGAAAAGAACTCAAATTCAGTTCTGACTCCAAATATTACAAGTCTTCTGCTCTCCCATCCTGCCTTATGACACCACAGCTTTATAGAAATGTAAATTTCTGATTATTAAACACAATGCGGCATACTGATTACTGGAACGAGGGGGAGAAGGGACAGCAAGACGTACATGTGATGGTGGGGAGGAGAGGGATGCCACCAAGGAGAGACATATGAGGACTGAGAAAATTAACATTTTTTACATTGTGTGATGGGCAACTAAAGGTTCATTTCATCATTTCCTTCAACTCTGCATAAACACAGGCAAAATATATTTAGTAATTTTAAAAATGTTAAAGCTTATCTTAATAATTTTAATTCTGCAAAATACACAAAAAATTTTTTTAAACCCTTTACAAATTCGACAGCTACTTATTAGGTAGACTACTTTAGAACTTTGTGCTTCTTCAAGAAACAAAAATGTAAAACCTACTACAAGAGGCCACAGTAGAGTCTACGAAAGTAATGTGAAAAGTCAGAACGGGTCTCTGAACTGTCACATGAACTGTATGAATTCTTTCTCTCTCTCTTTCCACTTGATAGCTATCCCCAGGTTCCTTTCAAATGCACTGATAGAAATCCTTGGGTTATTTGAAAAACAGACAAATGACAATTACAAGAGATGTTGAATTTAACATAAGCAGTAAATACCTGTTTTAGGTCTTCCTTTGAGGCTGGCTTTGAAAAGAGTTTGAATTGCCTGTTTGAACAAGGGCAGTTTGCCTTTATTCCCCATTTCGCTCTTACAGAATGAACAATGTCTCCAACATCATAGAGTGCTAAAGAAAGGGCAGAGGCAAACATCTGAACAAGGATATTAGGAACTTTCAACCTCAACATTACAGAGCAGAAGCTGGCATTCCCCACAGGATTACTTTTCCCACTCCCTCCTTTTCATCCTGCTCCAGAGGCCTTCCCCAAAATGCATTTTCTTTTCTACTACAAAACTATCCCACAAAACTTGACTCGAAAAGTGTTGGAGGAATTATCTAATATATTTCTGGACAACTTACAATACACACTAAAATAAACTTAACGAGTAATAAAGGAAAACAAAACTACCAGCTCCCATGAGTTAACCAAGACAAGGGGAAAGAAAATCACTGCAGCACATGAAATACCTTTTCCAGGAATGATCTGTGTGGGCATTAAGTTCTCTGGTTCATGTATCTGACTCTTCACACATTTTAGCCAAGAGAAAGTCTTGTAAGCAGCACCTGCAAATAACTGATTTGTAGTAACTGTTCTTTACAGACTCTGTCTCCACATGCTTCAAGAAACCCGCCAAACACAAATCAACAAAAACACTTGATTTAACTGTGTAGAGGGGCTGGAGGAGAATCAAATCGGTTCTCACCCTGTTGGCAATTCTTTCTCTTCATCCGGTAGCAGTCCACACATACTCCAAACCCACACCGAGGACACACCCAGTGCAGGTTGAAGATGGTGGTGTCGCACACATCACACATTTCTCGAACACCTTTGACAGCTCGCTTCCAAGCAACCTGTCCTGCAAAAATCAGTAAATCACTTAGTCTTTGGAAGGAGAGGGCTTCTGAAACCAAAAACGAAAGGTAGGGGTTATTGTCATTCCTCCCTGTGACTAGACTTCAAATTAACTTTGTTCAGGCTTCATTGCAAATGCTGTCCTCCACCCCATGAAGTGTTCCTGGATCCCCTCAGCACTCCTAGTAACTTGAATTTGTACTTCAGATTCATGCCTCTTCTCACTTTATGTATTCAGGCACAGTCTCACCTCCCTCTAGGAGAATGAACTCCAAGCAGAATCCCTATTCAGACTGTGCAGCAGTAGTTACACAAGTTGGAGCTCAGACACAGGTTATCACACAACAGTGGTTCTTAACCTCTGAGTCATGAGTCCCTTTCAGAATTTAAAGGCAGCATGTTCCAGGCTTTCTCCAAAGGAAAAAAGAAAAATTTACTCAGATCCACAAACCCAGTAATCTGCACTGAGTATCAGGTTATTCAGATACCCTACATCCACTCAGACTGCCCATTAAAAACTCCAAGGTTCTCAGGGGGCCTGGAGGGAGTTGCACATTAACTTTGTGCAGGCACAATGGTCCAAGATCAGTTTCTTCACCAGTCAGTCAGAAATTCGATTTAGCCAGTGCCAGGAATGATGCAGGCACCCAGGACTAACTCACACTAACCAAACATCCAGCAGATTAAGGCACGACCGGGGATTCCACAAAGCAGCATTTTCTGTTCCAGTGGCCAAGACCTAATAACTGGAGGGAGAGGCCTTCCAAAACTGGATGGGCCATTGAACCCTTCCCCTAGATGGAGGAGTGCCAAATCAGGGAACCAAACCAGGTTATCAGCAAGCTTTCAGAAGTATGAGCAAAGGGAGGACATTTCTGTGGGTCACAGAAAAGCCCAAGGTCTCCTGACTAGGAGACTCCTGGCAGTCAGTCTCTCTCTCTCCTGAACAACACTGGATCAAAGCTGCTGCACTCCTGTTCTATGGAGAACATCTTTTTCCTAATCCAGTTTGGGGTTAACTCATTCCTTCTTCAGACTGAACACAACCCAAATGACCAAGCTTTAGTTTATACAAAATCAATCCAACTGCTGAATGAACTTCTGCCATTACATTATAATGTATTGCACAGGGCACAATTCATATAGCTTTAGGCATCTTACAAATGAGATTTTATGAACTTCATCTTGGACACCTGGATTAGACTGTTTCATCAGAAAGTACTCTTAGATCTCTTAGCCACCTGTTTAATGATTATTTGTCACTGAAAGGACAGAATAAAAGTAGTAATAGTCGAGATCTGCTCCCTAATCTCAGGATCAGAGGTAAACTCTTCTGGGTATGGTGGCATATTTCAGTATCACTCACAGTGAGTTTCTCTCTCCAGTCTGACCAGCTTGTCACAGAGAAAAGAAAGAGCAACAGGATAATCAAAAAGGCAAGGAGGAGAGGTTAATCCCATTTAAATCTTCAAGGAGAGTTTCTTAATTATGCTGTAAAAGATAACTGTGCCTTTTTCTATATGAAAAAAACATTTTTTAGATGACTCATCTTTATCAAAGAAAAAGCCATCACTTGCTTAAAACAGCTCTGCTGATTCAGGAGCAAAGCCACTAATACATTCCAAAAAAGTGTTTCCACATTGCAGTCATGTATGTACCACTGCCAGACCAGTTACTTAGGAATTTTTCTTTCAATCTACTACTTTTACTTAAATATATTTAATAAAGAAACTTTGTATCTCTATTGAAAATGGAAAACTAATATTGCTTGTCTTAAACAGACTACAGGGGGAAAAGTATAATAAGACTCTTGACTTAGAGTCTCCACTACCCCAGCAGAATGAAGTAATTCTAAAGAATAGCTCTGGTTGTCCCAGGCACTCGCAATTCCCTTTCTCCCAGGCAGCTCTGGATTCCTAGAGCTGGGAATGACCTAGTCCTGTTCCTTGGACTCTGAGACAGTATCCACATATATTCAATAAGTTATTTTTGTGCTTAAGCTAGGTTGTTAGTTGCTGGTAATAAATCAAAATTCTTAAGACTGGCATGGATGCTTGTATTCAAACATACTTGGTTAAGCAAAGTCTAAAAAGAGACACACCAGAGGAATAGAAAGGCTTCACTTTTAACTTCAACCACTGGTAAAGATAAAATGATGGAAGAAAATATGAGGCTTACAAGACAGATGCCCCATGGTGCTTCTGGCTGGATAACTCATTTCCACAGAGGGACATGGATAGGAAGACGCTGCACCGTCCTCCAAACATCCTAGCTTGAGATGTCATGAAGGAGGTCTGGCTCTAATGTGCCACCTACCCTGATTCCTGTGGCTTAATGGCTGCCAGATCAGTGTAACAGTGCTCCCAAAGAGGGGAAGACACAAGCACATGCACATCTAGAACCTCCAAGTATTCCCTTCAAACCTTGACTCTAACAATCATTTCCATTCTGAACCTGTTCTCATTCTCAAGTCTGGGACCCAGCCCTGCAGACTCTAACTCGGTAGGTCTGAGAGTCAGCCTTCCCATTCTTATTTTCCTCGAAATGTATTCATGATTAAGAACCTTTGTTTTAAAATAAACCAATCTGAGACCTCATCCCCTTTTAGTGTGCCTGCACTGCTGGTGAGGCTGTGCAAATTCCACCCTCACTTCACCTTTCCTAACAAAAAAGGAGTTCCACTCCTCTGTTAATTGGCCCAAAATAAACCCCAAAGATAGGTGGCTAACTCTGATCAAACCTGTTGCAAAAGGAAAAATGCAACCTCATTATACCAAAGTTATCTAAACTTCTGGGTGAAAAAAAACCCAAGCAATTAGGACTTAGGTGTCACTTAGGAACAAAAATCAAATTGGGCTCGAAAATCCTACCCCCTAAGAGATGCTCTTACTGTGTGGCTCAATAGTTGACATAGCTTCCTTTTCAGAAATCACCATTTGACAGAAGTGGTCTCCAATGTTGGCCAAGATGTACTTTGCTGTGTCCAAATCAATCCCCACAACGTTTTTGGTTAAAGGTAACCACAAGCCAATTGCTTCATTGTCATACTTGTTTGGTGTTAAGAAGCCTTCTACCCGCAACACACCATGTTTGTTGAATTGTAACCTAGGGGAAGCAGGGGAAAAAAAGATGTAATGTACACACACACACACACACACACACACACACACACACACACAACTTATTTACAACTTGTAATTACTTTTTTTTTTTTTTTGGGATGGAGTCTCGCTCTGTCACCCAGGCTGGAGTGCAGTGGTGCCATCTCGGCTCACTGCAACCTCTGCCTCCCAAATTCAAGCAACTCTCCCTGCCTCAGCTTCCCCCGTAGCTGGGATTACAGGCGCCTGCCACCACTCCCGCCTAATTTTTGTATTTTTAGTAGAAATGGGGTTTCGCTATGTTGGCCAGGCTGGTCTTGAACTCCTGACCTCAGGTGATACGCCTGCCTCAGCCTCCCAAAGTGCTGGGACTACAGGCATGAGCCACCGTGCCCATCCACAACTTGTAATTACTATTTAAATCAACAAAGTCCTTCCTAGTTTTCTGTAATCTCCATGGCTAATCACAGCCAATGATTATTTGGCAATGTCAGTAGGAAGATTAAAAACACTTTTTCCCCAAAAGACAAGCTAGACAGGGGAAAGAGGAGGGAGGAGAAGGGGAGAGAGGTATATTTTGCACTCAAACCAATATAATCATACTGCCTCCAGGGATAGTTGTTCAACTTGCTGGACTTGACACTTAAGAGCAAGGAAAATCACAAGTTACTACAGAAGTTAAGTCGTTAACAAACAGAAGGTGATAAATAATCTGATCAGATTTAAATACAACTACTGCTTCAAGAAAAAAGCTCAGCTAAAGAAGGGTAACCCCTAGATAGTCACTGAAGCAATGACCACACTGGTCTGTGAGGTACTTGGTGCCTATATAAATTCCAGCTGCACGTTACCGTCCAAGCTTCTGGAAAGAGGGAAGCATTAAAATGGGCCTCAGAACCTAAGAAGTGGAACAAAGGGCAGAACATTTGTTCATTATCTGCCTTCAATACTGTATAACACTTGAATGTTCTTTTCATAAGCTATGTATTAGTTTTAAATTTTTGAAACACAAAATTTTTCTTTTTCTTTTTGAGACAGGCTCTCACTCCAATGCCCAGGCTGGAGTACAGTGGTATGATTACGGCTCATGGCAACCCCCACTCCCAGACTTCAGCAATCCTCCCACCTTAGCCTCTCAAGTGGCTGGGAAGGCAGGCATGTGCCACCACGCCCAGCTAATTTTCTTTTTCTATTTTTTGTAGAGACAGGGTTTTGCCCTGTTGCCCAAGCTGCTGTCAAACTCCTGGGCTCAAGCGATCCTCCCACCTTGGTCTCCTGAAGTGCTTCGATTACAAACATGAACCACCATACCCAGCCTAAAAGTACAGTATTCTGTCTAGGCACAATGGCTCACTGTAATCACAGCACTTTGGGAGGCTGAGACAGATTCAGTTTGAGACCAGCCCAGAGAACACAACAAGACCCTGTCTCTACAAAAAAAAATTTTTCTAATTAGCCAGGCATGGTAGCACAAGCCTGTAGTCCTAGCTACCTGGGAAGCTGAGATGGGAGGATCACTTGAGCACAGGAGTTTGAGGTTACACAGTGAGCTATGATCGTGCCAATGCACTCCAGCCTGGGCAGCAGAGCAAGATTCTGTCTCTAAACATAAATAAGTAAATACATACATGCATACATACATACAAACAAATATTTCTAGTAGGAGACATAAGAAATAGATATAAAACACAATGAAGTAGCCTGTAACAGATATCCTAACAGTCATTAATTCTTATAAGAGCAGAGGAGGAAGTGCTGACTGCTGACTATGAGTTTTGTGGGCCAATACGACAAGGACTTCATAATAAAGAGAGTAATTGAGCTTGCTTTGGCAAGAAAAGGTAGACAATTAGGTAAAGAAGGTATGTCCAAGAGACAGTACTTCATATAAAAGCAAGAAAACTAGAGGTGAACAGGGTGGCAATAGACTAATTAGACTAAAGGGTTTATTCAAATAGGTAAGAATCAGGAAGAACTTGCAGAGGTAAGTTGGGGTCAACTGCTGAAAGCCTTCAGTATTTCATTGGGGACCTTGACTTTGCTAGGCAGTGGGCAGCTATCAAAAGTCATCATGTGAGACACATGCAAAGTTGTGTTTTAGAAAAACCATTTGTCCAAAAGAGTGTAGAATAAACTGGAAGGACAAGACACTGTTACCTAACACACGCAAATTATTTCAAGCAGTCAAAATGAGAGATGAAAGTTTTTAATTTTTTAAGATGGCCCAAATTAGAGATAGTCATAACACAAAAAAATAAATTTGAAAGCATTTCAAAGTGGGAGGTAATGGCAATAGGACCTAGCAGCTGAGCCTTACCACTGAGACCCTACCCCTACTCCTATTTTATTTGCAGAAGAGTTTAATGAGATACAAACTTGATGAGGAGGCTAATGACAGCCTCAATCTTCACTCTAAACATCAGGAAAAAAGTTAAATTATGATATTCTTTTACCAAGATATGAGTTTCTTCTGGTTTCTACTACACTGGCTTCTACTACGCAGCATTAGGCAAAGGTACTTTCCCCTTTAAAGAAGTCAAAAATGAAAAAAACAGCTAAGTCATAAAGTCAATGACTTCTAGACTGTTACAAAAATGTAGTGGGTTAAAAAAAAAAGCTCTAATCATATTACAAAGAACAAAAGAAAGAAAAAAAAATTATCCCTTCCCTAAAATGCCTTTGCAACTTAAACCACTCTCTCATCCAATCTAGTTATATTTTTCATAGCAGAGGAGCCATAACAACATGAAATCAAGTGAATAGAAACACAAAGACCTGTACAAAGCATAACCATTTCAGTGTCTTCAAAATTCATACACATACAAATGAATATGCATTGTAACACACTGTTTAAGAAGAAAATTCTCGAGAGGAAGGGAAACAGAGTTACCCTCTACTAACAGCTTATTCTGGGCCAGGCGTTATTCAGAATATATTAATATATGCATATGTTAACATACGTTAACAGTATTACAGCTCTAAATGCTACCCACATGCTTTATGACGTGCTTTTGCAATTTACAAAGGGATGAATGGGGCAAACTAGTACCTAAAAAACTCTTACTTCGTTAAATAAGCCTGAATCTGAAAGTTACGAGCACAGATATAATGATCTAAATTCCCTGTGCATTTAATTCAGCTCATCAGCAATCTTTTAACTTAGATAAAATGAAAAGGGAGGAGGAGAATAGGAATTGAAATCAACTCTTCTGTTTATGATTAGAGTTAGTCCAACCTGAAAGTACCTAGATTTCTGAGAAAGTGAATTATATCTCAAGTTCAACTATACCAACACTGTTCATTTCTATATGAACAAAAAAGATAGGGCTGCTTTTTTCTTCACTCAGGATAGAAGAATTTAAAGAAAATGATTTTGAAAATATATATATATACACACATATATATACATATATACACATATACACACACACATATATACATATATACACACATACACATATACACATATATACACATACACACATATATACATATATACACACATATATACACATATATATACACACATATATTCACATATACATACACACACACACATATATATATATGAAAATTTTGCCTATAAAATTGGAAAAGATTTTTTAAAAAGGTATGCCTCTCCCTGCTGGCAATGGTACAGAGACCATGGGAGCATGCTCAAACCCTGCAGTTGTCAAGGACACAGGTGCGACCTTCCTGTAGGATAACTTGGCAGAACAGGTGTATCAAAGCCTTAAAACACACACACCTTCTGACCCAGAAATGCCACTTCTAGTAATCCTCCCAAAGCAAATAATCAGGGACATGGACAAGAAGATCATTTCTGCATTACTTCCAGTCACAAAAAATACAAAATAATCTTAATACCAACAAGGGAATTGGTGAAATAAATTATCAAACATTACTATAATGTGCTCTTACACAGAAATTCAAAAGTATTTAAAGAAAAAGGTTATGATCAAGAGGTTCCTACTATGTAATGGGAAAGTAAGATTCAAAACAGGGTGTGCAATATACCAACTAGGTATACCAACTAGGTATACATTTTATGATCATACAGTGCACTGAAAAGTTAACAGTAGTTATTTGTAGTGGTTTTTCAGAACCTTCGACATTTTTCTATAATGACTGTTACTTTTTGAAATAGAAGTTTATATTTTTAAGCTTTGTTACTTTAAAAAAAATCAAAAATAAGAATGAAAAGTAACATGCAATAAGATCTAGATTCTCCAACCTAGAGATTATAAATGCAACATCTACCACCTTTTTACTTCTAGATTTACTGTTGATAAAAGAGTAACAAAAGTATGCCAGATGATCTAGCATAACAAGTATGCCCAGATTATCTGAACTTTTCCCAAAATGCCTCACCTCCTGAAGTGAAAGAAGCGGCAAAACACAGGTGAGTCCTTCTGTTGCTCCTTATCCTTGCGGAGACTGTCCAAGCGACACTCTCGGCATTTAGGCAACTGTGCCACGATGTTCACACAAGAATCATCCTGTACGAAGGCCTCGCCACTCTGTTGCAGCTTTTTGAGTTTAGCTGGGTCTGTCAAAACCGACTTCCTGGATGGGGCTAGGAAAACAAAAGATTAAGGAGACAGGACCTCAAATTTTTAAAAATCACATTCATATATGACTGAATTCTATTCAAAAACCCAATATTCCCTTAAAGAGAACTCCCTTCTCAATTCCTGGTTCAATTGTAATTTCTAAAAATGGCTCAACAGAAGACAACTATCAGAATAACTGGGAAAGTTTTACTCTCTTTATAAAACAATTCTTATTTGCTCAATCCATTTGGCAACATAAAACCCCAAATTAAACAGCCAGACTCACAATTCAAAGTTAATGTATACTTCTATTCACAACTCTACATTTTAGGATGTTTTCAAATCAGACATTTAATTCAAACTCGATCTCGAGGCTCACTTCTGCAGAGGCCTGACTTAGTAGATGTCCATTCTGTCACTTTCCAAATTCAAAAAAGACTGGTTTAAGGTGTGTTTTTAAAAGTACAATGCAAAAGCTAACCATTCTAAAAATAACAATAAACGAATCACTTTCCTACGTAGCCCCTGGGTCTATGGAGTTAGAGCATCTTCTAAATGCCTGTCACTTGACTCCTGACATGTCTCCCCTTCTTTCACACATGTGGTCCAAGCAGGATTAAGAGCACTGGCTACAGACAGGATTATCATTCTAAGTAAATGCAGATTTTATGTTTTAACTTGTAATAGGCCGGAGAATTTGAAATGTTAACATGGTTTCTAAAGACAAGGTAGACATGTATCAGGAAAGAGCAATCACCGTGTCAGAGAAAATAACAAAGTAAGGAATCCATTTGTATGTCAAGAGCCTTAAGGAGTATTTCATAGAAAACAGAAAAGACCTTTTCTTAGGGTCCCAGAGAGCTGAGAAGAGGGAAGTGGGTTTTTAGGCAAACAAACGAAAGTCAAAAACCAACAGCTTCTGGGGAACTAGTTGAGAGATGGGTGGGAGAGGTGAGTCTTGGAGAAAATTGGAAGATCCCAAACCAAAGAAGGTTTTAAATAAAGTAAACATCTTCAATAATTACCTTAGAGGTGATCTAATCTTACCTCTCTTTTAAAGCAGGACTAGACCACATGTAAATTTCTACATGATGCTGTTAGTCCTTGATCCCTTAAACACTCCTACTCAGTTATAGTGAAAGAGAAGGTAAAGTAAGAAAGGAGAGAAAATAAAGAGATTAGTAGTTCAAGGATGTAATTTTAATTACTCAGATATTGAAAGACATCCTTTGAGTTGAGCCAGGCTTCCACAGATCACAGGCAAGAAGGTTATCTTATCTGTTCTATCCTGGCTCACAAGAGGAAATATCTAGAAACAAGAAAGCTGAACTGTCTAAATCTAGCTCTTTACTGAGGAGAGCAACAGGTGCTACCATCAGTGATTCTCTGAATTCAAAGCCAAGTCAAGAGAAAAATGCAACGCCCACTTCCGAGGAGCCACGTATCTATCTGAACGGAAAAAAAGGCAGCTGTTTGACTCCAGTTTGCTTTTGTTTTCTAGACCCCAAGTGGAAGAAAGGAGCAGAAAAGTTTTCCAAGCCTTCTGTACTAACATGCAGTACTAGTGGACACAGCTCAGAAGTCCCGGTAGGCTTCTGATCACACTCTCACACCTCAACCAAAAAAAAAAAGTCACAGTAGATAGCAGGATGTGCTACTCCAGGATGTAAGTTTTTCACTTCTTTTAAAATCCATTAGATGGGGAATAGCTACATAACATATTAAATGAGACAAAGCTGGACTCCGTAACTCACTTGTGTATCTATCATGTGCTTATTGCACTAGAATCTTTACTGTTTCGTCACATAATATTAAATTTGCTTCAAAAACTAGCTGTGTGTGAGAGCTGATGATTCAAAAACAACAAATAGAACAAGGATATGGTTATGAATATGTACTTTCTTTTGAGTGTTACCTAATTTCTGAGAACAGGATAATCTTATGCAATTAATTTTATGCAAATTAACAGCTATATTAACTTAAGCCTCAATGAAGAAGCTAGGTTAGAAGTATTGCTAGGCAAAGAAAGTTCTTTCTATTCTTCCAATGCTATACTAAAAAGATTCGCAAGTCAAATCCAGCCATCTTGCCCTCTAATTTCACAGAGGCCTGCAGTTAAAAAGATAGTGTAGATATATTCATTTTTACTGATCCAAATAAATAAATTGTTTTCGTAGGTTGTTTTCGTTTGTTTGTTTTTTGAGCCAAGCTCTCACTCTGTTGCCCAGGCTAGAGTACAGTGGTACAATCATAACTCACCGCAGCCTCCAACTCCTGGGGTCAAGCAACCCCCCTGCCTCAGCTTCTCCAGTAGCTAGGAATAACAGGTGTGCCCCACCATGCCTGGCTGATTTTTAAAAAAATTTTTTGTGGAGATGGGGTCTCACTATGTTGCCCAGGCTGGTCTCAAACTCCTGGTCTGAAGCAATCCTCCCACAGTGGTCTCCCAAAGTATTAGGATTACAGGTGTTAGCTACTATGCCCAGCCTAAAACATTAACAAAATCCATATCAATTTCCCACATAGCTAACAGTGATCAAAAGGCATCTTTAAATTCTAATAGCTCTAAACCTTTTGACATGCTGAAAACATTTTGTTCTTCTAACTCTAGTAACAGAGCTTCTGATAACTACCACCATTATAATGCATCCTCAAACTTCATATAAGTAGCATCAAGTACAACGTACCAATTTCCCCATAAGAAGAGTAGTTTTAAATTGTGGGTGCAGCAGGACCTCCCCTTAAGCAAAGAGACTCTTCCTGGTAGTTCAGCCCTATCCGTAACATCTTTAACCCAAGTCCTTTTTCCAGAAATGATACAATTCTGCATCTTTTCTAAAATTTCAAATCTTAGCTACCTGTCACAGATCACCTCTTCCTACTCCAACCTGGATGTAACAGAAAGATCAGTGACAAGCTGAAATAAAGTAAACACCAGATTACTTTAGATTTTGTTTCAAAATTTTCTTAACCTAAGAATTGGGAACCACCTAATTACCCACCTAATAGGAACCAGTTAAATCCTATGGTAAATGAACATAATGGAATCCTTGCTTTAAAATACTAATAGACACCTACACTAATTCACAGGGTAAAATTATTGGCATGAACCCATTTGTGTAATACAGTTTATCTGTATTTCTATATACATGAAACCAGGTACACCAAAATATTAACAGTAATCGTTTCTGAGATTTGGGAATTATACCTTCTTTCAACTTTTCTGACTGTATAAACTATTTCTACAAAGTCATTTTCACATAGTTTCTCATAGGACAAGAAAGAGATATATATATCTACCATTTCTTACCTTCTACCAATAAAGATATTGAGAAACACTCACCATTCTGGATTTTATTGTTGCTTCTTGAACAACAGCTTTCATTATCTACTTTTACTGAAGATTCCTTTAAATTCTGTGATCGGCAAGCTAAAGCTGAAGGTTCTACCTTTTTTCCTGAACAGTTATTAGGGCTATCACTATTGACACCTGCTTTCACTTCTGGTGCATTTGAAACATCCGATGGGGAAGGTGCATGTTCTAGGTGCTTCTGCAGTTCAGGAGGATTGGCAATTTCCAATTCTGCCTTAGAAGAAGCCTTTGTAGGTAAGCACTCCTTAGGAAGGCCAGTCAATGCTTGTGGAACAGACTCCAATCTGTTTTCCTGATCAGTGTTTGTCTTAGGCTGAGTACAGCTGCCTTTTGGCTCAGTCAGAATTTTCAAGTCTCCAGTTCCAATCTGAGAGGACTTTGAGAGCAACCCTGCTTTGCAGACATCTGGTTTTGTTCTCAGAGCTTCAGACTTTGTATTTAGACAGGAAGAAATTTCCTCTGGTAAACTTTGTTTATGACATCTGAAAAATATAATATAGAAAGCTAGCATCCAGGCCTCTTTTTATCTCTCCATTATCTTCCCCAAACAAACTGTTTGGTTCCCTAAGGTAACGAGTATGAAAGAAAAAAGAAAATTTCTCATATGTTACAGAATTTAGGATAGATTTCTGTGAGCTAGAGTTAAAAGTCATCAGTCAATGGTTCTGCAAAAATCATAAACACTCAGAAAAATACAACCCTAAATTATGTCTGCACGTTCTCAGAAATCTTTAACTTCTTACGTTAGTTCTACTTCTCACAGCACAATGAACCTTAGCTTTCCCTCAAAACAAAATATTGTATGAAACCAAAGAATATACTCAGCAGATAAGCTGGTTTATAAGTATCAAAACCAGAAGTCTGTGTAGGGGCAATTCCGAAAGTTTTCTTTCTTCTTTTTTTTTTTTTTTTTTTGTGTGTAAATTTCAGAGAAACCTCTGCTAAAACTCTTTCTTCTATAGTAAAGATTATGTTTGAATTTTAAAGATAAAACTCCATTCTTGCTACTTGCCAAGAGTCAAAAATTGAACCTCTAGTAAAGGTCAATGTGTCAAGATAAAAATTCTAAAATATATACGTATATAAAAAATGTTAGAAATCCCTTCAAAGATATTCACACAAAATCTAATTAAAAACGAACAATGGGCAAGGCACAAGGGCTCACACCTGTAATCCCAGGATTCTGGGAGGCCAAGATGAGAGGACTGCTAGAGGCCAGGAGTTCATGACCAGACTGGGCAAAATAGCAAGTCCCCCATCTCTACAAAAAAATTAAAAATTAGCCTGGTGTGGTGGCACGCGCCTGTAGTCCCAGCTACTTGGGAGGCTAAGGCAAGAGGATCAATTGAGCCCAGGAGTTCAAAGCTGCAGTAAACTTAAACTTTGACTGTACCACTGCAACTGCACTCCCTCCTGGGCAACAGAGCAAGATCCTGTCTCTAAAAAACCTCAAAAACTAAAAAAAAACTAACAAACTGGCAGCAGCACAAAACCCTTTTCTGCTATGAGCAACATGTAACCAGCCCTAACAGAGAATAATTTCATTCTTGTTTGTTCAGTGATCAGCACACAGAGCAAATAGAATAGCTGATTGATTACTTGGTTATTCACAGAACGATTTGGTATTTTCCCTGTACATCTTACTAGGGATAGCCTTGAAGAACTTTTGTTTCTTAGCATCCTAGAGTTCTTTCTCCAGAAAAATGCAAAGTCCTTTTTTTCTATTATACCTGTTTGTTCCTGCCTCTACCAAAGGACTTCACCCTGGAGAAGAATTTTTCATTTAAACACTCAGATGAAAAATCTTTCCTTGGATATCACTGAACTTCCTAATGTTCCCTCCGTTTCTATTTTGAAGACTGCTCCTCCTCCTGTCTGACTGCCACATGGCCATCCTCCAAGCTCTATCCCAGACTGACTACTTTTTCCCAGTGAACCAGTGTGCTCAGCCACTCTCCCACCTTCCAAACCTACTTTTCTATACCACAGTCTCTCTGACCTACATCTTAAGGCTGTATCAACTGCCTGCCTACGCAGGCCACCACCACTTCCCAGAAGAGATCCTTCCCTTGAAACTACTTGCTCTGTCAACCTTGTACCTACTTTAAACTTTCTAGTGAAACTTTACATTTCGTACTCATTTTCTTCCTCTACAAGTTAGTAACAGTTACCACCTACAGATATTGCTTCCTCATTTCTATTATTCTTAGAGTCCTCTCTACTGCCAAATTTCTCAACTATACTTGGGTCAATTCATGTCGAGGCTGCGGAGAATCTCTCACTGTAACCATGTCTCACTGCTTCTTCACACTCCCACTGACCTCAGTCTTCCATGTACAACCAATCTGTTCCCTTTTCCTTAAAAGAAGACACCTGTTTTACAAAGGTACTATTTCAATTGCTCCTTCACACTGTATCAAGACAGTCTCTTTTCTCATGCCCCCTTTCACTTCTATACCATTTTCTATGTTGCTCTGTGTGCCTTCTATACTTTTCACCTTCAAAAGCATCTATCCATCTTTTCTCAGAAACTCTAACGAAAAACCTCCCTGGACAACCAGGGATAAAAACAATGAGCCATGACTAAAATAATTTTTTATTATTATAATTAAACATCTTTAACAAATCACTACTCACCCTTGAGGAATTTTTGCTCCAAGGTTAGGTGGAGAGTTGGCAGCCTGGGGAGTACTTTGCTGTCTTGGGTCCTTACTAGGTGGAGTTGCCGCAGTACAGCCAAGCAGTATCTCCTTAAAAACTGTTGTAGGTACAGACTGCACAGGACACATACTGGGAGAGGCCTAGAAGATACCAAACCAACAGATATTAAAAGGAAGTCCCTAGTTAGGAAATAATAAAATGCTACCAAATTTAAGATCATTTGCTTAATACTAAACAAACATAATACCATTGCCAAATAAAAAGAAACAGGAAAGTGAAACAAGTGATAAACTATACAATTCAGGGCTTTAAGACTGTAAGTAATCACTCCAGCTTTTCACAAAACTTATGTCTTCCTACAAAGGATCACAAGCTTATCTTTTTCAGACCTCTGAACCACTGTGCCAGGAAAACAGTCAGGTGGCAATTACTTTACTAATGCAACGCAGAGGTGAACTTTTAAGTGACAGTTTTAAATGGTGGCAGCTTCACATGCATTCACTTTGGCATGACTTGAGTGCCCACCACGCACTTACTGCATAGTTTGGCAGGAGACCAGACCACATAGGACTCTTGTAGGCAGGGATGCCTATTTGGTACCCAGATAAGCCTTTGCAATGCAATAAAAGTTGAGGACAGTTCTTGCTCTTATGTGGCTCATCAAGTCACAGAAGTCATCCCAAGCTGCAAAAAATATCAAGTTATGACAGGCCTGTGGGCAAAGTTGGGACACCTGTCCCAGTTCCCTTTTCAGGTAACTTAATCTTCAAAAAAAGGAAGTATTGAATCAACTTCTTAACAGTTTATACCATTCACAAAAATAAACTTCCCACCATAAAAAAGAAAGGAGAAACTCAAGACAACTAGTCTAAGGCTGAACCAGGTGAAACCAATTCACCCATTTCACCAGGCTCCTCACATGTGCTTAAATTTTTAAGTTATATACCTTAAATTTTTAAGTCATATACCTTTCTCAATCGTCTTGCCTTACCACCAAATCTAAACTTGAAGAATCTCCAAAGTTTCTTCATCTTCTAGTCATTAACTTCTAAAGTTTGATTACAACTTCCACTAATAGGTTTTCTGTTTTGTTTTTTGTTTTTGAGACAGTCTCACTATTATCACCCAGGCTAGAGTGCAGCAGCGCCATCTTGGTTCATTGCAACCTCTGCCTCCAGGGTTCTAGCAATTCTCAGGGCTCAGCCTCCCGAGTAGCTGGGATTACAGGCATGTACCACCATGCTCGGCTAGTTTTTCGTGTTTTTAGTAGAGACAGGATTTTGCTATGTTAAGGCTGGTGTCCAACTCTTGGCCTCAAGTAATCTGCCTGCCTTGGCCTCCTAAAGTGCTGGGATTACAGGCATGAGCCACTGTGCCTGGCCAGCAGGTTTTTAAAACCTGACAATTTCGAATATATTTATATGTACTCTACTCATGAATGCTTTTCTCAGAAATTTACTTGACAGCCTTGAAAAGACTAGCTAGCATATACAGATATATCTGAAAAATAAGAATTTAATCACTGGCAAAGTTTTGGCATAGTTTCAACTATTTTTAGGCACTAAATTATCTGATCATATATTACACTATTTCAGTCAACTCAATTTTGGTTAAATAGTACCTTAATGTTCTCCAGAAGGTGTGATGGTTGGTTTTGGGTGTTTTTTGAGTTTCCTAATCCTTTAAATGAGGAAATTTGTTTATTCCTAAAGTCCCTTTTGCTTGTAATAGTTTGCAATTCCCTGTTAATCTGAGGTTAGTCTCCCAAAGTTTAATGCTAAATCATTTTGAAATGCTTATTCAAGGCTCAATTTTACCAATTATCTTTCCTCATATTGGTCACCTTCCTTATTCTGAATATGTTTAGAATTGATGCACTAATACCTTTCCTCACTCTCCCAAGAGCAACATACTTAAGAAATTTGGATTATAAACCTAAGCATAAATTTTTACTCTGTATAAAATCAAGCCGCTCAAGTTAAAAAAAAAAACCCTCCATCTAATTTCCCATATGTAATCAATAAACCAATAAATCTTGCCTCTATTTGCAAAGTATGTATTGAATCTACCCATTTCTTTTCATGTCACTACTACTACCATCTTTCCCCTAAGCTACACATGTCCTAACCAACCTTCCTTCCATTCTTGTTGAATCCTCTGCATCCTACCCAAGATCTCTTCTACCACAGAGCAATCTCTATAAAACATAAATCAAATAAGATCACGGCAGTCCACTGCCTACAAGAATCCCATGTGGTCCAGTCTCCTTACCACTCCTGCTCCTCCTCCCCCCATCTCTTTCACTGCCCCGCTTGCTCACAGTACTCCAACTACACTTGCTTCCTTTCTCATCTCCTAGTGTTCTAAGCCCTTTCTTGCCTGGGCCTTTGTACTTGTTATCTCTCTGGCTACATCGTTTTCAGTGGCTGGTTGGTTCTCTCTGTTCACCCTCAAGTCTGTTAATATGTCACACTCTCAGAATTTCTGATTACTCTTTCTGAAGTAGCATCCCAAAAGCCGTCCCTTACTCTTTATCATTTTTCTGTTTATACCTTTCATAGCCCTTATCACACCATGAAAGTACCTTTCACTTATTCACTGTCAGTCTCCTCACAATGGGACACACACTGTTTATGGGCAGAGGCCCTGCTGTTGCGCCCACTGTTATAACCTCATAAAACCAAACATACAGTGGATGCTCAATAAATAAGACTGGTGGAATGAACATACCAAGGAGTGAATGCTGTTAGCATGTAACATTTCTAAATAGCTATAAATCAATAAGTCTTATGAGTTACCTGAAGTGACAGGAAGTGATGATCACCACTGTAGATCAGTCTAGCATACACTAAATATGCAATAAATACTTGTTGGAAGGAGGGATGGAGGAACAGAGGGAAGGAGGGAAGAAAGGAGAAATCTGCTATTTTTACAAGGGTGATTCACCACACCAAGGAGAAGATTTGGAGAGCAGTGGCAACAGCACAGTGATGAAGAGTACTGGATTTTGGTGTTAGCCTTTGGTTTGAAATTCAGTCTCTAACACTTCCTAGCACTTTCTTCCCATGAAGTATACTTTACAGGGCTGTGCTTTTACCATAGTGCCTGGCGCTGAAATCAATTTTAGAGATGAGCTGTCTTAAAGCAGAAAAACATTGCGAAAATTTTCTCAATTCTGTCACCGTGTGTTAGAATTAGCACAACTTAGCGTGCTTTTCCTTTAAGAAACTCAAGTATTTCCTTCTACAACTTTCCTAAGGTTTAGCTCAACAGGAACAGGACTCCAATTCCCAAACCCATGTTCACGAGTGCACCTCCGCACTGGCCTCTGACTCAACAAAGGGTCAAAGTTTCTTCTTACCTGAAGAGTTTTCCCTGAAGGTCTTCTATACCAGTCATGGCAATAGTTCCTCCCTGCCAGCAGACGGAGATAATATAATTGAGTGTATGATAGAATTCTAAAAAGGACACTGCCGGCTCACATTCCTCAGCAGACTCTTTCCCAACTAACCAGGCAACGTCGTAACTCTGAGGAATAGTCTGCTAGGCAGAGAAGACCTTCAAGGAGCCAGGTATCACTGGCAAACAGGTTTATCTTAACCAAAAGTATTCATCAAGACAGTCAAGAGTCTTGCCTACTAGTCCCAAATGCCTGTCTTCTAAAGACCACCCTAAAAGTGCCAGTCCAACACATCTGGGAAGTGCAAACACAGTGAGAATCGTGCTGAGTGCATTACTGTACTCACCTTTCACTCATACATTTTCAAAAACTTTCTTTCCCCACTGCTCCCTTTATCTCTCCAGCCCTCCTGAAATCTAGGCCAGGCCAGTGTATCCAAAACTTGTCTGACTACAAGAATCACCCAGAACGAAAGACATTTACCGATATGGAATAATAGTTATAATACATTGCAAGGGAATCAAGGAGGCTACAAGAGTATGGTTTTTAGTTTTAAAAAACTAACAAAAAAAATCAGGTCTCTGTGATAAATACAGGGGGAGAAGAGACAGAAGGAAAGTATTTCCTTACATTACATTTGAAGTATTTCAAAATGTAAACAGAGAGTCTCTGAGAAGTATGATTACAAGTGATGATTCTATTCTTTACTATACTTTTCTAGGTTAACCAAAAATTTTCAAATGAGATGAGCTTCACAATCAAAAAAATATTTTCAAGAACTTCTGAAACCCAGGTAAAAATCCACCTTCGACTTCCTTTAGAATGACGTGACTAGCATAGAGCTCAAGAGCTGCAATGTACATTTTTAAAACACTTAATTTAGTTTATCATATTAGATGCAGAAGTTAAGAAACTTATCTCCAGGCTGAAGTGCAGGCTTATTTTTTTAATAGCTTCTAATGTGCCCAACAATCAGCTCAATAGCACACATAGTATGGGCAACATGCTGAGAAAGATAAAAAAGTAATGCTTCTGGCCTTGCAAGAATTTGAATCAAGGAGACAGGATCATATCATATATGTCTATATGCCCACATTTTACAAGTACCTCCTTGAAGGTTAGAAATTTACTTGCTCAAACACCTTTCTCATTGCTGACACACTCAACATTCTGAAGGCACCTTCCCCCAAGGGAGGTTCCCACTGACCTCAGTTCTGCTTGCACCCCAGATTGATCGCTCCACCATCCAACAGGATACGTCATTCCTATTCCCAACCCTTCTTCCTCAGCAAGTCTCACAGCTCAGCTCTCCTCTTCATCATACTCCCAATTTACACTGACACATTCCCCATGACAGGCAACACACAACCAACTTCTCCAAACTGATATTTACTACTTCTAACTCTAGACTGCCAACAATTTCTCTAACGTTAAAACCTGACATAAAGAAATTATTATTATATCCTGTTTATCTCTCAGCTTCTAATACTATGGATTACTTGACAATATTGTCTCTGAGCTTGACATCCTCTGTGTAGTCCTGGCCACATTAATTACCCAGAGCCTTACTATCTGTTCCCTTCTAGACCAGGGACCCCTATTCCTCAGCAGCTCAGCCCCTTTCTATACTGGGAGACTATATAGTATCATAAATAATTGCCTGACCATGTCACTTGGGCTTCCTAAGCTAGAACTGTCATGTTCTTTGAGGCAGACATTCCATTTGTTCTACCTACTTCATTAGCTAGATTCCTGTGCTTCTTCAGTCCTAACACCTAGTCTTCCACCAAATCCAACTACTGCTGTCTCCTAAATAGCTCTCCACCCCCTTAGCTACCGCCTCACCTCAAGCCTATTTATGATGTGCAATACAACTAACCTCATCAGTGCCCTCATTTCTATTCTCATGTCCTTCCCTCATCCATCATCTACAGAGCTTAAGTCAATCTCCTGAACTTAAAACCCCTGAACACCCCAGACACCCCCTCTTCATCTGCAGCATAAAACCCAAACTTCCTATCTCTGACCCTGCTTCTCTTTTTCCATGCCTCCTGTGCCCCTGCCACAATGAAACATTTGCCCTTCACCAAACAAGACACGTCCTCCCTGTCTGAGAGGCTCTGCCCAGGCTGCTTCTTGAGGCACCTGCAGAGCTCCTGACCAGAGCACTCTCCCTGCACTTGTGGGAGCCCTCTGGAAGTCTGTCTCCCTCACTATCCTATGGAATCTGAGACAGGAACTCCAGATACCTTTCAATCTCCAGGACCAAGTATCCACCACACAGTGAGTACTTAATACAGTAACTATGGTTTCTTGGATGGATGTACTTGAAATTACCTTGTAAACTTTAAGGCAAAAATGAAAGGTAGTAAGACTAATTTCCATACTTAACTCTTCATTCTTTCCTAAACAACCTGAGCCTCAAGAGGTCAAAGCCTATACCCTTCAAAGGAGGACAGAGGCTTCAGACACTGGTTTACAAAGCTTTTGGTGAAGTATCAAAGTTCCTGTTGCCTGTATACAGGAAAGATTCAAGAAAGCCAATTAACCATCCTAGCTACACAGACTCAAGTGTTTGTGTGGCACAGTGCTAGCTTTGGTTCTAGTCGATGCTGTAGTCCAGTCTGCCCTTAATCAAGAAACCCAGATTTATTCATTGGCTTCCTGGCCCACTCCCCATGCCATTTCTCCTGGCCTTGGTCAGTTTTTAAATTTTAAACTCCAGCCTGGGGCAGAGCATTATAAAGGAGTTTTTGATAATTATAACACAGGAAACTATCCATGTGACATTTAGGCATTTGGATTCCTAAGGTGCCAGAAAGTTATTTGTATTGGAATAGGTCCTAATGATTTAATTCACCTAAAAGAGAAATAGTCTCGGTCCAAATGGTAACTATTTCAGAATAGAATTAAATCTGGTACCTGAACCCACAGTAGCATTCACAAAAGCCTATACTTTTCTGGACAGAAATTAGTAATGGCAAACCAATCACTTTCCTTGAAATACATTTGTTTACCCAATCATAAATGACCAATTAAATTCCTTATTATTGAGAAGGTGAAGGTCCTATTTCAACACCCAAACTACTCAGAATTCTAAGGCTCCTTCCCTCTTTTCATGCCAGGCATTGACACACACAACTCAATTTACCTTTAAGAACACTTCCACATGGTGAAATTGTCAAATCTATTGAGAATCTCCAGCAAATACCAAAAAATGAAACTTTTTTACATAAAATAGTGAACCATAAACTTATATTATCTCCATCTGCTTCAGTGTAGAAATTATGGCCAAGATCTGGAACTAGCAAAGAAGAGCAGACAGCAATATAACACTAAAAAAATTTGCCACGCAGCCAGGGGCAGTAGCTCACTCATGACTGTAATCTCAGCAGTTTGGGAAGCTGAGGCGGGAGGATCGCTTGAGCCCAGGAATTCAAGACCAGTCTGGTCAACATACCAAGACCCTGTCTCTACAAAAAACACAAAAATTAGCCAGGTGTCATGCATGACACATGCCTGCAGTCCCAGCTACTATGGAGGCAGGAGTTCAAGGCTGCAGTAAGCTCTGGTTGCACCACTGCACTCCAGTCTGAGTGACAGAGTGAGATCCTATCTCTAAAAAAATAAAAATAATTAAATAAATAATAAAAAATAAAAACTAGCCATGCAATGTTGGAGTTAAGGAAAGCTTTACACAAGTGACATAAATAAAGGTTACCTCAGAGCAAGATTTTGCTTGTTTGGAAACCAGGGTTCCATTATTCTCAGAAGACTTGCGTTTTACAGCTCCAATTCTTGCAGAATTACCTAAAATATTTAAAAATAGGTTAAGTTGGCTTCCCTGTTTCTCTTAATGTGAGAAGAACGGAGGAAAGGAGGAAGGAGAAGAAAGATTTTAATAACATATCTTACCACATGTCACAAGGTTATCGTGTACAACTTCAACATGAATCAGTGACGGATCAACAATTTTCAGTGCTGGAATCTTAAAAATAAATGAAACAAAGATACCGGAAAATAAAAAATGCTCAAGAACATACTGAAAATCAGGTTCATTAACATAACAATAGGAGCTTCTTATGAATAATTTCTTTTTAAAACAACTGTAATTATTTCTACCCTATAAAATAATAAAGGTATTTAGTGCCTAGAAAATCATAAATGCTTTGTATAGTTATCATGCTTTGTCGAGTTATCTTACAAAGAGTTATTGTTGTCTTTACCTCCTCACAGTTGACTTGAAGAGTTTTTGATGCTGGGTTTCCATTTATAACGGTTGCTGAAAACCACTGAGTAGATGGGTCCAAGCTATAAATTTTTACTTCTGAACCAACTAAGTTTTTGTCACCTTAAAAAAAAAAAAAAAAAAAAAATCTTAGAGCAATTTGCATTATCTCCCAATAGCAACATCATCCAGGACAATCTTTTCCTAAGTCTTTTTTAAAAAAACGCAAAAGTAAACATTAAAAGAATCACTACAAACATAAGATGACTGACATTTCAGAAAAGCTATGAGAAAATTTAAACTTTTTATTTTGTATCGGACCAAAGTAGTATTAGACAATTCATCAAGACCTCACTCACTGTCCTGTGTAGTTTTAGAGGAATCAAATTCAGGAACCCCAACAAAAATACTATGTCTGATAATCTAAAAAACACAGAAAAAAAATGTATGATTGTAGAAACTCAGTAACACAAATGGGAAGGTAAGGAGTATCAAATTAATGCCTTATCCATTTTATATGGCTGATATTCCAAACATATCAAATTCCACATCAAAATATAGCTGAGCTTTAAAAATATCTTTTTTCTTTTCTTTTTTTTTTTTTTTTTTTTGAGACAGGGTCTTGCTCTCACCCAGGCTGGAGTGTAGCAGTGTAATCAGGGATCACTGTAGCCTTGACCTCCTGGGTTCAAGTGATCCTCCTGCCTCAGCCTCCTGAGTAGCTGGGATTACAGGCATGTGCCACCACACCGGGCTAATTTTTTTAAAAATGTTTTGTAGAGATCGACGTCTCCCTGTGTTGCCCAAGCTGGTCTTGAACTCCTATCCTAGGCTCAAGCAATCCTCCCACTTTGGATGTCCCAAAGTGCTGGGATCACAGGCTTGAGCCACTGTGCCTGGCCCTACTTTACTGTTAGTTTCATATAATCCCTGAACTTTCCAAATTTCAGAGGTTTTAGCAACACACACATTTTTTGAATTTTAAATTTTAAATTTCTTAAAAATTTATTTTAGAAAAAAAGTAAGAAATGGCCCGGCGTGATGGCTCACACTTGGCAGGCAGATCACTTAAGGCCAGGAGTTTGACACCAGCCTGGCCAACATGGTGAAATAGTGAAATCTTGTCTCTACTAAAAATACAAAAACTAGCCGGGTGTGGTGGTGCGTGCCTGTAGTCCTAGCTACTTGTAAGGCAGAGGTTGCAGTGAGCCAAGACAGCACCACTGGCACTCCAGCCTAGGAACTAGACTGTCTCAAAAAAAAAAAAAAAGAAAAAAGAAATTTCCATGAGCAAATGAATGAGAGGCTAAACCCTAGTTTCTCACAAGCTAATCATTGGTCAACTCGTGAACTATCACCACTAGATAATGCATATACCTTTTAAAAGATGGCTTTCATCTAAATGCTTCACAATCAAAGCTTGAAATTCTTTACTGACAATCTGATTATCCGTAAGAGAAAGTCGAAGACTGTTTACATCCTGAAAAATGAAAGATCATTACATGTTAAGGGTAACAGTTAATAAGAAGAGTTATTTAAATTCCAGTGGGCTATTTCAATTGGTTAATCAAATGGGTTAAAGTAGTGTCAACAAACCATGTGATAGCCCAAATCATTCCAATTCCAGTAAACCAGATGGCTCAAAAAGTCCTAGACCATCAAATGATCACAGCTATAAGGCAGACTGAAGTAAAGTCATCCCAAGCTAGAAGCATGAGAAATATTAAGAGGAACTCAAAGCATAATTTTAAAAATGACTAACTTTGGCAATGGGAAAAAAGTAAGCAAACAAACAGCTGGTCAATCCAAGTAAAAAACACTCTGTATCCTAAATACTGGGGATGGGGAAATCACAATCCAAATCCAAGGGACAAAAAACACAGATATGACACACAAGAGACAGATGTATATGGTCGATTCATTGCAATTACTGTCTGGGTTTTTTTTTTATTTTATATAACACACTGCATGTACTATATAATACACTGTGTAACCTACTAGCAGGGGTAGATGACCATAACTGAGAGTTAGTTTATTCATCAATCAGAAAAATGTTTCCTTGATCAATGTTCTCCAAACCTTTTGACACATTGTAAAGATTAACTCCAGAGGTACACATATCTCTTTCCACCAAAGTCCACTGATAATGGGCAGCCCTTTTTTCCATATTCCCATTAGTAAACCCATGGCTGTGCCCAGTGGCCACCCTGGGGATGAGCAAGCATGCACCCATGATGGCAATTTTAGGGAAAATTTTGAACCACATCTCAGCCTGGTTACCTAGGCCAAAACCCTATTTTCTAAGGCCCCTTAAAGCTGACCAAGCTTCAGCTCCCTTCCTGGTAAGAAACTGCTGTTTTTAACAACTCATTTCACACAGATTCATTTAACCTAACTAGTATTACAAAATGCATTCTTTTTTACAAAAAGGGAGGTGGGGGGACAAACAGAAAATCTGAATGAATAGCCTAAGGCGTCAGAGTAAGCCAGTTCTGAAACATTCAATTCTTGGCAGCAGCTCCATTCTTGGCACTATTCCACAGTCTTCTGGCTTTGTGTGCACACCCAGTTATGATAAATGTAATACAGAAACTGTCAATAGGAATAACTTGCCAAACCGAATTCTAGCAGGGCAAAGAAAAAACAGTGCTCAACACAGAAGCCCTTCCAATATCAGGGCTTTATGCTTTTCTGCCACTGTGAAATGGATAATGACCAAGAATGGGTCATCCATTTTTCCCACTGGGAAGGATAACTAGTCTGTTAGAGAAGCTGTGCTGGAAAAATGTATTTCTTTTGCCAAGTAACATTAGACAAACCTAGGGACTCCATAAGAGATCAACATTAATTACCAGAATGGGTTAGTTTTTGTTTTTTTCTCATGCATGTATTGTTTATGCAATTTCAAAAAATTTAATTATATTCTCCAATTCCTACTACAAGATGAAAGTATGTATCAATGGAAAGAGCCGCAAAGGGCTTCAATAAAGTAGAAAAATATTAGGCTGCCTAGGAGAGTTTAGGGCTTAACGAAAGTGCAAGATAGTTGTCCAGATACCTTATCTTTTTCTTACCAACAGATAACTGAGTAAAATTCAATCTAAAGACGGACCCTAACTTTCAATCCCAATTTTTCCACATGCCAAATGATTTTCAGGTGCTCTGTGCATTATCTAGAGCAAGTATCCTACTGGGGTAATCACATCCCCCAACGTGGAATTTCGTACAGCCTACTGTGAACACCCATATCTACAAGATAATTCTCTGAAGTACTAAACTTTGAAAACTCAACATCACTAAAAGTCAAGACCACACATTATAGTTCTCCCAGTTAATTGTATATCGTATTAATGACAACATTCACACTGATGGCTCACAGCCCCACAGCCCCTCTTCCCGAGAACAAATATAAACTTACTAATTTAGATGTTTCTTTCTCAATCCCAAGAAACAAAACTAGGGTTCTACCTTAATTGAAAACCTTAAATACAGGAAAGATGTAAATTCAGAAAACAGCACTAAGAATAAAAAATTCCTTTTATTACTCAGTAAAGCAAAATATCCACAACCCCCCTGTATGTTATTTGATCCCTGCAAGCAAGTCAGTCTTCCTTTTAAGTCAGGAAAAATATCAAGATGGGTATAACACAAGAACTTGTGTCTGAAATTAACTAAGTGAAAGCATCTTCCTCTGTTCCATTACTTAAACATTATAAAATAAGGTTCAGATTATGAATCCTGTTTTCACTCACTTTCCAGATATGGAAGTATGGATGAGACTCAAGTAGAGGAAAAGCCAGTGCTTTGGGCTTCCCGATACAGGCTCGGCAACCTGATAACCACTGACCCCAAACTACTTTTAGCAAATAGGTTTCATAGTTCTATACCCCAAAGAAACAAGTCAGGTATGAAGTCACAAAACAGAAGGCGGTAAAGAAGATTATTCAGCTTTATAAATGATATCTAAAAGATGAATATTATTATAATGTGTGTGTTTGTATGCGTGTGTGCAGTCTATTCTCATCATTTGCAGTAGTTATGTTTTATCAAGTTGCAAAAAAATGTTTTATTAACAAATACTGAACCATTGCTCCTAGGGGAAATACAGGTGTAGGTTCCTTCAAGCCTCTGGTCACATTTTCAACAACCAATTGACACATAATCTTGTTTTATGTGTTTCTGTTGAAAGACATCTTATTTAATATATACTGCTTATGCACTAACCTTGAATTCACAGCCAAGAGCACTATAACTCAGACGAATGAAGCTTATCTAACACATGTATTTTGTTCTTAAGACACATCATGGCACTTCAGCACTGCTTTTGGGGGCCATTTTAAACAGTGAAATCACCAAAAAAAAAAAAAAAGCACAAAAATGCAGCACTAAATAGACTGCAAAAAGCACACCTGTTTACAGCATAAGTGAAACAAGGTGGAACATCACCTTATTTAACCTTAGCTAGGAGCTGGGAACCTGCATCATGCAACTCAAATTATTTGCAGCTCTGCAAGTACTGGTGAATGACCATGAACCACCACAAGTATTGATTTGGGGTTACAAATATATTTTAGCAAATAGGTAAATTCACAAACATAGAATCTACAAATAATGAGGATTGCTTGTATATATGTATGCATGAGTGTCTATGTATGCATGCACATATATGTATATAAACAACGGTCTACTTTTAAATATTATTTTCATATCACCTAAGTGTTTCCATACACACACACCATCAACTATAATACCCTTGTCCTTTCAACCGTAAATGGACAGCACTAACCTAAAAGCTAACATTGAGGAATGATGTCTAACACCTAACTGCTGATGGGATGGGTTCTTTCCTGTTAGGTATTTAAATTAGAGCAGTCAACATCAATATACAGTTGGCCACTGAACAACACAGTTGTGGACTGTGCAGGCCCCATTATAAACAGATTTCCTTCCACCTCTGTCACCCGAGATTGCAAGACCGAAAGTCTACTCAACATGAAGACAAGGACAAAAACCTTTTATAATGATCTACTTCCACTTAATGAATACTAAATGTATTCTGCTTATGATTTTAATAACATTTTCTTTTATCTAGCTAATTTTATTGTAAGAATACAGTACATAATATATATACAAAATATATGTTAACCAACTGTTTATCAATAAGGCTTATGGTCAACAGTAAGCTATTAGTAGAGTTTGGAGGGAATCAAAGTTATATGTAGATGTTTTACTGTGCAAGGAGTAGGCATCCATAATACCCACACTATTTAAGGTTCAACTGTACTTTACTTCTCATGTTAAAGGAGTTCGTATTTCTGTTTCTAATGTTTACTACTGTTTCTATGTTTTACCTGTATAGGCTTCAAAAGGTCTTTAGAAAGAAATACTCTTTGTTGATCTCCCAGAAAGCGAACAGAAGTTATGGATCCCAAACCAGCTTTGTCCAACAGAGGTTTGTACGTCTAAAACAAAAGAAAACACTTTAGCATCATAACTGCTGTCAGCATAATTCTGAAAATAGGAACTGGCAATTTTCCACACACAGAGAAAGTGATAAAGCCACTAATTTTTTTTATTTACTGCAAGTTATCTCATAACAACTATTTATGCAGCCATAGATAATACAATTTTTATTCAAACCCAATAATTTAAACCAGATAGACATTTGGGAGTTATTAATATTCAAGACTGGGTTCACAGATTCATGGTGTCCCAAAAATTTATGCAAAAACTGTTTGTATGCACACTTCTCTGGGGAGACAGGCCTGTGTTTTTAACCAGTTCTAAACAGCTGGAAAAAAAAATACAAAGAGCAAAATAAAACTTTAACCACAACCCTCATCTCTCAAGAATCTCCATAGCAGCTCTTTTCACTCATGGGCAAAATCAGATCACAATCTGATCAGCCTTCAACCATTCTCCCGGCCTTTCCAAACTATCCAGATCCAACCTTCCCTCCTTGAAGCACCAGCTCAAGTCCCATAAAGACTAAAGTGCCCTCTCCAGACAGCGCTCACTCTTCTCTTTGCACCACACTTTACAATGTGGATATAGCACAATCATATACTGACTTATAGTATCTTTAAAGCCAAAAAATATAATAATCCAGAGGGAACCTTAAAGATCATAAGATCAAGACTGGAAACCCTACAGAGAGCAAGGCAACAGCTACTATTTGGCTCTAGCCCATTGCTGCCATAAGGCTCCAGTGTTGCCATTATCTTGTAGATTTTTTAAGAGACAATGGAAATCTAGATTTTCAGATGTATTCTCCACATTTTTTAAAGTAGGCAATTAATTCAAATGTTTTGAAAGTACTGCAAGGGCCAAACCAAACAGATCTATATGTTTGCATATGACTGCTAGTTCCTGCCTTCTGACCTAGACATTCCCACTACTACCTCCATCCCTATTTGTCAAGTGAACACGAGGTCCAACAAAGTCAAGGGACTCGCTCAGAAGTGCAGAGTTCTTAAAAGGGCTGGCAGGAGATCCTGGGAGCTTTTCTGACTTTCTGGCATTACATTTACATATTCCTTTTGTACCCACAATGGATAAAATGCCCTCTTCTCAGGAGTTCAATAAGCCCAAGTTTTACTCACTATTGCAGGCCACTGTACAATTCGTTCAGAAATTTCAGGTGACTTTCGTTCAGCTAAAACCAAATTATGTTCTACTAAAAATGCTCTCCTTAGAAGGCTGTAGACTTCTATCCATCTTCTTTTCCTCCAAGATTCCCCATCAAATTCCACACACACCTAGACAGACAAAATTGGGGGGTGGGGGAAGCAGATTCAATTTATTAAAATAAGCATTACAAATGCCCCAGCTGAACTATACCTTCATTATTCTATTTGAATCCTTTATCTGGATGTGCTTTCCCCCTTCCAGCTCCCTCACTTCCTGTCACAGCCCACAATACATAATCACACATGAACCAGGCTTTGGCTCCCAACTCACTTCGGGATGCAGAAGTCAAGGCTTTTTGGGCCAGTCTGTGTCCCTAAAGTAAACCCCTGGGAAGCCCAGAAACCAAACAACCCCTACTTATCAGGCGTTTACATACATTAATTAGACATCTGAGCTTTTGGAATTGCAAGACAAAAATTTGAAACTCAAAAGATGTACTTAATAAAACTGCACTGTAATTGTCTATTGACAATATAAGTGGGCTTAAGATGACCCCCCATCACCACAATCCACCACCTCCTTTTGAATTCCTCTGGAATGAGTAAATTTAGCACAAGGCCTAATATACAGCACATCTTCAATATCCCTTTCAGTTGAATAAGCTAGGAAATTTACCACAGAATTTGGAGTCTTAAACTACTTGTTGGATAACATAGAAACGAGTGATTAACAAAATGACCACAAAGTTTTTCAGAACTATCTCTAGCTTCTTATATGAAAGTTAAACTACCTTGAAATATTGTTTTCCAAGTAATTGTAATGTTTTCTGCTTCTGACCTGCATAATACTTTTAACCCTAAGGCTACAACTCTTAAAACCTGTATACATATTTAAAGACATTAAGAAAATTCAGTCTAAAAGTGGGCTTCTGGGAGTGATCTATGAGTAGGAATTGTTTACAAAACCATAAAACTCAAAGTCATATAAAAGCATTGAAACACTCCAGCTTCCTTAACCTATTATAAATATGCTACCCCTTAACTTACTCTAGGTCCTCTTCAATGCTTTTTGTATTCTACCAATGACAATAAACTCCCTCGATATTCAGTGTAAAAATCACTGTTTTTATTTGATTTAAAATTCCTCCTCTTACTAAAGAGGTCTCTCATTTTGGTTTCCAGGAATTAGTTAATACATCTATCATCTATCAAATCTGTTCATCATTTTACAGACATCACTCATACATCCCTTTTCAACCTTCAGTTTATTAACTAGTTAACTTCATCTATCAGAGCACAATTCATATATCCTTTCCTCAAACAAACCTTCCCTTACCAAAGTGCCTCTCTCTCCCAAGAGAGGTCCCCATACTAACTGTACTCAAAGTTTTGTACTTTTCCGTCTTAGCTCTTATCCACACTTTGCATTATTTATTTGTTAACTGATTGACAATTAAATTCTAATAGGTCAAAGTCTGTCTCTGCTTTTGCTTACAACTGTATATCACTAGTATATGGAATCTAATTGGTACTCAAATACTTGTTAGCATAGATTAATGAATAAATTTCCCTCTGCATTGGGTTCCTATCTTGTTTCTCTCACCTGCTTAGAAGGCACTAAATTCCCACATTAGCCCCAATCCCAAACCTTCTCCAGTCTACAGGATAAAAATAAATGAAATCTAAGATCTATCCTACCCTTCTCAGCCAACAAAACATGCATCCCTAACCTCCCAGGCGACTTTACCTAGGAAACTACATATCTTCTTGGTATTTTAGGCTTTTAACTTTGCAGTTATTACTGAATACTTTCCAAATCAGAATAAATGTGAACACCCACGTGGCAAGGCCCACATACGTTTCTCCCTGGTTATATGTTTTCTATCACTGTAATCAACCAAATGGTCTTTCATAAAGGTGGGCAGAGACTGCCCATCTTCCTTTCTGTTTCCTAGCCACAGAATCCATATGCTCTGACATCTCCCCTAAATTGGCTAGTCTTTCTGCTCCATATTCACATCAACCTCAAACCCAACCAAGCTTTAGGTAGACAGTTTTCTTATTTATCAGCAATGTGGTATAAGAGGAATGAGCACACACAAATTCTAGATCCAGATTCAGAGACCTTGAATTCCCAGCTACACTGAATCTCTCTTAGAATGATTTTACATGTATAAAATAAAATACTTATGATTACAAAGGAAACCAACTAACTTGCACCCCAGGTTAAGAACCCTCACTTAGAAAATCTAAGTTCTCTCAATGTTTTTCAAAATGAAAAAAGTGACACCTCTCATTGCATAGTTAGGCATATTTTAAAAGACAGTGTATGTAAAGTGTCTGGCAAGACAACTAGGTAGTTTTAATACCTCCATGGTTAATTCAAATCTTATCAAGGTATCACTTATTAAGTTAGGAGCAGGGGAAAGAGGATCTTCAACACAATTATCTAATATCTATTCAGCAAAAAAAAAAAAAAGTGCAGAATTAAGAAGGATTAAGATCTTAAGTGGTTTCCCAAAACTTAAGCAACATCACAGTTCTTACCAGATCACTATCTAAAGCTTAAGATAACCCTAAACCAAAAGACAGACAGGGCCCCTTTCCATATCCCAATTTTTGAGTGATTTGAAAAAAAAAAAAAAAAGTTTACCTCCTTAAAAACAATTTAAGTTTATGACTTTCAAATATTATGCTGTATTAGCCAAAAATCACATTATTTTGGTTTGGAAAAAGATGACTTTAAAAAATATATAAGAAAACCAACAAGTTGTGAGCTTTCTTCAATATTGTTCAAAAGTTTCCTATCAAAACCATATATGTCAGTCAGGCATGGTGACTCACACCTGTAATCCCGGCACTTTGGGAGGCCAAGACAGGAGGATCACTCGAGTCCAGGAGTTCTAAACCAGCCAAGGCAACGTGGGGAAACTTCGTCTCTACAAAAAATACAAAAATTAACCAGGAGTGGTGGTGCCCACCTGTGGTCCTAGATATTCAGGAGGCTGAGGTGGGAGAATTGCTTGAGCCAAGGAAGTTGAGGCTGCAGTCAGCTATGATTGTGCCACTGCACTTCAGCCTGGGTGACAGAGTGAGACCCCATTTCCAGAAAAAACAAAGCATCTTTCATTTGTGCCTTAAGGTTTGAGGTTTTACACTTAATGACATCCCCCAAAAAAGCTTCTTCTGTGGACATTTCTACAAAAAAACACTTATTTTATTTTTTGAGACAGAGTCTCAATCTGTTGCCCAAGCTGGAGTGTAGTGGCGCGATCTCAGCTCACTGCATCCTCTGCCTCCCAGATGCAGGTGATTCTCGTGCCTCAGACTCCCAAGTAGCTGGGATTACAGGTGAGTGCCACCCACACCTGGCTAATTTTTGCATTTTTAGTAGAGACTGGGTTTCACCATGTTGGCCAGGTTGGTCTTGAACTCCTGACCTCCTGACCAGATGATCCACCCGTCTTGGCCTACCAAATTATTGGGATTACAGACATGAGCCACTGCGCCTGGCCTAAAAAGACATTTAAATTCAGTAAGAACTAAAGTGACTTGACCAAGCTCATGCAAGCTGACAGATGCAGCTAGTTTCTATTCTAAATTGTGTTATTTCACCCATGCTCCTTTGGCCCACAATGAGATGTGACTTACACTGTGTGGCTTCAAAGGCCAGAGTCAACTATGATTCACTACCTATAATTGTGAAATCTGCTCTTCTTTTAATGGGTATTTTGCAAATGTGTACCTTATTAGTACCTATGAAACACCTTGACCAAATGCTCGATATTTCAGATTTTTCAAGCCAATGTTTCCCCAACAGAAAATCTTTCTGATATATGAATTAATATTGTATCTAATAAACTAATATCAAAATCTCCCACTCTTACCATACTCTCATCTCACCTGACTATATGATTATAAAGGCCATCAGAAACACCAATGAAAATGTTTCCAAGTTTAAAAGCAGGAGCACAGAATGATATGGTTTTTAGACAAATTTTTAATTACATGTCTATTTTATGCCTTGCACTACAATGCAGGATACCACTTAATTCACTACTCCACAAAGAAATTAATTCCTTGTGCTTCCACTTATGTCTTCTTATGCCTAAATGTTTGTCGAAGATCCCAAGGTCCAGCATTCAATTAAAAGGGGTAAACAGTTTTTATACCGTGCTAGAAGTTTTTTCATTTTACATGGCTTGACTGGCAGCAGATTGCACTAACATTAAAGTTTCAATGGTGTGCAAAAATGAAAGGCTAGGCATTAGTCAAGGCACCAAATTGCTGACAATAGCAGGAAATGGTACATACAGATGGCAAGGACTAATTGCCTGCTAAGGACACCTGTAAGGACTAAGAAGGGGCATTAGACGCAAGAAACAGGTAGGCTTCAAAGAAAAAAGGACAAGTTAAGGAAGCAGGGCATTAGACTCAAGAAAAAGGTAGGCTTCAAAGAAAAAAGGACAAGTTAAGGAAGCAGGGCATTCCCACCACGCATAATTATGTGAACAAAATCAGCTAGGAAGCAACTCATTTCATACTCAAGTAGAAAGAGCAGGATAAAAATAAGATTAAAGCAGTCTTTATAGCCACATCTAATTAAGATCTGTTGTTATTCCAGATGAAGAGAATGCTACTGCCTCATCAGTAGATTCTTTCTAAACTGTTTCTCCATAGGAGAGGTAATAATTTTATGATTCCTTCACTTATCCATTCAAATAGCTGAGCACACACTACATGCCAAGCAGTGTTCTCGGTGCTAGGGATATAGAGGCTAGCAAAATAAAATGCTCTAACCTCGCTCTACCTGAATATTAAAGCCTAGTGTTTAAGGTCTGGAGACAAACTCAAGTTATTTAACTTCTTTAAGCCTCAGTTTTTGACACTAAAAATGTAGTTTACCATCTAGGATATTTGTGAGGATTAAATGAAGTAATCGCCACATAATATCCATTTAATGATTATTTTTTCTTTGCTAAATCCTGATGTAACCATTTAATCATAGTTATCCACTGTTATTATGTCTTCACCTTAACTTCTCTGTAACCAACTACTAGACATATTCTCTTTTTGTCATCTAAGTAAGTGGTTTTGTTATAAAGTCTCTCTAGGTGAAACAAAGTTAACAAGCCTTGGCCTCATTAATATCATCCATAACTATCTAAACAAGCCAGTCTAGACAGACTTGTATTTGTCCTAATAATAGAAGAATGGTTACATATTACTTGAATGTTATTTATTGACATTCATCTCAGCCCCTCGCCCCACCCCCATCTCACCCCCCAAAAACTTAATGCCCCTAAACCCTAGTGTAAGCATGGTCTTAGTTACTTGGTTCCTGCCTCCATCTCACCAAGCACAAATTGGTTTTGGTGTTTTGAGCCCAGGAGTTCCAGACCAGCCTGGGCAACAAGACCCCCCAACTCTAAAATCAAGGTAAAATAAAATCCTGGTTTTTTTTAATGCAACATGGCCCCCAAACTTAACATCTGCTACTCAACTAAGGAATGCAGTGATAAATCATGACTAGAAAAGAGACAGAAGATTGGCATCTTACATGAGGGTTGAGTTGTGATGTGTACAAGTAAGGCAAAAATCCAACCTAGCCAAAATTGTTTTTGACATGAATTCCCAGTTGTCTTCAGGTTAGGCACCAAAGTGCAGTGGAGAAGACACTGGGCCCAATCTGGATTCGCAGCCTCCCTCCGCAGCTAATTATGCAAATCTGGACAAGATTCCTTTTCCTAAATCTATTTCCTCATTCTGAAAATGAAGATATCACCACCTCCTCAAAGGATGGGGGCGGAGGGAGGAGATTTAAAAAATATATACATGTGAAGTTCCTCCTAGATTGCCTGCCTAACCCAACAGGTCCTCAATTGCTGCTACAGAAGGGAAGGGAACGCCTAGTCTCTCAACATCTGCCAAAGAACTAAAGACTGGAAAGTTTAAATAAAATCTTGTTTCCATTCAAATCACATAAAAACAAATGCACTAGAGAAAATTTTATTTGGCAGGCGAAATAAACCACAACAAGCACGACTGAAATCTAGTACACAAAGCCCAGCTTACAGAAAGGTTATAAGCCCAAAGCAAAAAGGTTGGCCATTCTTGCACCACAATATATTATCTCTATAAACATCAAAACCTGATTTGGCAGGAGAATGAGCCGAATGCAGGAAAAAACCAAACCTCACAGCCTATGACAGGAGCTCTGCTGTGGCATAGCTCTTGATCACTGGCCTGATGGTTAAGAGGGCAGCTTCTGGAGTAAAACTTCCTGGGTTTGACAGAATACAGGCTATGTCAATTCCTACGTATGTGTCCTTGGCAAGATGCTTAACGTCCCTCAGGCACAGTAGTTTCATCCATAAAATGGGGGCAATATTAGTACCTACCCCCAAGAACTGCTGTAAGGATTAAACGAGATCATAGTTGTGAAGTGCTTGCCACATGGTTAAATGCTCTTCGGTCACTCCTCCTTTTCAACAAGAGACAAGGCACAACACTGAAGCTTTAAAACATGCCTAACAGCATACCCCTTTCCTACAACTCTTTGCAGATAAATACCAGTTTGGGCATACACTGTCACCCTGAAAGTGTTCAAATGAACAGTGTTTCAGAAATCAACATATAATCAACTGCCAATGCTAAAACTTGCTGCCTTTATTTGAACATAGTTTAAGAAAAAGCAAAGATGATGGCCAAGTGAAGATTCTGAAACACATCTACTAGGCAGGGTGGAAATATCTTCTGTTCTGACAAGCTTCCTTCAAGTTATCACCACTTTGGAGTCTTTGTTAGGAACCTTTTTTCAGTTATTTTCGCACAAAGGAGTCTTTGTTGGTACAATGGCTTCCTCACTGCTTGTTCCCAGACAATCCTTTCACATCAATACTTCTATTAGGGAGCACAATCAGAATTCATCTGTCTTTGAAAAGATCTAACAGAAAAAGGTTCTGAGTGTCATAATGATTTAAAAAAAAATCACTGGCCGCACTTGTTCCCAATTCTCTCCCTCCCCTCATGCGTCCAAGTGCAGTATTTCTAAGCCAGTCCTCCAATATGCCATATATGGGACAGCTCCACCCCATCCCTCCATATATGGTCATATCCCACACCCACCCACCGGCTCATCACAGACAACCAGGAACCCACTCCTGCCCTGACCCACCATATACGGACAAACACCCATCCTAATACGCCAAACAGAACTTAAGCTCCTCCCTCTACACTCACTTCATTTTTAACAAGTCTGAAAGTTTTTTTAAAAGTTGAGTGAATAAATTAACAGGAACAAACAAACAAAACCAGCTGAAAGTACTTCCAAGCACTAACCTTCAATTCTTAATGACTCCAAACGTCACTTACAGGCCCTACCTAACGCTAACAAAAATACTCCTCCTCCTCTGCAGTAAAGATGAGACAGTCCTGGTGGGACACAGCACCGGCATTAATGAAGCGTGTCTGAACAACCCTAAGCCCATTATTAAAGCCAGGCAGCCAGGAGCTGTGGGCCAAACACAACTCGGCTCTATACAACCATTCCAAAGACTTTCAAGATCTAGCTTCCTGCACCTTCAGATCATATGCCAACTTTCTGGTCTCCGTTTTCAGAAAACGGAAGGAGGGAACCGATGGTCGCGTTACCACGGTAACTGCGAAACGTCCGGTGGCAGAGGCCCGGAGCCGCCTGTACCTTCAGATCCTTCTTGGTAACGTCGGTGTGGGAAACAGCTCGAATGGTCCCGGAGAGCCAGGGCCACTCGGCGACGCGCTCCACGTCCCAGCTGTCGTGGCTGCCATCGCTGCCGTCGGCTGCGGACAGACTGAGAAACCTCCTCCCCACCAATACCGGCCAACTTTCTCCGAGCGTGAGCACCATGGTTTCCACGCCTGCAGGAAGAGCTCCTCCCTGCAAAAACACAAAAACAAAATGCGACGGGGGCGGCCGGTGGGAGGGGGCCGGGCGGAGACAGCAGGGAGGGCGGGCGGAGGGCGCCGAACCCGCGCGAGGACGCGGCCCCGGGCGGACCCGCACCGAGCCCCCCTCCTGCGCCCTCCCGCCCCCCGCCGCCCTCCCCCGCCACACACCCGGGCCCCAGCGCCGCGTGACCCTCGCTCTCCCAAGTTTGGCTTTTCTAACAGCTCAAACGCAACCGCAGAGGGAGTGAGGGAAAAATTATCTGCGGCTCGAGTGGATTTGAAAGTGCTCAGCCCCCAGCCCCGAAAAGAAAAGGCCCCTGGTGCAGAGAGCCGGTCCCGGGCGGCTGGGTCCCCGCCCCGGGCGGCCCCACGGGGGAGGGTGGGCGAGCCCGCGATTCCGCACTTGCCCCGCCGCCCCGCCCCGGCGCCCAGCTCCCCGGCCCCGAACCCCGGGCGCCCGTCTCCCGGGCCTGCGCCGCTGCCAACGGGCGACGGGGCCGCGCGCTCGGCGCTTTCACCTTTCTCTCCCCTCTCCCCGCAGCCGAGGCCGCGGCGCTCTTACCCCGCCTCCCGCCTCCCTGAGTCACCGGCGGCAGCCGCCGTTTCCAGCCGCCTAGCCGACTCCAGCGCTGACTTGGTTCAAGAGCTCTCACAAGACACGCACAGCCTCCCGGACCCGCCCCCCTCGGAGCCGCTTCCGCCGCTCATTGGCTGAAACACAGGAGCTGGGCGAGGCTCCGGGGGAAACAGATCATCACCATTGGCCCCCCGGGCGAGGGCGGGGCCAGAGAAAAAAACAATTCCTTGGCTGCCTCCTCCCTTTCCCCTCCCCCTTCCGACTCCCGGGCGACCCCCATTAGGTTAAAGTACACAGAGAATAAGCGAGTGATCCCTCCGCCATAGGCCTATTCTTTCCATTTGTTGCCTCACAGTATGCAAAAAAAAAGTCCCGCGAAATCGGTTATCAACTTTGGGGCCCGGAGGAAAATTGCTGTGGCGCATAGATAAGACTGAATGGCGAGACCCTGAGCTATAAGTGCCTACTGGATTGTTCTTCAACCGCGTAGGCTGTCGACCGAAGATGAGCCTTCCACTTGGCGGAAGAATCTCACAGGAAAGGGTGAGGGCGGTGCAGGGTTAGCGGGGGAGGGCAGGGAAGAGAACGTGCGGTTTCAGGCGTACTCAGCTAGAGGGAGGAGCGATAGTGCTCTGGAGGCTCGTGCGCAGGCGCCTCGCCGAGCTTAGGCTGCTGGGCGAAATGGCTGCGGGAGGCGCAGGCGCACGTGGTACTGATCGTGGAACGTCTAAAGTCCGCCATTTTGAAGGATAAATGAAGAAAGGCGTGGAGTTACTGGATAATGACGTTCATTAAATTTAGAGCAAAAGAGACCTTTAAATACAATGTATAATGAGATTTTTTTTTCTCCAAAGTGGGATTGAGAAGGTATTCAGATACTTACAAAGAAATTTAAAGTAGTTGAAGGCCATAATGAATGATGGAAGAGATGAAAGAGAAGGTGACTTTGAAGGACAAAGGAGTTTAGAGGTGATTGTGTGCTCTGGACCTGAAGTATTTTGATTGAATGAAAAAGAAATGGAATGAAGAAATTGAAGATATGTTCATAAAGGCTAGTGTTTGACATTACATCACATTTAATCCTTAAGAAGAACTCATGCCTCCCATTTTACAAGCGTGGAAACGTATAATCAGAGAATGTTTGGAAACATATAAGGGATTATAGATGCAAATCAACTCTGGATGTTGATTTTCAATATACATATTCTGAATGTGATTTTAAGTTTTTAAAGTTAGTAACAAGAATTAAATTGGATTTATAATCTGTAGACCATTTAAAGGAAGGGGGCTGCTAAATGAGAAGAAAAAACCTATCCAGCTGAAAGAAGGCAGAAATGGGAACGAGATAAGCAAAAGAAACCAGAACATATGGTAAAAATGTTTTTCATGTGAAAAGTCCAAACATCAGTATTTACAATAAATGTAAATGGGTTAATTTCACTCACAAGTTTTAAAAGACAGTTGGGAATAAAAGGACAATCCAGCTATAAATTGACCATAAGCAAATGCTTACAAAACAGGAAGCTTGAAAATACTGGGCTAAAATATTTAATCAAATGGTAGCCAAATGAAAGCAGTATAGCAATATTAATACAATTAAAAGTATCAAAAGAGAAAGGATTTTATATTAAAGATAAAGTCCATGAAGACAGTATGGTCTCCTGAACTGTTATGAATCTAAAAACATGGCCTATCCTAAGGTGACGCTATGAACGATGAGAAATTTTACAAATTTGACAATTTGTTTTCAGAGTAGAAGACATAAATATCTCAGAAATATGCAACTCAAATGTAAAATATAAGGGAAGATATGGAGAACTTAGATTATGTAATTAAATATTAATTTGAAAAACAACTCAAGGGAAAAATTCTATTGAACCTGAAGGAACATATACTTTCTATGTTGAATTCATTATTTCAGAGCTTAGAAAAGATGGAAAGATATCCAATGCATTTTATAAAAGTTATAAAACCGTTTCACAAATTCTGAACTGGGCGAGTATAAGAAAGAAAAACTATGGTTCAATTATACTTAGGAACATAGATGGGAAATTCTTTTATAAAATACCAGCAAATTAAATCCAGCAGCATTTTTTTTAGGTAATTGATATGATTAATTAGTGTTATATGAATGCAAAGATACTTCAAGATTAGAAAATTACTAAAATTCACCATGACAGGTTAAAAAAGAAAAATCGTATATTCACCTTAGGGCTAAATAGAGCATGCAGTCACATTGAACACTTGTGATCTTAAGAGTATTTTTAAATTACATAGAAAACTAAGAAGATTATAAGTGTACACTTATATTCAATACCACCCATAATTTTTAAAAAATGTTTTTAAACTTTCTAAAAACCTAGGAATATAAGTTACGTACCACAGAAAAACACCCACACACATATGAACGAAAAAACATCTGCAAATAACCTAAGTGTACTCCAGTTGGAGAAGGAATAAATAAAATTATTAACAATAAATGGAATGTAATGCATATATTGGAAAGTTGTAGAGGATTTGTAAAGGAGTCAAAGCAGCTAGATGTTCCAATAAAAATAGTTACCAAAATACATTATGAATGAAAAAGAAATTTGCATTTGGTACTATTTCAAAATACACATACAAAAACAACAGTATATATGTTCTGTTAAATATGGTTATTAAAACTTACAGTAATGGTTACTGGTATTAGGGGGTGCACACTAGAATTAGGGGTATTAGTCAAAGACAACACATATTATTTGTAATTCTAATTTTTTATAAATACACTTTTTTTGTATTTACATTTTTATCACCTTATTTTTAATTGACAGGTAAAACTATATGGTGTACAATATGATGTTTTGGTATAGATATACATTGTGGAATGGCTATATCAAATTATTTTACATATGCATTCCCTCACATACTCATCTTTTTTTGTGTGGTGAGAACACTTAAAATCCACTCTTAGCAATTTTCAAATATACAATATATTGTCATTAACTGTAGTCACCATGATGTACATTAGATCATTTGAACTTATTCCTCCTGTCTAACTGAAATTTTGTGTCCTTTGACCAACATCTACCCAATCTCCCCACTCCCTGTAATTCTCTCATTTTATAAGGTAAATGTACTCACATGTTACTTTTAAAATTTAATTTTTAACTCTCATTAATGGAATCTGCTACATTAACAAATTAAAGGAGAAAATACATATGATTATCTCAATAGATACACCAAAAATTTTATATACTTCATTTTCATTCATTATAAAAACTCTTAGCAAACTATCAAGAAAAGAAAATTTTATAACTCTATAAAGGATATCTACCAGAAATATACTTAAACATTGTACTTAATTGTGAAATTTTAGAAAAATTCCCAATAAAGTCAGGAGCAAGATAAGGATGCCCAATGCTGTCATTACTATTCAAGTTACAATAGAGGTTAATTGCTAATGTAATAAGACAAGAAAAATAATACAATGTAAACATTGGAATGGAAGAAAAAGCCCAAAACATTTGTAGATAAATCAAAAGCATCAGTGACAAATTATTAGAATTAAAACAAGAATCAAAAAGATAATGCAATAAAAGATCAACAAACGAAAATCAAAAGAATTCCTATTCCTTAGCAAGCATCAATTAGAACATACAGTAGAAAAATAAAAACCATTAATGATAATAAAACATGTAATCCCTAAAAATTAATACATGAAATGAACACAACCTATATGAAGAAAATTAGACTTTGCTGACATGTATAAAGAAGATGAAAAATTCTGTCTCTTGATATGATCTGATAAATATGTCATTTCTCCTCTAACAAAACAACAAATAAAAACATCAAGACATAAATATATAAGTAATGAAGAGAACAAAGAAACAGACCCAGTGTATATTAAAAATTAGTTTGTGATCGACATATTTCTAGTGGGTGTAAAGAATAAACTATGCAATACATGCTTTGAGGTCTATTGATTATCCATTAAAAATGTATATATAAGCCGGGCGCAGTGACTTATGCCTGTAATCCCAGCATTTTGGGAAGCTGAGGTGGCAGATCACTTCAGGTCAGGAGTTTGAGACCAGCCTGGCCAACATGGTGAGACCTCATCGCTACTGTAAAAATTAGCTGGCTGTTGTGGTGCACATCCACAATCCCAGCTACTCGGGAGGCTGAGACAGAAGAATCACTTGAACCTTAAACCCAGGAAGCAGAGGTTGCAGTGAGCTGAGATCACGCCACTGCACTCCAGCCTGGATGACGAAGCAAGACTCTGTCTCAAAAAAAAAAAGTATATAATGTATATATAACCAAGATTCCTACACCAACATTCACGAAAATAAGTTCCAGGTAGATCAAAATGCTACATATTTTAAAATCCAATAAAATATTTTAAAATTCCCTCCTCTCTTCTACTTTTTTCTCTTTCCTTTCCTCTTTCTAAACATTTCAGTCTTGAGGCCATTAGGAGGGGCAGAGCAAGATAGGTGTTAATAAGGAGAGGCTGTCAGCCATGGGATGTTAGAGCTCTAAAGAGTAAGGAGTAATAGCCGGGCATAGACAGTCAGAGCCCAAGTGGGGTGAGAAGGGTAGACACACAAAAGGTTAACCTAGCCTGGGTTATCTAGAGTCCAAGTGAGGTGAGGAGGGCATCCATGAATGGGGGCAGCCTAGTGTGGTATGTTGGAGCCCAAACAGAGTGAAGAGACTGTTTACATGAGAAGAAAGCCTGGCATGAGTAACAGAGCCTGAGGAGGGGGAGGAGAGTGTGTAGGAGAGTGATTTGACATGGATGTCAGACCCCAAGGAGGGTGAGGAGGGCATTCATGTAGGGACCAGCAGTGGGCACTGAAAAGACCAAGAGATCTCTTAGAAGCAGCAGGAGAACCAGGTGAGAGGTACATTCTGGAAGCAAGCCAAAAAGAGTTTCAACTTGGAAGACCATGCAGTAAGGTCAAAGGATACACTGAGGTGAAGACAGATGGAGGACTGAGCAGCAGGATATTGAAACTGCCAACAAATATATTTTAGCCACTGGGTATTGCCAGAAATAACTTCCACTGGTTAGTAAAAATTATCCAAGCTTCAGGGTATATATTCCAGTCAAATCCTGACACTAACTTGCTGTGTCAACCCTAGCTCCAGAGGACATCAGAAGTTCCCAAATGCCTTAAGAAAGTTGGCAACAGAAAATTTGGAATATGCTTGACCTTGATTTCTCAATTTCAAAACAATTAGAGCACAATATTTTTGCCTAAATCTGCTTCCCTGAAATAGCACAAGAATAACTCGTGTTTTATGTGAAAATCTAAATGTCTTATGCTATTTCTGTTAAGGCAAAGCACCTGTGACAATTAATGAAGTCATCCCAGAGTGTCAGCGCTAAGCTCCTTGCCTCTGGGTATTTTAAAGACTTTTTCTGTTGAGGAATAATTTATATCCAGAGAAAAGCATAGATCTTAAGTGAACATTTTTATCAGCTTATGAATTACATGCATCCAAATAACCTACACCCCATCAAGATATAGAACAGGGGTCAGCAAACTACAGCCACAGGCCAAATCTGTTCCACTGCCTAATTTTCTACAGCGTTTCAAGAGTGGTTTTTACATTTTTTAATATATGAGGGGGAAGCGAGAACAATGTTTTGTGACACATTAAAATTATATAAAATTCAAATTTTATATAATTGGTGAGAAATTATTATATTATTATTATATTCTTTGTGTCTACAAATAATATTGTTTTAATTTTTATTTTATTAATAATTTTTTTAAAAATAGAGATGGAGTCTCGCCATGTTGTCCAGGCTGCTCTCGAACTCCTGAGCTCAAGTGATCCACCTGCCTTGGCCTCCCAAAGTGCTGGGATTACAGGCCTGAGCCACTGCACTCAGCTATAAAGAATATTTTAATAGAACATAGCCATACCCATTTGTTTATGTTTTATCTATGGCTGATTTCACACTACAGTGATAAACTTAAGTAGTTATAACAGAGACTGTATGTCCTTGAAAGCCAAAAATAATAATACTTTTGCTCCTTATAGAAAAGATTTGCCAAAGTCTGAGACAGAATATTTCCATGACCTCTAAATATTCCCTCATGCTGGGAAGGAAGTACTCCTTCCCAGAGTAACTGTTGTTCCAGTTTCTATCATCATAAATTACCTTTGCCCGTTGTTTAATTTAAAGGCAGTAATACAGTATATACTCTTTTGTGTCTAGCTTCCTTTACTCAACATGTTTTTGAGAGTCATCCAGGTCATCACATCTATAGGAATTTTGTTCCTTTTCATTGCTGGGTAGTATCCCGATGTCTGAATATGCCACAGTTTGTATGTCCACGCTTTTTTTGTTTTGTTTTATTTTGAGACAGCATCTTGCTCTGTTGCCCAGGCTAGAGTACAGTGGCGTGATCTCAGCTCACTGCAATCTCTGCCTCCGCGGTTCAACCAATTCTCCTCCCTCAGCCTCAGCCTCCCAAGTAGCTGGGACTACAGGGGCGTGCCACCATGCCTGACTAGTTTTTGTAGTTTTTTAGTAGAGATGGGGTTTCACCATGTTGGCCAGGCTGGTCTCGTACTCCTAACCTCAGGTGATCCACCTGCCTCAGCCTCCCAAAGTGCCGGGATTACAGGTGTGAGCCACAGTGCCCAGCCAATATGTCCATGCTTTGTTGATGGATATCTGAACTGTTTTCAGTTCTTGGATACGATGAATATGTTTGGGTTTAAAAACACTTCTTAATGTTTTATTTGTTTTCCTTTTCTGCTCTTTATATTTTCCAACATTTTTACTCTTTCTGCATCTCTTCCTGAAAAACCAGACTTCCATCTGATATAATTTCCCTTCAGCCTAATCAGCCTTAAGAAATAGATTCATACCTTTTTCAGTAATTTAGATATCAATAAGGACAAATAAAGGGCATAATAAAATATTTGCTTACTGTGCATTTCTGCTCATTGGTAATACTAAGTCAAGAATTTGATATATATTCAACTCAGTTGCATTACATGTTTCTATGTATATGATTTGATTAACCAAAAAATGTATGCAATGTCAAGGTTTTTTCTTGTTTTGTTTTTTAAAATAAGAGCAGTTCAACAGCACTGGGAGTTGTTTAATACAATACAGAGAGCATAAGGAAAGAAGTACAAAATGTCATTTAGCAGCAATGGCAAAACATCTTACTATGTTTATAATTAAGGATATTATTAATGTTGTGTTGTTTATGTTGTTTTAGAACATACATGAAAGATATTCATTTGACTTTGAGGTATATATACAAGACATAACACAATTACATGAAAAATATTTTTCATAAGTAACATTATGTTTTAACATATTGGAAAGTGAATATCAATGTTGGTTTGTATTTTAACTTAATAGACAAAAAAAGAACACAATTGAACCAGGAAGAGTTAATACTGATAGTAAAGCTCTTAAATATGTCTTCCTTTACCTTTGTACTTACCACAGGCTATACAATGTTGTGAAAGGGTTCATTATGAAAAAAGTGTCAGTCACCACTTTGAGACCTTACTTTGGAAGAAACTAATGAGAAAGTCAATTGGAAGATGAGACTTCATCTTTGTTTTCAAATAAGTTGTCTTAATTTTTCTTCTTATGGAATAAGTTTAAATAAGTTTATTATACATAAATCTAAACTATTAATTTTTGCAGCTTTCAGGTAAAGTCTAGCTCTTATTTTACTCTAATGAACTTATTTTAGTATATCTTGAAGTTGAGACCTGCTGGAGATAAATTATTTCAGCTTTCATCTATTCAATAGGTTTTAATTTCACCTTCATTTTTTTTAGAGACAGGATCTTGCTATGTTGTCCAGGCTAGTCTCAAACTCCTGGCCTCAAGTGATCCTCCTACCTTGGCCTCCCAAAGCGTTGGGATTACAGGTGTTAGGCACTGCACCCAACCTCACCTTCATTTTTGATTTTTTGGATTTTTGTAGATTGATTTTATATCCTCCAACTTTACTGAATTTATCAGTTCTAAGAGTTTTTTGGTGGAGTCTTGATTTTTTTATGTATAAATCATGTTATCTGCACACAGGACAATTTGACTTCCTCTTTTCCAATTTGAATGCCCTTTCTTTCTCTTGCATAATTCCTCTGGGCTGGCCTACGGCTTCCAGTACTATGTTGAATACAAGTGGTGCAAGTGGGAATGTTTGTCTTGTTCTAGTTCTTAGAGAAAAAGCTTTCAACTTTTCTTCACTCAGTATGATGTAGGCTGTCAGTTTGTTATATGTGGCCTTTACTGTTTTGAGGTATGTTCCCTCCATACCTAAGTTTTTTATAGTTTTTATCATGGAGAGATATTGAATTTTATCAAATGCTTTTTCTGCATCTATTGAGATGGTCATATGTGTTTTTTTCCATTCTGTTAATGTGGTGTATCATATTTATTGATGTGCATATGCTGAGCCTTCCTTGCATCACTGGGATAAATCTCCTACTTGATCATGATATATAATCTTTTGGATGTGCTGTTGAATTTGGTTTGCCAGTATTTTGTTAATGAGGTTCACATCTATGTTCATCAAGGATATTAGCCTGCAGTTTTCTTTTGTTGTTGTTGCATTCTTGCTGGTCTTGGTATCAGGGTAATGCTGGCATTGTGAAATGAGTTAGCAAGAACTTCCTCGTCTTCAATTTTTTGGAATAGTTTGAGAAGAACTGGTATTAGTTCTTCTTTAAATATTTTATAGAATTCATCAGTGAAGCCATCCAGTCCTGGGATTTTCTTTGTTGAGAGGCTTTTTATTACTGTTTTAGTCTCATTTTTCATTATTCATCTGTGCAGGTTTTCTATTTCTTCTTGGTTCAGTTGTGGTAGGTTGTATATGTTCAGGAATTTATCTGTTTTCTCTATATTTTCCAATTTGTTGGCATATAGTTGTTCATAATAGTCTCTAATAATCCTTTATATATCTCTGGCATCAGTTGTAATGTTCCTTTTTATTTCTGGTTTTATTTATTTTGAGTCTTCTTTCTTCTTTGTCTAGCTAATGGTTTGTTAATTTTGTCTTTCCAAAAAACAAACTTTTCATTTTGTTGATCCTTTCTAGTTCTGTTTTAGTCTCTATTCCATTTATTTCTGCTCTGATATTTATTATTTCTTTCCTTCTGTGATTTTGGGTTTGGTTCTTTCTTTTCTAGTTTCTTAGGGTCCTTCATTAGATTATTTGAAACCTTTCTACTTTTTTGATATAAGCATTTATTGCTATGAATTCCCTCTTAGTACTGTTATTGTTGTATCCCATATGTTTTGGTGTGTTGTATTTCCATTTTCATTTGTTTCAAAAAATATTTAAATTTGCTTCTTAATGTCTTCATTGATTCATTGGTTGTTTAAGAGCATGTTGTTTAATTTCCGTGCATTTGTACAGTTTTAAAAGTTCCTCTTGCCTTTGATTTCTAATTTTGTTATATTGTGGTCAGAAAAAAATACTCGATATAATTTCAATTTTTAAAAATTGGTTGACTTGTTTCATGGCCTGACATCCGGTCTATCCTGAAGAATGTTCCATGGGTGGTGAGAAGAATGTGTATTCTTTATCTTTTGAATGCAATGTTCTGTAAATAACTGTTAGGTCCATTCAGTCTATTGTGCAGTTTATTTATTTATTTTTGAAACAGAGTCTTGCTCTGTTGCCCGGGCTGGAGTGCAGTGGCACAATCATGACTCACTGTAGCCTCAACCTCCCAGGTTCAAGTGATCCTCCCGCCTCAGCCCCCCAGGTGCCTGGGGCTACAGGCACATGCCACCACACTCAGCTAATTTTTGTATTTTTTGTAGAGGTGGGGTTTCACCATGTTGCCCAGGCTGGTCTCAAACTCCTGAGCTCAAGAGATCTGCCTGCCTCAACCACCCAAAATGCTGGAATTACAGGTGTAAGCCACCATGCCTGGCCCTATTATGCAGTTTAAATTTCATGTTTCTTTGTTGGTTTTCTGTGTAGATGATCTGTCCAATGTTGAGATTGGGATATTAAAACCTTCAACTATTATTGCATTGGAGTCTATCTCTCCTTTTATATATAATATATAATAATATTTGCTTTATATAACTGTAAGCTCCAGTGTTGGATGCATACGTATATTTACAACTGTTATATCTTCTTTTTGAATTAGTCCTTTTATCATTATAGAATGGCCTTCGTTGTATTCTTTTAGTTTTTGACTTAAAGTCTATTTTATCTGATATATGTATAGCTACTCCTGGTTCTTTTGGGTTTACATTTGTGTGTAATATCTTTCTTTCATACTTTTGCTGTTAGTCCGTATGTGTCTTTATAGGTGAAGTGAATTTTTTCGAAGGCAGCATATGTTATATAATAGTTTGGCCTTTTAAAAATCCCTTCAGCCAATCTATACCTTTTAATTGGAGAATTTAATCTATTTACATTCAAAGTTATTATTGATAGGTAAGGACTAACTCCTCTCATTTGGTTAATTGTTTTTGGTTGTTTTGTATATATTTTGTTTTTGATTTTTTGTCCTCTTTTTTTGTTTATCTTTGCAGTTTGGTGGTTTTCTACAGGGATAAGATTTTATTCTCTTCTCTTTCTCATTTGTGCATCTGCTCTACCACTGAGTTTTATACTCCCATGTGTTATGGTGTTAATTATCATCTTTTCACTTCAAGATGTAGGACTTTCTTAAGCATTTCTTGTAAGGCCAGCTTACTGGTGATGAATTCCTTCAGATTTTGCTTTCTGGGAGAAACTTTACTTTTCCTTCATTTCTGAAGGATGTTTGCTCTGGATATAGTATTCTTGGCAATGAGTTTGGATTTTCTCCCAGAGTATTCAGCATATCTTTCCATTCTTTCCTGGTCTGTAAGGTTTCTGCAGATAAATCTGCTGTTAACCTAATAGGGATTCTTGTACATGTGACTTAACACTTTTCTCCTGCTGTTTGTGGAATTATCTCATTGTCTTTAATTATCTCTTGACAGTTTGACTATAATGTTCCTCAGAGAGAACCTTTTGTGTTGGATCTATTAGGGACCGCTGAGCTTCATGGATCTGGATATCTATGTTTCTCCCAAGACTTGGAAAGTTTTCATTTATTATTTCATTACATATATTTTATATGACTTTTCCCATCTCTTCTCCTCCTGAAACTCCCAAAATGTGAAAATTTGTTCATTTATTGGTGTCCCATAAGTCCTGTATGCCTTCTTTATTCTTAATATTATTATTTTTATTATTTTTGGTCTGATGGGGTTATTTCAAAAGACTTGTCTTTGGGTCAGAAATTATTTCTTCTGCTTGATCCAATCTATTGTTGAATCTCTCATTTGTTTTTTTTTTTAATTCCGATCAGTGAATTCTTTAGACCCAAGATTTATGTCTGGTTCTTTTTTATGAAATGTATCTCTTTGTTGAGTTTGTCTTTCAGATCATGAATAGTTTTTCTGATTCCATCAAGCTGCCTATTTGTATTATCTTGTGTCTTGCTGAGTTTCCGTAAGATCATTATTCTGAATTCCTTTTCTGACATTTCATAGATTTCCTTTTTGGGAGGTCTATTACCGGAGAATCATTGTGCTTCTTTGGAGATATTATGTTTCCTGGCTTTTTTGTGTTTCTTATGTCTCTGCATTGATATTTGCACATCTGGTGGAACAGTTACCTCTTCCAATTTTGTGGAGTAGCTTTTGTAGGGAAGGACTTTTTTTTTTTTCTGTGTATTCTATACTGTCAGTTGGATAGGGTGCTTTGGCTTTGTTTCTGCCTGGGCACAGCAATGTAGTCTCCATATGATTTCTTTGGCTATAATTAACATCAGTGGTATTTGAAAGTGCATGAGTGGCCTAGATTATGAGCATTTGTGGAGGCAATTGTGTGGCTTTTCTGTGGGCAGAAATTGCCAAGTCAGCCAGTTCTCAAGCCCTGGGGGTGGAAGAGTGTCCCATGTCAGGTATGGTGGCTCTGCCAGTTTGAGGGGCAGCACAAGTGGCAGTAGGTGTCAAATCAGCTGGTCCTTGGTCCCCACTCCCTGAGGTGAGCTCTGCACGTGGCAGCTCCACCAGTCAAGGGATCAGAGTTGCTGGCAGTGGTGGGTACTAGATAAGCTAGCTTCCATTTCCTGGGGCACATGCTCAGCAGTTCCACTGGTCAAGAGGGTGGAGTTGCTGGCAGTGGCAGGGGCCAGGCAGGAGGTTCTCAAGCCCTGGGAAACACACACATTATCTCCCTCAGTCTTTGGGGCCGCCTCCCTGCTGTGCAGGACTCCCTGTTCCTTGGGGTGTATGGTGCTATGTGGGCTTGAATTGTGCCAGTGCCATGGCTGTACTGCTGGGTCTAGCTGGGGTAGTGGCATTGCAGCCTCTTGTGTGGGCATTGTGGGTTGATGTTGGGTCCCCAACAATGTGAAGATGCAGTGGCTATCGAGACCCAGAGCAGGATGTACTCTAGCAGTGGCTGTGTTCTCAAAATGGCACTGTGCCTTAGTGACTTTGGTCCTAGGGAGTGGAAATTTCCTAGCATGGGTTTTTTTTCTGGAATATTGCTGCCATGTGGACTCCAGGAAGCTCTTGGTACTGTGCTCAAAGCCCATGAGGACTGTGGGGTTCTCCTGTGGCTAGGACTGTTGGTAATGGGGGCTGCTGGGGATTTCCTGCTTACTTTTTCCCTACAGTAGGGTGTCCCTCTTTCTTTTGAGCCAATCCTGGCTGGGTGTTGCACTTCCCTCTCTATGCTGCCATCTTGACATTTTGTGCTTCAGAGAGTTGTTGTTTCTTCCTTCCTGGACTCCATTGTCCTCTCTTAGGCACTCTACTCAAAGTGCAGTTATTTGTTGTTTTGGTCCTTTGTGGAGGAAGTGAGTGTTGGGCACCTCTAGTCAGCCACCTTGATGACTTTATAGATCAAGATTCTGGAGTCTGGCAGCATCTTGCTGTTCTCAGATGCTTGGGGATTGGATCTATCTTAAATTTATTGGCATATACTGTGTGTCAAATAACAGAAGAGCTTGGGGTAAATAATACTTACATTCAGAAAAGGTGTATCTCTTCTTCTGTCATACTGTTAATGTAGTGGGTTGGGACAATCTAGTCTGAAATTGAATGCGACTGGGCTTTGTATATGTTAATTAGACTCAGTTTAGTACATACTTTGAATTATTGAGAGCAGATCAAGGCCAGGACTAAGATGAGGCAAGTGAGGCATTTGCTGAGGTGCAGAAAGAGAGAGGATCAGTAAGGGCTATACCAAGAAATATTGAATCCTGAAGCAGAAGGAAAAATCAATAAGACCATTTCTGTCTTTATTAAAACTTTTTTTTAATTAAAAAAATCTTGTTTTATTTTGTTTTTTTTATTTTTGTAGAGACAGGGTCGTCCTATGATGCCTAGTCTGGTCTCAAACCCCTGGGCTCAAGCAGTCCTCCTGCCTTGGACCCTCAAAGTGCTGGGATTATAGGCCTGAGCCACACTTCAGGCCTTTTTAAATTTTTTCATATTTTTCTCATCATGGACTTTTTGCACAAACTGAATTTTTAAAATATTGCATTAAAATATTATTTATTGATTAATTGAGTGTTCTTGCCTCCCCCTTTTGTGCCCAAGGCAAGTGCCTCATTCACCTTATTTGCCTCACCTTAGTCCTGGCCCTCTAATATCAAGACGTTTCTTTTAGCAGGGCTTGGAGTCTGAGTTCCTGGAGGATTTGCCTTCCTTCTTTTGATGTGTGCACAAATGTCAGCAGGGTCCATGTGACTGCTCCTCAGGGGATCTCACTGAGCTCCCCCAAGCCATAAATGGCTGCTGCCTGATTCAGGGAGGTTGTCTCTCAGCTTATCTGTCTCTTCCCCACTGGTAGGCAATTGCTCCCTCATATTCTGTGTAAGGCCCAGATTGCTCCTCCATTCTCTTGCTTCACCCTCAGATTTCAACAGGTGTAGCACATCTGTCTCTCAGGTCTTTTACCCTAACCTGTTTTGTGAGCACTCATTGGAAAGTCCTGTGGAAAAGAGTTATCAATTTGGTTCAGACTCCCCTGTGTCTTCACCATCCAGGAATTCGAAACTGTCCCACATTCCATCATTACAATTGCATTAAAGATTCAGCTGTTTTTTTCTTTTTAAATTTATTATTGTTATTATTATTATTTTTAATAGAGATGATGTCTCGCTATGTTGCCCAGGCTAGTTTCAAACTCCTGGGTTCAAGCAATCCTTTTCACCTCAGCCTCCCAAAGTGCCAGGATTACAGGCATGAGCCACTGCACCCAGCCTCAGCTGCTTTGTTATTGCGTACATCTATGGATATTCTCTTCTGCTGAAGTTGCTACTTTACCATGGGTCCATTCTTTCCTAGGAGGGCTTGCCAGTTCTTGGATTTTCATTCATTAGGTTTCTTTGCAAGCTCTCTAAGGGGCTTAAAATAGCTATGCTTCTGTACATTCTTAACTCATTCTCATCATTACAGTTAGAACAATATTATCTTGAAGCGTTCTACATCCAGAGTAGAGGCAGCAGTCTCTTGTTTACTTTTATTACTCCTCTGATAACAGCTGGGCTGACTCTGATCCACTATTTGAAACTCTTAGTCCTTAGATGAACATGATCTCTGATCAACTTGCCTTTGACTCAACCTTGACCCTAATCTTTTTGTATTCCCTGCATCTGAACTGGGCTTGCCTGTCTTCTTATTCTAAGATTCTGCTTTGGCTTTTCAATCCTGTATTATTTTCCTTTGAATCTATAGTTACTAGCACACTGTTGTTGCTCAATAAACATTGTGCTGACCTTGGACAGTTTAAATCTATTGCTCACATATTCCTTCTCAATTCCTCTAACCTTCTATATTCTGAAGCAACATCTTTTTTGCATAGTTCTTCGATTACCTGATTCCTTGCCTTTTTCTCTGTTTGTGTTGTCCAGGATCCATTTCGGCACATTGAACATGACCAGGCATGGCTAGGAGGGACAAGAAATACCAGCGTATCTATGAGATCAGCAAATATACCAGGCAGACTTAGCAGGTGAGCAGAGCATAACTAGAGAAAAACCTTGGCACATACATACCCATAGTAGAAGAGAATTTTAAATGCTTGGCATTCAAAGACAGGGCACAAATAGCTGAAAAGAAAAAACGGACAAAGCAAGACAATATGCTTAAAGAAACCAGGTAGAAATCACCATTGATGCCATATAGTCTTGTAGTTTTCTTTGCTGGGAGGTTTTTGATTACTGATTAAGAGATTACAGTCTCTTCACTCATAGATCTGTTCAGATATTCTATTTCTTCTTCATAAGTTTTAGTGGTTTGTATGTTTTTAGGAATTTTCCATTTCATCTATGTTATCTAATTTGTTGGTATACAATTGTTCATAGTATTGTAATATTTTTATTGTTATAAGGTTCATAGTAATATCTCCACTTTCATTTCCAATTTTAGTAATTTGAGACTTCTCTCTTTTTTTCTTGATCAGTCTAGCTAAATGTTTGTCAATTTCGTTGATATTGAAAGAATCAACTTTGGGGGTCATTAACTCTATTATTTTTCTAATCTCTGTTGCATTTATCTTCAATTTTTATTACTTCCTTCATTCTCCTAGCTTTGGACTTTGTTCTCCTTTTACTAGTTTCTTAAGGTATACAGTTAAATTATTGATTTAAGATCTTTCTCTTTTTTTAATGCCATGTTTCAGTATGAATTTCCCTCTGAGCACTGTTTTTGCTGGATCTCATAAGTTTTGTTATGTTGTGTTTTTATTTTCCTTTGCCTCAAGATATATTCTAACTTCCCTTGTGATTCTTCTTTGACTCATTGGTTAAGACTGTGTTGTTTAATTTATACTTTGTGAATTTTCTAGTTTTCTTTCTGTTAATGATTTCTAGTTTAATTCTACTGGGGTCAAAAAGATATCTTATATAATTTCAATCTTTTAAAATGTGTTAAGACTTGTTTAGTGGCTGCTGCTGATGATCTGGAGAGTGAATTTTGTAGGTGGGTAAGTTAAAATGCTACAATGCTCCCTTACTAAAATGTAGCTGCTTCTTTCTTCATTTAGCATCCCCTGGTTGTTAAGTTTTTTATTATGTTCCAGATTTCTGTAAAAGTTGATTATGACAGCTCTTGCTAACTTAATCATTGCTTTAGAAGACAGACACAGTTTTGAACTTCCTTACTCTGCCATTTTCAGTCCTTTATATTTGTTTTGCATTTTACTTTCACAAATGTCATAAACTCCACAATACATTTTTATTATTTTTGTTTAAAGTCAATTGTCTATTAAGAGAATAAGATAATAAGAAAAAGTCTTATCTATTTATCCATGTAGTTACCATTTGTGATTTTTTCATCCCTTTACATAGATCCAGATTTCCATCTGGTGTCCTTTTCCTTCTGCCTGAAGGACTTTCTTTAATATTTATTGTAGTGTATGTGTGCTGGTGAGTTTAGGCAATTCGCTTATGATATGCCTAGAGATAGTCTTATTCATGCTTTTATGCTTGAAATTATTGATTTTCTTGGACCTGTAGGTTTTTTATTTTCAAATGATTTGAAAATCTTTGGGTTCTTTAATGTTGTTTGTTTTCTCCTCTCTCATCTCCTTTCGTTACTCTTATTGGATATAGATTAGACCATTTGATGTCCCACAGCTCTTTGATGTTCTGTTAAATTGTCTTTCAGTCTTTTCACCCTACGTGTTTTATTTTAGATTATTTTTTGTTTCTCTGGCTTCAAGTTTCCTAATTTTTTTCTTCTATAATGTCTAATCTGCTACTAATCCCTTCCTTGGTATTTTTCATTACAGACATTGGTTTTTGTCATCTCTAGAAGTACGGTTGGGTCATTTTCCTTGTCTCTCCTTCATATGCTCATGCTTTCCTCTATTTCTTGATCATATAAGATATTTATAATAATTGTTTTTATACCCTTGTCTACTAATTCTACCCTCTTTGACATTTCTTGGTCTGTTTCAATTGACTGATCTTTTTTCCTCCACATTTTGCATAGTGTGTCTCATAATTTTTGATCAAATGCCAGATATTGTGAATTTCACTCTGCTGGGTGCTGGATATTCTTATATTCCTTCAAATATTACTGAGCTTTGTTATGAGATGCAGCTAAGTTATGTAAAAACAGTTGGATCCTTTTGAGACTTCTTTTTGACTTTGTTAACTGGGACAAGCAGCTATTACAATAGGGCTAACTTTACCATACTATTGAGGCAATTAGTCTAGGGCTTGTTTTTCCCTTCAGAGGACTCTACCCAATGCCCCCTGAGTTATGATGTTTTTCACTCTGCCTGGTATAACCATGGACTATTCCTAGCCTTCTGTGAGCTCTGCTGACTACATTCCATTGAGACAGTTATTTCTCTAGCTTTGAGTAGTTACTTGCATGCTGTGATCAGTATTTAGCTGATGACAAGGTGAATCTTTTACAGAATCTAGAACTTTCTCTTTATGCAACTCTTTCCCCTGTGCCACTGTGTGTGGGAACTCTAGGTGCCTTAGACTTCCCAATCTCCCAACTCTATTCAATTCAGAGAGACCTCCAGGTCTTGCCTGAGTTCCTGCATACTGCACTGTGGCCTGAAAACTCTCTCAAGAAAGTAAGTTGCTCCATGATGGAACTGAGGATCTGAGGAAGGGAGGGAAAAAAAATAAAAAGAAAGTAAGCTGGGGTAATCATAGGGCTCACTTTATTTGCTTTGCCTTTCTTAGGGATCACTGTCCTGCCCCACTTGATGTCATGTCTGAACCCCATTGTTTCATATATTTTGTCTAGTTTTTCTGTTTGTTTGTTGTTTCATACAAGAAGGTAAATCTGGTTCCTGATACTATCTTTCCAGAAACAGTATCAGAAACTAATAGAAGTCCACCAAAAGTGCAATTCATCTCAGTGGAGGAAAAGATAAATTATTCAATAAATGGTGTCAAGATACATATTAATAGGTTCTAATTTGCAATTACAGGATAAAATCTGAGACAGTTTTAACAGAAAAGAAGTATATTAAACATTATTAATAGATTACAAATTTTCCAGATGGGCCAGAGAGTTAGGCTTTGAGGTGAAGCACTTGGAAACTGAATTAGCCTGTCAAACTATTCAAAGGAATGACTGCAGCATTCTGGTGCTGGCAACATACTTCACACCATAGTTGTGCTGTTGCTGTTGCTGTTGCTGTTGCTAACTTCTCCATGTTTTTCTGCTGTGCTTCATCACCCTCTTCGGGAACTATGTTTTGTAGTACCTGCCTTCTCATGATGTTTTTTCCAAATCAAGATTTCGTGAATGCATACCTAGTTGATGAAACCTAGGTCATGCACCTTCTTCAGAGCCACAGGAGAAGCTGGGGAATTGACTTTGTATCTGCCTTACTTTGATGAGACAGAATACAATTTTAGAACATCCACAAGTATAGAAATATGATTCAAATGACACTGGGTGGCTACAAATAGGACAAATAGTCCCACAACACAAACTGAGTAGTCATGTGAAAACAGGTGAAGTTGAATCCCTACCTCACACCTTATACCAGAAGGTCAGAGAAACCAGGAAAAAAAGAAACCATAAAGGTACTCAAAGAAAATTAAGAATTTTTAAATAACTCATTTTATTTTTCATATTGCTGCCTTCTAATCAAGTATCTAAGGGCTTACAGATCTAAAATAAGAGTAAAACAGGCAGTAAAGCAATGATGACCTGTGAAATAAACATAAATCCAACATAATGGCTCTGCCTTAGGTGTAGACTGTAATAGTAGAATCTGAGAGGTGTTTCAAAGACTCTACAAAGCTTTCTCACCTGTATCTCAACATACCCACAATCAGCTGTGCTTCTGGGTCTTGCCCCCTCAGATCTCTACTTTTGTCATCAGGTTTATCTCCCACAGAGTCCTTTTAGCCTTTAAGATCTTTCCTGGGGGTGAGGGGTCTTTCTTTTGGTGATATTCATGGTGTTGCTGTAGGCTTTTAATTGCACTAGTAGAATAATAGACAAAAGGAGAGGCAATTACACAATGGAAAGAACAAGGCTTGACTCACAAGCCCTGATTTGTGCCCTAGCTTTGTCACTTACTGGATGATTGGGCACATTATCTAATTTGATTGGGGCTTGGTTTTCTCAAAGATAAAATTATTCCACTAACACCTACCACATAGGGTTAGATAAAATAACATACATTAGATAGATAGGCAGATATGGAAATATTTTAATGAAAGAAAAGAGGTTGTTTAGTTATGCATATTTTGCCTACATATTCCATCACAGTATTTATAAAATTGATTTAAAAATAGCAAAGTATTACAGCATGTTCCTTTGAAGAATAAGAAAAATTATCCAAATAGATCAAGAAAGAGATGGTTCACTTTGTGAAATATGAAACATATATGTAAGGCACAAAGAGTCATAACTCTTAAACTATCCAGGAGCTCACAGTTGGACTGGTAAGATCAAGGGATTAATAAAAGTGAGATGGTGTTAAGAAAATTCATGGTGAAAACCATCAATGAATTTTTTTTAAGTCTGATAGATTATTTTGGTCTAGAGTTTTTCTGAACTCTATCTTATTTGCCTAAAGTCAGAGAGGCATTCCTCTCATTTCTTATCACAAAGCCACAATAAATTAAATGATTTTATCCATTCTTTGAGTTTCCTCCTTCTAGTTCCTGGTTTAACAAGAGCTGTAGAAAACCTAACCTTGGAAAACTGGGGAAGTGTCATGAAAAATGAAATAATTCAGAGATTATCTTAAATATTTCTCCAACAGAAAAATTATTATGACTATTTTCTCACCTCCATAAAAACTTAGGCATATTATTGGCTTAATTATTGAAACTGAAAGCTTGTTTTGGCTGTTACAACCATTGATAAGGAAGATTTGAGGACATAGTCATCATGCATGATGTACTGTAGGGAAGTGGAATCCCCTCACTGCTCCCCTGACCTCCTATGTGTCATCCTCAAAACTACCAGAATGGTCCACCTGAAGTGTAATCTGACCATAGCAAAAACCCTTCAGTGGCTGGAAAGAACAATCTAAAGACCCTTGATGGCTTTTGAGCTCCTCTGTCCCTCTCCCCACTTGTTCCTCCTCTGCTCATATTAACCTTGATTAATGTGAACATAGCTGTACTTCCGCATCCCTATGCTGCTGTTTCTTGATTTCGTGATTTTTCTCATGCTTTACTGAGAACCCAGAATACCCATCCCTTCTCCAAAGCCTAATTCCTGCTTGCCTTTGAGACATAGCTCCAATGCCATCTCTCACTCCCTGAGACTGGGCTGAGCACCAAGCCTTCATTATCGTTCTTGCAGGACTCACAGAATAGGGTGAGTAAGTGAGGTGGGGTGTGGGAGTAGTCGACAAAGTGGGTGGTGGATGCTATGATAGGGAAGTACAGCGTTCTGTCAAAGCTCCAGCCTTCTGGAAGAAGTGACACCAAATCTGTAAACCAGGCAAAGAGGAGATGTAGAGAGTATTTAATACCATGGGAAGAGCATGTAGGCCTACAGAAAAGAGGCTAAATAGTTAGATGGTGCCCAGATGAAAAGGGTTTTTTAAGCCATGTTAAGGAATATGAACCATATGCTTAAGGTAAGGGGCAACCACTGAAGGAGCTTAAGCATCTCTGTGCAGATCTGCATTCTGAAATATCCCTTTGATTAACTACATCATAAATTATAAATTGGAAGAGGTGAGAGCAGCAGGAAGATGAGTTGGGAGACTTTTCTTAATCTAGAGGGGAGATGATAGTGGCTTAATCCAGACTAGTGGCAGTCAGGGTGGAAGGACATAGAAGGGACTGGAAAACAATGAGGAACAATCAGCAGGACTTGGTGATGCTTAGAGAGGAGCTGAAAGTATAGGAGGAATCCAGGATGATTCCCAGCTTTCTGGCTTGAGCCATGGAGTAGATGATGACACTATCCGTGAGATAGGAGACTGGTAGGAAAGTTGTTTTAGTTCCGATGCGAGTCCAGCCCAAGGATACTTACAGCTTAATTTTGTATTTATCAGATATAGTGGAGAAATAGGTATAGACTTACCGAACACCTACTATGTGCTTGGCCTTGTTTCTAGGCACTAGGAATGCCATAATTAATAAAACAGAAAAAAATCTTGCCCTCCTGGAACTTAGATGCTAGTAGGGAGATGGCAAAAAGTAAATTAGTCTATTGCACAGAATGTCAGAAGGTAAAAAGTGCTATGAAGAAAAATAAAGCTAAGAACAGGCTCCTAAGTGAGAAGGTGGACCTCTGGGCAGAGACCTGAGGATGTGAGAGAACAAGCCATGTGGGTAACTGTGGAAAGAGCATTCCTGGCAGAGGGGCCAGCCCATGCTGTAAGGCAGGAGTGTGCCTGGCATGCCCCATGGAGACCAGAGTGGCTGCAGGAGGGTGAGTGAAGGGGAATGAGGTCAACAGGCCACAGAAGGCCAGTGTCAGTCCTTATAGACAGTGCAAGACTCTGGTTTCTAGTCTCAGCAAAATGGGAAGCCACTGGAAGGCTTTCAGATAATGATCTGACGTGTTTGAACACAATCCTCTTTGGGACAACAGCAGAAGTTGGGGGTCCAGTTAGGAGGCTATTGGTCCAGGTGAGAGATATTGGTAGCACTGGAGGTGGTGAGAGATGATCAGATTATAGATGTATTTTAAAGGCTTTGCCAATGGATTGGCTGTGAGCTGTGAAAAATAGGAGATTCAGGATGCAACCCATGCCAACGTATCACCCCATTTTCACACAGTGGCCTTACTCACAGATGCTCTTTGTGGGACATTCCCAAAGTGGCTGTGCTTACTTCTGTGGGCCACCACAGTCTATTTCCATGGGTTTTTGAGCTTGACGGTGCCAATTATGGTATCTTTAACTCACCAAAAAAATAATTTATCCAAGTTCTGTATCCTCTTATTATGACCTTCAAGAAGCATGTGCTTTCAGTTCTTGTGTGCTGCATAATATTTTGAAATACTAAATCCTTTCATTCTCCCTGAATTTTCTAGTAAACAAATTTGTACCTGGTTGGTTTTAAAACTGATTTTCTTAGATTCCAAGTAAAGCTGAATATTTCTTACCTTTTTTAAAAAATTTATTTATATCCTTGTCCATTGATTAGTTAGGGAGATAGTGCCGGTCTTACTGATTTATATGCCTTCTTTATAAGGAAAAGTAGATTTTTTTAAGATTAATAACTACTGGTAGCGTGGAACCTATTTAAAACATCTCATTGGAAGCCCCAGATAAATGCATACTCAGAAAGATGGCTTGTTTTGTTTGGCTTATTTGTTTTTATTGGAAGGGGGAGTGCATTGCTATCAAATAAGCTACCTCAAAGGAATAATTGCAGGGATAAACAAAATATATTTCATAATATGGTAAAATACCCTACTGAAAACAGAGACAGAAACCTACAAAGTGAATCTGGTGGATAAGCAGGAGTCCTAGATCAGGTTTCAAAATCAGATTCAAGGTGAGTTGCGGTGGGAATTGCAAATCTATATGAGACCAGGATTCAGTGAAGCGTTTTTTGTTTGCTTTTGAGACGGAGTCTTGCTCTGTTGCCCAGGCTGGAGTATGCAGTGATCTCGGCTCACTTCAACCTCTGCCTCCCGGGTTCAAGCAATCCTCCCACTCAGCCTCCCGAGTACCAAGGATTACAGGCATATACCACCACGCCTGTCTAATTTTTTTTTTTTTTTTGGTATTTTTAGTAGAGATGGGGTTTCACCATGTTGGCCAGGCTGGTCTCGAACCCCTGACCTCAAGTGATCCGCCCACCTTGGCCTCCCAAAATGGTGGGATTACAGGGGTGAGCCACTGTGCCCGGCCTGGATTCAATGAAGTTATAATCAACAATACTAAGGCTAATTTCAAAGGTAAGGTAACTATGTAATGTTTATTAATTCATTTAAGTTATTAACTGTACAGTAGGACTGTTTTAATGAAAAGTTGATTTGCTGGCTATTTTGTACCTGCCCCTGCAGATTGGCCCTTCTCCTTTCTCTGTGCCCCAAGAGGCTGATCCTCCTGTCGGGCAGGAGATTGGAGGGAAGGAGAGAGAGGTGAATGTTTATTCCCAAGGCTCTTTCTTTCCCTGCTGGGTCTTGGGTTAACTTTATTCCTCTAGTGGAGGCCACAGCCCCTGCTGGGTGGCCCTCTGAACAACCACAGCTGCTCCTTCCAAGCTCCCATAACCCCTCCTTCCTTTCAGACAAGGGGTGGTAATGGTTCTACCTGGTTGCTAGCCCTGGAGTATTACACCATCCCTGTGGTTTCCCTTCCCCTGTGTATAGTCCCTTCATTCCACTCTCCTCAGTCATCTCTTACCCATGCTACTACTGCCAGGATCCTGACTGATAAAGTCATGTTCCTTATGAAAAAGGAAGACGGAAAGAGGGAGGAAGGAAGGAAGGAAGGAAGGAAGGAAGGAAGGAAGGGAGGAAGGAAGGAAGGAAGGAAGGGACACCTGTTTAATATGGCACTACTACCAGCTGGTGAATCATAAGTATCCAAAGAAGAAATAATCACTTAACAACCAAACTTATAAACCAATTAATGACATACCACATGTGACATACCACATTTTTTCCTTGCACATCTCTCCCTACTTGCATCGTGTCCTGGTACCTTTCTTTACCACGTGTGTTGGCAGAGACAGCTAGTTGTCTCTGCCTAGCCATTCTCCCCTTTCTTTAGTCATGAATCCTCAGTTTTTATCTGGGCCCATAGTTGTCCAGCTCCACATTACATTTCCAAGCCTTCCTTATAAATAGATGTGCTCATGGGACTGTTGGCTAATAAGATAAGAACAGAAACAGTAAATATACCTCCAGGTCTTCTCTTTAAAGGGAAAACATGATTTCTACTTCACTTTCTCTTCTCCCTCTCCAGTTAGCTGGAGTGATACAGGTTGGAGTGTCTCAGTTTATATGGGTTCCTGATGCAGGAGTTTCTGTGAAAAAACTGGTAAAGTTTCAGGCAAACTGATGGGTTGGTCACCTTAAGTGTAGTAGGGACTGGAGGAGTCATTTTGGGAGCTGCATGCTGAAGACAGAAGGAAGTGGCCCTCACCTCATGACTGTTGCCTAATTGAAAGATAAACTAACATTTTGTCCAGGCCATTGTTACTTTGGTTTCTTTTATAGCAATGGAATCTGCATCCTAATGCATGTTTTGTTTTGTTTTTTTCTCTTTCTTTTCCTTTCTCATGGTTGCTTGAGAGCTCTTTCTTACTAATAGAATATAATAATAATTTTTAAAAATTGTTTTATTTATGTAGTATTTTTTAAAGATGGTCTATTAAAAACATATGTTTACCATATGGCCCAGCAATTCCACTTCTAGTTACATTCTCAAAAGAAATGAAAACCGGTACTTGAATGAAAAATTATACACAAATATTTATAAGCAGCACTATTCACAATAGCCAAAAGGTAGAAACAACCCAAATGTTCATCAACTAGTGAACGAATAAACAAAATGAAAAATTATACACAAATATTTATAAGCAGCACTATTCACAGCAGCCAAAAGGTAGAACCAACCCAAATGTTCGTCAACTAATGAACGGATAAACAAAATTCACTATATCCATACAATGGAATATCCTTAGGCCATAAGAGGTAATAAAGTACTGACACGTGCTACGACAGGGATGGACCTTGAAAACAGTAGGCTAAGTGAAAGAAATCAGACACAAAGCCACATGTTGTGTGATTCAATTTATATGAAATATTCAGAATATGACATTCCAAAGAGACAGAAGGAAGATTAATGGTGGCTAGGGGTTGGAAGGAGTGGGCAATGGGGAGTGACAGCTTAGTGGATATAGGGATTTCATAGGGGGTTGTGATGAAAATGTTCTGGAACTAGACAGTGGTGGTGGTTGCACAGCATTGTGAAGGTACTAACAGCACTGAACTGTATACTTTAAAATAATTGAGATGGTGAATTTTATGTTATGTGAATTTCACCATACACACACGCACACACATGCAGCCTATTCAAATGGAGCTGAGAAAGTGTAGAAAGCTGGTTGAGTTCTTTCTCCTTCTGACCAGTTTTCCTTCCTTTTTTACCTTCCTTGTGACTTCCTGTTGGGCAGGGATGGTAACATGTCTAGGGCACATTGCCCCCTTGGCTTTCACCACAAACCACTGGGCCTCCAGTCCTCCTCCCCCTGGCACTTTTTGAGGAAGATTCTGTTTGCCACCGGACTCAGTGCTGGGCTCCTTTTGCATAAGGATCAAGGATCTGGAGCAACAATCTTAACTGCAGAGGTCTGATGTCTAGATGGTCTTCAGAGCCAGATCTGAATAATTTGCCCCTACTAAGAGTTAGGGCTTAAACCTATGCACATTTCAATGGATACTAGGCTAATCCTTTCAGGGGATGTGGTAGACAGAATAATGATACCCTAAAGATGTCTATATCCTAATCCTTGGAACCTGTGAATGTGTCACCTTACATGCAAAAGAGACTTTGCAGATGTGTATAAGTTAAGGATTTTGAAATGGGAAGATTAACCTGGATTATCCAAGTGGGCCTGATATAATCACAAAAGTCTTTTTTCAGATTCAGAAAGATAGATTCAGAAGGAGATGTGATAATGGAAATGGGAGTCATGGAAGAGAAAGAAAGGGAGGGGGAGGGTTGAAGATGCTGCTGACTTTGAAGATGGGGGCAAGAGGTCAAAAACCAAGGAATGCAGGTGGCATTGAAAGCTGGAAGAGACAAGGAAATGGATTCTCCCCTTGAGTCTCCAACAGGAACACAGCTCTGTTGCCACCTTGACTTTAAACATTCTGAGCTCCAGAACTGTAAAATAATAAATTTGTGGTGTTTTAAGCCAAAAAAAAAAAAGATATCCCAGTTGAGCCTTTTCGGTTCCCCCTCAAGAAAATCCTAACACCTTAAAAATATTTTGTCTTTTTTTCTGTATAGCTGTAATAAAAAAGAACTTTTTTTCTTCTAGCAAGTGAATAATATAAATAATAAAGACTGTCATTCATTCATGGTTTGTAACATAATTTGTAAGCTTTATCTTGTGGAGTCTTCAAAATAGCCTTATAAGATAGGTGTAATTATTCCTGTTTTTCTGATGAGAAACTTGAGGCTTCGAGAAGTTAGGAAACTTACCTAAGAGCATGGAGCTACAAAGGAGGAATTAGTGTGTCTTCAAGTTGGTGCATGTGTTTACAGGTCCTGTACTGTTTATGACTCTCAGAGTGAAAAGGTGCCTGTCATCCATAGAGATTATTGACTGCTGCAGCTGCCGCTGGGCACATGCAAGGGGTGAGGGGGCCTCCTGGCAGGCTCTGTTGCTTTGACAGATTTGGGCTGCCAGCTGCTTATTATTGCAGTGTGGTTCCTTTCCTGGAGAAGCTTTCCGGGGGCTCCCACTGGGGGGTGGGGGCTGGGGTCCTGCTCCCTTTCTCTGCCCCCATCCAGGACCTCCTTTCAGTTCCCTGTCGTGGCTACTGCAACCCTAAATTCCTTCTTAAACACTCACCCTTAAATATTTTTCATGTGCATTTTGTACCTCATTAAGGATTTAATCTGAAGTATTTTTGCCTTTGTACCTTTGTGTTGTCTTAGTATGTTTTTTTATTCTGACATTGTATTATTTTATTCACCTTTCAAGTTTTGCTATTTTCTAATTTTATCTTTCCAATCTTTTCATATTTCTGTTTTGAATGTTTTCTTCCTAAACTTTTTATTTTGTATGCAATTTGAACAATTGCATACAATTATTTCTAGCATTTTGTTTTATTTTTAATGTTTTTGGGGGGCTGTTTTTCTTTCTTTAATCTTTTTCTTTTTTCACCCTGCTATACTTTAGCAATCACTATTTTATCTTCAATATTTTTGATCTTCTAGTTTTACTTGTTTCCGTCTTTTTAAAAAATTATTTATGTTTTAAATTATTTAGCTTAGTTTTATAGGCCATTTAAAGAACTTTATATTTAGCTTCTTTATTTTTATTTATTTTATAATTTCTGCTCTTTGCCTTTTATTCCCTTTTATTAACTGAGCATGGCATACTGGCTTTGGGATTTATTTAAAGGTCATTTTGGTACTTTTTGTTGCTGTTCATTTTCATATTTTATATGATTTTAAATTCTTTTAAAAATAATTTTATACTTAAACTGTGCCATTAATTTTCCCAGATGAATGATTAAGCTTCTGGTTTTTCTGTTTTGAATTTGTTTCATGCCTTTGAACCATGATTCTTTCCTTCCTCTTTTTATTTTTTTACTTTTTCCCCTTAGAAACATAGCTTTTCATCTTAATAGTTTTATCTATTTCTTCCTATTCTTAAATTTGACTCTTTACTGTTTGTTTTCATAATGGTTATCAGGAAGTTGGTGGGAAATTGAAAGCTTCGGGAAAAACTCATCGTAAACTGGGGAGATTTATTTGCAGCTATGGCTACAGCTGTCTCGCTGGCTTTTCTTAATAGATTTCACATGCTCTTCAGCACTACTGAAAAAACTTGAAAAGAACAATAAGAGAAATAAATCACCCTTCCTGACACGAGAGACTTCCCGGCTGTGGAGACCTCCTCTCATTTGCCAGAGCTGCGCTGTCGCTGTCCTTCCACTCCTTCTCTCCACCCTCCTAGTGTTCCCACCCCTCCCAAACCTAGGTCAGGACTAGCCCTCAGAACTCTGTATGGAACCAATGAGTTGCATCTCTGGAACTGCATTCTCTGCTAAGCCAGTCTTCCTAGCCTCAACCTCTTTCATCTCCTGGCCTTAACTGCAACCCTCTTCTGCTGTAGCATCTTGAGTTGGGGAGTTCATTTTCATTCTTCATCCTAGAGGAAAGGCCAGTGCTCTTTTTAACCCAAACCTTTCCACCTTTGTGTAAAAACACCTCCTCCTTAGAGACTGGTTCCACTGGCTTGTATCACCTTCCCTCCTTATTCTCACTCATCCACATTCCAGGAAGAATTTAGTTCCTGCTTGACAGTAGTTCTGCAATCATCCCAGGTGATTTCATTGTTGATGTGGATGACCCAATGACTCTTGATTTCCATAGTAAACTCCCAGACTGGTCAATTTTCCTAAGGTTTTTCTAACCGTTAGCTTCTCTAAGGGTGGCTTTACTTAAGATCCATCTTCTTTTTGGCATCTGTGTGGGTGGAATCTTCTTGCCTTATGTTACTGGCATGGATTATTGAGTGGAAACCTTGCAACATCACTTTGGAGTAGTTACTTTTATTAAAACCTACTTTGCAGATGAGAAAACTGAGGCTGAGACTCTAGGAGGAACCATTTGGCAACATTTATCATAATGTAGTAAGCACTTACCCTTGACTCTACAGTTCCATCTTAAAGACTTTGTCCTCCTGGTCTACTCAGGCTCATGTGCACATGCTCAGTGACTTATGTAAAGACGTTCACTATAAGACTAAGAGACTGGTTAAATAAAGTATGATACAACTCTGGGATACTATGCAGCAGGGAAAAAGAAAGGAAGTAGCAGGGAATGATTGTCAGGCCATATTATTAAATGGAAAAGCCAGTGTAAAACAATGTGTATCATTTACTCCAATTGTGTTTTTTTTTTTAAAAAAAAACACATCTGTGTTTTGGCCAGGTGTAATGGCTCACACCTGTAATCCCAACTCTTTTGGAGGCTGATGTGGAAGGATTACTTGAAGCCAGGACCTGAGCAACAAAGTGAGACAACCCTTCTCTACAAATTTTTTTTTAGGCCAGGCGTGGTGGCTCACACCTGTAATCCCATCACTTTGGGAGGCCAAGGCCAGCAGATCATTTGAGGTCAGGAGTTTGAGACCAGCCTGACCAACATGGTGAAACCCCATCTCTACTAAAAATACAAAAAAAATTACCCAGGCGTGGTGGTGGCTGCCTGTAGTCCCAGCTACTCAGGAGGCTGAAGCAGGAGAATCACTTGAACCCAGGAGGCGGAGGTTGCAGTGAGCCGAGATTGTGCCACTGCTTTCCAGCCTGGGTGGCAGAGTGAGACTCCATCTCAAAAAAAAAAATTTTTTTTTAAATTAACTGGGCATGGTGGCACATGCTTGTAGTCCCAGCTACTTGGGAGGCTGAGGCAGGAGGATTATTTGAACCCAGGAGTTCAAGGCTGCAGTGGGCTATGATCACACCACTGTGAGAGAGAGAGAGAGAGAGAAAAGAAAGGGAGAAGAAGGAAGAAGGAGGGAAGGAACAAAGGAACGAAGGAAGGAAGGAGAAGGAAGGAAAGAAAGAAAGAAAAAGAAAGGAAGAAAGAAAGAACGAGAACGAAAGAAAAGAAAGAAAGAGGAAGGAAGGAAGAAAGGAAGGAAGGAAGGAAGAAAGGAAGGGAGGAAGAAAGAAGGAAAGAGAAAGAAAGAAAGAGCAAGCAAGCAGGCTATTTTAGAAAAGAAAATAGACTACTAACTTCAGCTGAGCCCAGCTGACCTACCAGTTCATCGCCTACCCCAGTCTATACCATGTGGAGTAGAAGAATTAGCCAGTCAACCCATGCCATGACGATCGTTGGAACAGAATTTATGACGGAATTGTCAGAAATAATAAATTATCATTTTTAAGCCATTATGTTTAGGGGTGATTTGTTACATAGCAATAGATACCTGATACACTCCTGTACTCTCAAATGCCAGAGAGGTGATATGAGCCTGTGTATTCCATCTGTATATTCCATCCTAGTTCACCCCAGGTGAATGTCATAGCAATTTCCATTCTTAGAGTCTGCTTCCTAGAACTGATTTCAATACCAATCATCAAGTTCCCTGGAAGCGGAACCTGAGATGGAATTATTGAGGGCATGTGATTTGTTAAGGCCACGCCGTCAGAAGAGAGGGAATGAGGAAGCTAGATAACAGGGAGAAGGAGCTAGGCAAGGATGTGGTCTCAGCCTGAGCAGCCTGACCACTCAGGAACCTCTGAAGTGTGAATTGTACTACAGTGCTGATCCTGCCTTGAGTCAGGAAGCTGGCTTTTTTTTTTTTTTTTTTTTTTTTTGAGACAGGGTCTCACTCTGTCTCCAGGCTGGAGTGCAGTGGCGCGATCTCGGCTCACTGCAGCCTCCACCTCCCTGGTTCAAGCGATCTTCCTGCCTCAGCCTCCCCAGTAGCTGGGACTACAAGGACGCATCACCATGCCCAGCTAATTTTTTGTATTTTTATTAGAGACGGGGTTTCACCATGTTGGCCAGGATGGTGTCGATCTCTTGACCTTGTGATCTGCCCACCTCGGCCTCCCAAAGTGCTGGGATTACAGGCGTGAGTCACCGTACCCAGCCGGCTTTTTAAAGACATCTTTATTGAGATATACATATACCATACAATTCACCCATTTAAAAGGATACACTTTAATGGTTTTAGTATATTTACAGACATATGCAACAATCACCACTATTAATTTTAGAAGATTTTCATCACATCAAAAAGAAACCCTGTACCCTTAATTATCACCTCCCTATACTCCATCCCTTCCAGCCCTAAGCAACCACTAATCTACTTTCTGTCACTGTAAATTTCCTTACTGTGAACATTTCATATAAATGGAGTCATACACAATATGCAGTCTTTTAAGACTGGCATCTTTCACTTAGCATAATGTTTTCAAGATTCATCCATGTTGTAGCATGTATTTCATTCCTTTTTGTGGCCAAATAATATTCCTCTGTATGGATATACCACATTTTATTTATTCATTCATCAGTTGATAGAAATTTGGGTTGTGTCTACCTTCTGACTGCTATGAAGAGTGCTGCTATAAAAATTTGTATGTTTGTCTAGACACAGGTTTGCATTTCTCTTGTGTATATATTTAGAGGTGAAATTTCTTAGTTATATGGTAACTCTCTGTATAATTGTTTGAGAAAACTGCCAGACTGTTTTCCAAAGTGGCTATACCATTTTACATTCCAATGAGCAGCATTTGAGAATTCTGATTTCTCTAGATGCTCCCCAATACCTGCTCTTCTCTGGACTTTTGATTCTAGACATCCTTGTGGGTGTGAAGTGGTATCTTATTGTGATTTGATTTGCATTCCCCTGCTGACTAATGATGTTGAGCATGTTTCTAAGTGCTCATTAGCCATTCATATATCGTCTTTGGAGAAATGTCTGTTTAGATTTATTGCCCATTTTATAATTGGAATATCTTTTTATTATTGAACTGGAGGAATTCTTTATACATTCTAGTACAAGTCCATTATCAGACATATTATTTGCAAATATGTTCCTCCATTCTGTGGGTATTTTAATTTTCTTGATGGTGTCCTTTGAAGCACAAAAGTTTTTCATTTTAATGAAGTCTAATTTATTTTTTCTTTTATTGGTCACACATTTGGTGCCATATATAAGAATCCATTGTCAAGTCAAAGTCATGAAGATTTACCCCTATGTTTTCTTCTGAGAGTTTTTTGTTTGTTTGTTTGTTTGTTTGTTTGCTTAACAGATGGGATCTTGCTTTGTTGCCTAGGCTGGAAAACATGATCATAGCTCACTGCCACCTCGAACTCTTGGACTCAAGTGATCCTCTCACCTCAGCCTCCTGAGTAGCTACGACTACGGGTGTGTACCACAATGCCCAGCTAGTTAATTTTTTTTGTTTTTGTTTTTGTTTTTGTAGAAAAGGGGTCTCACTATGTTTCCCAGCCTGGTCTTGAACTGCTGGCCTCATGCAATCCTCCCATCTTGGCCTCCCAAAGTGTTGGGATTACAGGCATGAGACAACATACCTGCCTGAGAGTTTTATAGGTTTAGCTTTTACATTTAGGTCTTTGATCCATTTTGAGTTAATTTTTGTATATGGTGTGAAGTTAGCATCCAAGTTTATTCTTTTGCATGTGACTATGCAATTGTCCCAGCACCATTTGTTGAAAAGATTATTCTTTCCCCATTAAATGATCTTGGCACTCTTTTCAAAAATCAGTTGGCCATAGACATATTTATTTATGGACCGTCAGTTCTATTCTATTGATCCCGATGTCTATCCTTCTGTCAGTGCCACACTGTCTTGATTAATGTTGGGTTTTGTTTTGAGGCAGGGTCCCACGCTGTCAGCCAGGCTGGAGTGCAGTGATGCAAACACAGCTCACTGCAGCCTCAGCCTCCTGGGCTCAAGTGATCCTCCCACCTCACCCTCCAAGTAGCTGGGATCATATGTGTGCACCACCACACTCAGCTAATTTTTGTATTTTTTATAGAGACAGAGTCTCACGTGTTGCCCAGGCTTATCTTGAACTCCTGGGCTCAAGCAATCCTCCCACTTCAGCCTCCCAAAATGCTAGGACTACAGATGTGAGCCATTGTGCCTAGCTGATTAATGTTGTTTTGTAGTAAGTTTTGAAATTAGGAAATTTGAGTCTTTTTACGTTGTTCTTTTTTTTTCAAAATTGTTCTATTCTGAGTCCCTTGCAATTCCATATGAATTTTAGAATCAGCTTGTTAATTTCTACAATGAAGTCTACTGGGATTCAGATGGGGATTCAGGTAGGCATTGAATCTATAGATAAATTTGGGAAATATTGTCACCTTAACAACATTGTCTTATTTAGATCTTGAATTTCCTTCAATAATATTTTCTAGTTTTCAGAGTGTAGGTTTTGCACTTGTTTTGTTAAATTTATTCCTGAGTGTTATTTTTGATGCTATGCTAACTGAAATTGTTTTGTTTGTTTGTTCATTTTGAGACAGGGTCTTGCTCTATTACCCAGGCTGGAGTGCAGTACCATGGTGATAGCTCACTGTAGCCTCAACCTCCTGGGCTCAAGCAATCATCCCACTTCAGCCTCCTAAGTAGCCCAAACTACAGGCACATGCCACTACATCTGGCTAATTTTTTGTGTATTTATTTATTTATTTTTGTAGAGATGGGATCTTGCTAAGATGTCTATGCTCATCTTAAACTCCTGGCCAGAAACAATTCTTTGTCTCAGCCTTCCAAAGCACTGAATTATAAGCATGTCCCACCATGCCTGACAAAATTGTTTTTAATTTCATTTTTGGATTGTTCAATGCAAGTATATAAAAATACAGTTGATCTTTTTCTTATGTTATATCCTGTAACCATGCTGAATTCAATTATTAGTTCTAATAGTTCTTTAGTAGATTCCTTAGGGTTTCTATTAATATATATAAGATCTGTGAATAAAGATAGTTTTACTCCCTATCCAACCTGGACGCCTTTTATTTCTTGTTCTTGCCTAATTGCTCTGGCTAAAATCTCCAGTACAATGTTGAATAGACATGGTAAAAGTAGGCATTTTTATCTTGTTCCTGATCTCAGGAGGAAAGCAAAGCACACAGTCTTTCACCATGATGTTAATTGTGGTTTCCTGTAGATGCTCTTTATCAGGTTTAGTTGCCTTCTATTCCCAGTTTTTTAGTGTTTTTATTATAAAAGGGTGTTGGACTTTTTTTTTTTTCTAAGGCAGGGTCTTGCTCTGTTGCCCAGGCTGGAGTACAGTGTCACGATCACGGCTCACTGCAGGCTCAGCCTCCTAGGCTCAAACGATCCTCCCGCCTCAGACTCCTGAGTGGCTGGACCCACAGGCATGTGCCACCATGCCTGGTTTTTATTTTTTGTAGAGACAGAGTCTCACTATTTTGCCCAGGCTTGTCTTGAACCCCTGAACTCAAGCAATCCTCCTGTCTCAAGCTCCCAAAGTGTTGGGATAACAGGCATGAGCCACTGTGCCTGGCCCTAAGGTTTTTATTTTTAAGTTTTGTGGGTACTAAATAGTAGGTGTATATATTTATGAGGTACATGAGATGTTATGATAGAGGCATGCGTGTTTGACTTTTGTCAAATGCTTTTTCTGTGTTTATTGAGACAATTATGTGGTTTTGTTTTTTTACTATTGATATGGTATATCACGTTTTGAATGTTAAACCAACTTTTCATTCCTGGGATAAATCTCACTTGGTCATGGTATATAATTCTTTTTATATGCTTCCAGAGTCTGCTTTTTTGTTGTGCATTTTTGTGTCCATATTTATAAAAGATACTGGCCTGTAGCTTTCTTTTCTTTTGATGTCTTTGGTTTTGGTATCAGGGTAATATTGGCCTCACAGAATTAGTTGGGAAGTGTTCTCTTCTATTTTTGGAAAAGTCTGTGAAGCCTTGGTACTGTTTTTTATAAATGTTTGATAGGATTAGCAGAGTGGCTCTCTGGGCCTGGGCTTTTCTTTGTGTGCAGTTTTATACTACTAATTCAATCTCTTTATTTGTTATAGATCTATGTAGATTGTCTATTTCTTTTTGAGTCTGTTTTGGTAGTTTGTGTCTTTTCAGAAATGTGTCCATTTCACCTAAGATATCTAATTTATTGGCATATAACAGTTCATAGTATTCCTTTACAATGCTATTTATTTCTATGTGGTCAGTAATAATGTTTCCTCTTTTATTTCTGATTCTGATCACTTCAGTCTTCTTTCTTTTTTCCTTGATTAATCTAGCTAAAGTTTGTCAGTTTTGTCGATCTTTCAAAAAACCAAATTGTGGTTTAAGTGATTTTGCAATTTTTCTATTCTCTATTTTATTGATTTCTGGTCTAATATTCAATATTTCCTTCCTCCTGCTTTTTTGGGGTTTAGTTTGATCTTCTTTTTTTAGTGTCTTAAGATGGAATGTGAGGTTACAATTTGAGATCTTTCTTCTTTTTTTTTTTTTTTTTGAGATGGAGTCTTGCTCTGTCGCCCAGGCTACAGTGTAGTGGCACAATCTCGGCTCACTGCAACCTCCACCTCCCGGGTTCAAGTGATTCTCCTGCCTCAGCCTCCCGAGTAGCTGGGACTACAGGCTCCTGCCACTGTGCCTGGCTAATTTTTGTATTTTTTTTTTTTTTTTTTTTTTTTTTTTGAGACGGAGTCTCGCTCTGTCGCCCAGGCCGGACTGCAGACTGCAGTGGCGCAATCTCGGCTCACTGCAAGCTCCGCCTCCCGGGTTCACGCCATTCTCCTGCCTCAGCCTCCCGAGTAGCTGGGACTACAGGCGCCCGCCACCGCGCCCGGCTAATTTTTTGTATTTTTAGTAGAGACGGGGTTTCACCATCTTGGCCAGGCTGGTCTCGAACTCCTGACCTTGTGATTCCCCTGCCTCAGCCTCCCAAAATGCTGGGATTACAGGCATGAGCCACCGTGCCTGGCCAAGATCTTTCTTATTTCTTAATGTAGGTATTTACAACTATAAACTTCCTTCTAAGCACTATTTTAGCTGCATCTCATAAGTTTGGAAATGTTGTGTCTTCATTTTCATTCATCTCAGAGCATTGTCTAATTTCCCTTTGGATTTTTTCTTTGATCTATTGGTTATTTAGGATTGTGTTTTTAAAATTTCCACATAATTGTGAGTTTCCTGAGTTTCTGTTTTCACTTTTTAACATCATTCCATCGTGATGGGAGAACATACTTTGTATTAGTTCTATTCTTTTAAACTTATTGAGGTTTATTTTATGGCTCAGCAGATGGTCTATCATGGAGAGGAATCCATGTACTCTTAAGAAGAATATATATTCTGGTGTTGTTGAATGGAATGTTACATAAATGCCTCTTAGTTTTAGAGTGTTAAGTATTCTACTTCCTTCTCAGTCTTCTGGCCTAGTTGTTCTATTTATTATTGTAAATAGAGTATAGAAGTCTCCAAGTATTATTGAATTTCCTATTTCTCCCTTCATTTCTGTCCATTTTTGTCACATATATTTTGGTGCTCTGTAACTAGGTACATATATGTCTATAGTTGTTATATCTTCCTCATGGACTGACATTTTATAATGATCCTTTTTAAAATCTCTACTAATGTTTTTAAATTTTAAACTCTATTTAATCTGGTAGTAGTATACCCACTCCAGCTTTCTTGTGGTTGCTACTTGCATGCTATATATTTTCTTAATCTTTTACTTTCAATCTATTTGTATCTTTGAATCAAAATATTTCTCCTGTGGACAGCATATAGTTAGATCTTGCTTTCTTTAATCCAGTCTGATGATTTTTTCTTTTGATTGTATTGTCTAATTCATTCACGTTTAATGTTTTTATTTATATAGTTGGATTTATGCATGCCATTTGACTTTTTTGTTTTCTATGTGTCATATGTTTTTTGTTCCTCTATTCCTCCTTTACAGCTTTAATCATTTAAATATTCATTTGATGTATTATATATTCATTAAATACTCATTTAATGCCTCAAATGCATGTTTTTAATGCAGCCATATAATTACTTTAATGATTTTTACTATATATTTTGAGTTATTTCCTTAGTGGTTATTCTAGGGCTCATTATATGCAACAAAACTTCAGGGACAAATTTAGGTTTATGCTAACTTAATTCCAATGAGATATAGAAACATTATTCCTATATAGCTCTATTCCCTTTTCTCTTTTTTGTGGTATTATTATTATACATATTACATTTATAAATGTTACAAACCCAAAAATATATTGTTTTAATCATTATTATATATGTTTTCTTGTGTCTTACAGAAGCTGAGAGAAGAAATGACAATAAGGATTTATTTCATAGGTTTTGTTATATTAATCTTCTTACTGATCACTTCCAGTTCTTTTCATTTGTTTTTCTGGATTTGAGTTACTATCTGGAGTCATTTCTTTTTTACTTTATTTATTTATTTATTTATTTTGAGACAGGGTCTCACTCTGTCACTCAATTTGGAGTCCAATGGCATGATCTCAGCTCACTGCAATCTCCGCCCCCTGAGTTCAAGCGATTTTCCCATCTCAGCCTCCTGAGCATCTGGGATTACAGGCGCCCCATACCTGGCTAATTTTTGTATTTTTAGTAGAAATGGGGTCTCACCATGTTGGCCAGGCTTTTCTTGAACTCCTGACCTCAAGTGATCACTGCCTTATAAGCTGGAGTGAGGGAAATTGGGGTCCCAGTATTCTCAGTGGGTACTACTGCCCAAGGTAGTCTCCACCCCATGAGTGCAAGCTGAGAGGAAGACAGGAGCCCCCACCAGTCAGCCACACTTACTTGGGATATTTGGGATAGGTAACTGAAGGCCAGATGAGAAATACTGATGCCCTTTACCTCCAACTGGGAACTGGGGAGAGAAGGAGCCCTATGTTCTTTGCTAAACCAGTCTGGAGTGGAGTTTCCATCTCACTGAGTTGGGAAGGTGGAGGGAGGGAGCATGTCTGGGTTCAAATATAACAGACTCTTGCTTTTCATGTCAAATTTTATTATATTTTCATTCTTTCTTTCTTTCTTTTTTTTGAGATGGAGTCTTGCTCTGTTGCCCACCTAGGCTGGAGCGTAGTGGCGCGATCTCTGCTCACTGCAGCCTCCGCCTCCTGGGTTCAGGCAATTCTCCTGCCTCAGCCTCCCAAGTAGCTGGGATTACAGGCACGCACCACCACGCCTGTCTAATTTTTGTATTTTTAGTAGAGACAGGGTTTTATCATGTTGGCCAGGCTGGTCTTGAACTCCTGACCTCGTGATCTGCCTGCCTCAGCCTCCCGAGGTGCTGGGATTACAGGTGTGAGCCACTGCACCCGGCCTATATTTTCTTAAATAAATATTTCTTCATTTGCTATATGTCCTTGGGACCATTTCCAGATATTTTAAATGGTTTTTTTTTTAAAATAATTGTCACCAGTTTCACTGAGGAGTGGGTCCACAGTGCCCCTGACACTGTCATGCTAGCAATTTCTCTTCTTTGGCTATGGGCTACTCATGAATGGGGAATGGGAAGGGAAATGATGTCCGAAGTGAGACAGCTCCCATTTGGCTGAGGGCAATTCTCTGGAGAAAAAGTCAGCCATGAGCTGTTAGCGGCCAACTCCACAGCAGCTGGGGGATGGATGTCTTACTCACATAAAGGGATCTGGGTAGGCGACAACAGAGTTCCATTACATCACTCAGAGCTGGGTCTAAGGTGAGGTGATTAAGGCACCCACTCTCAGGGTCACACAAGTGCAGGCTTGATACCTGAGAGGGAGCACATCCTTAAATCGTCCCCCAGTTTCCTCACTTGCTTCACCCTGGCCCTGGCCCCAACACTGCTACTCATCCTTTCATTCCTCCACTAACCATGGCTGTGCCTTTCACCCCACCGATAGCTCCTCCTTGAGGCATAACCAATTCCTCAACCTCCTGTGCATAATATTACCCTGTAAATTCTTCCATTGCAATACATAGGGCATTATATCATTTTTGTGTATGTGTATCTTAGTTTTTCCCTCACATCTTGCTCACTCACTGGACATTGCTCCACAAAGCCAGGAATACAGTCTAATTTTTTCCAACATCTTTAATCCCAAAGCATACTAGGCATTCAATAAATGGTTAACCAAAAAAAAAAAAAAAATGAATAAATGAATAGATGTTGAAAGAATCTAACAAGTCACCCAGTTCCTACTTGACAGTAAATCTATGAAATGCATATTAGAGCTGGATCCCCTCTTCGAGGGCATCTAATCTAGTGCTTCTCAAACTTAAATACAATTTACAATTGTTTTAAACAGAAAAAAAAATTCACAAAATCCCTGAAACTCATTTTGTGGACCCCAAGGTCCTTGTCCCCCAGTTTGAGAAAAGCTCACATATTGTCTTTAGAAATGGTTTAAACGATTTTTGACATTATCATCAAATGAAAGCAGGAAATTAAAAATTGCTCTTGGAACTAGGCCTCCTGCATATACCCCTCAGATCTCACCCCAACCCCTCATTTTAACTAAGTTTGCTACAGCTGGGGACTTGGAGTCTGCATTTCAGTTCTTCCAATGTTTCACTTTGGAGATTGGCAAGTTACTTATCAGAGCCTGTTTCCTCATTCATAAAGGTGCAATAATAACATTGATGTCATGGGGTTGTCACAGCCATTAAATTAGAAAATCCAGGAAAATGCTCTGGAAACTGCCCTGGGCCATACACATTTGTAATTATTGCTCATGGGCAAAGCATGGCACAGAAAGCTTCAGACCTTTCCATTAGCACTTTTGCCAGGCATTGTGGAGATGGGATGGAACCCAGTACAAGAGAATAGGGGATCTTCTCTCCCTGTCTCACATTGCTGGCAAGTCAAGATTGCCTTGTTTGCTCAGCTAGGAAGGATGGAGGCTTCCCCAGGGTACTGTTCTCTACCCTGGGGTGTTGTTCTGTTTCATTCACTACCTTCTTTTTTTTTTTTTTACATAGTTTATTTTTATTTTTATTTTTGAGAAGGAATCTCACTCTGTCACCCAGAGTGGAGTGCAGTGGCATGATCTCGGCTCACCACAACCTCTGCCTCCCAGGTTCAAGCGATTCTCCTGCCTCAGCCTCCTGAGTGGTTGGGACCACAGGCATGGGCCACTATGCCCAGATAATTTTTGTATTTTTAGTAGAGATGGGGTTTCACCATGTTGGCCAGGCTGGTCTCGAACTCCTGACCTCAAGCGATCCACCTATCTCAGCCTCCCAAAGTGCTGGGATTACAGGTGTGAGCCTGTAACACTGTAACACACTAAAATGCACTAAGACAACTTTGTGATGATTAATGTTGGGTGTCAACTTGACTGGGCTAAGGGATGCCCAGATAGCTGGTAAAACAGAGAGCTGGTAAACAGATTAGCATTTGAATCACAGACTGAGTAAAGAAGATCCAACCTCACTCAATGTGAATGGGCATTAATCTATTCATTGAGGGCTCAGATAGAACAAAAAGGCAGAGGAAGAGGGCATTATCTCTCTCTTGAAGTGGAACATCCATTGCCCTTGGACATCAGAGCTCTTGGTTATCAGACCTTTGGACTTTGGGACTTATACCAACTGCCCCCTACTTCTTAGACCTTTGGACTTGGATTATATGTTACAACATTGTCTCCACTGTTCTCAGGCCTTTGGACTCAGACTGAATTACAACACTGGTTTTCCTGGTTCTCCACGATGCAAACAACAAATTGTGGGACTTCTTGGCCTCCATAATCATGTGAGCCAATTATTATAATAAATTTCCACATATATGTATACAGAGAGAGAGAGAGACAGAGACAGACAGAGGGAGAGAGAGAGAGAGAGAGAGAGAGAGAGAGACTGTGCCTGACTTATAATGGCTCGACTTTACAATTTCTTTACTTTACAGTGGTGCAAAGGCAATAGGCATTCAGTAGAAATTATACTTTGAGTACTCATACAACCATTTTCTGTTTTTCACATTCAGTATAGTATTCAATAAATTACATGAGATAGTCAACACTTTAGTATAAAATAAGCTTGTGTTAGATCATTTTGCCCAACTGTAGGCTAGAGTAAGTGTTCTGAGCGCGTGTGAGGTAGACTAGGCTAAGCTATTATGTTCAGGTAGGTCGTGTGTATTAAGTGCTTTTTTTTTTTTTTTTTTTTTTTTTTGAGACAAAATCTCACTCTCGCCCAGGGTGGAGTGCAGTGGTGCAATCTCAGCTCACTGCAACCTCCGCCTCCCGGGTTCAAGTGATTCTCCTGCCTCAGCCTCCTGAGCAGCTGGGATTATAGGCATGTGCCACCACACCCAGTTAGTTTCTGTTTTTAGTAGAGGTGGGATATCATTATGTTGACTGGGCTGGTCTCAGACTATTCACCTCAGGTGATCTGTCTGCCTTGGCTTCCCAAAGTTCTGGGATTACAGGCCTGAGACAACACACCTGGCCCCTTAAGTGCATTTTTTTTTTTTTTACTTATAATATGTTCAAATTATGCCAGGTTTATCAAGATGTGACCCCATTGTAAGTTGAGGAGCATCTATATATCCTATTAGTTCTGTTTCTCTGGAGAACCTTGACTAATGCAAGCCCAGAGCACCCACTGCAGGGTCAGCCTGGAGCTCCCCTCCTTGGGACTTGCTGGAAATTGCACCTTGCTTACCTGCTGTGCTTTTGTTGTGTTGGGGGTTTTCGAGTGGTCTGAGTTAACCAGCTTCTCCAAGAGTGATATTTCCCCTTCAGTTAGATTTGCATCAGACATGAGTCTTAGACACTGTCTAATGCTCAAGGAATTTATTCTGGCAGCACTTTTATAAGACAGGAGCAGGCTGGTGGCATGGGCTAGATACAGTCAGGGGATCAGATGACAAATGACAGAGAGGGTCTCCATCTGGAGACTGTTCTCAGAGTTTGGGGGATCCTTCCCCCTTTCTTATACCTGCATTCAGTCCAGGTCAATTACCTCAGTTACAAAGTGTTTCTTTCATAAATGGAGTTGAAGCTATTCTTGTAAGAGTAAGCTTTGTTTTATGATTTATGAAAGTTGCATCTATGCTGAGGTGGCCTTGTCTCCTGGAAATCCATGGACCAGAGTTGGAAATCTCCAGGTCAGGTTGTAGCATACTACCAAGTGACCAGTAGTACCAGCCCTGCAAGATGCATGAGTGGGCCTTATGGCTGCCATTAATCTTATAGCCATGATATGCCTCTTCCAGTGTACTACACCTTTCCCCGTCCTGCTGCCCCCCACACCCTCAGAGATGTCTTCTGGAATAAGTCGACTGCACAAGACTGCTTCTGAGGAATCTCTCCTAAATGAGGGAAGCCCAACCTTCTTAGTCCCTTTGGGCTGCTGTAATGAAGAGTAATATACTGGGTGGCTTATAAATAACAGAAATTTATTTCTCACAGTTTTCTTAAATTATCTGAATCAAATTTAACAGTTCTGGAGGCCGGAAATCAGAGAACAGGTGCTGGCATGGTTGGGTTCGGGTGAGGGTTTCCTCCAGTGACAGACAGCTGACTTCTTACATCCTCACGAGGGAGAGTGTATTAACTCTCTGACCTTTTCTTATAAGGGCACAAATCCCATTCATGAGGGTTCCACCTTCATGACCTTATCACCTCCTAAAGGCACAAACTGCTAATATCATCACACTGGGATTAGAGCTTCAACATAAGAATTTGTGGGGTGGGGGGACACACACTTTCAGTCCATTGCACCAACCTAGCAGAGACTTTCCAGTTTGGCTTCAGGGACTCCTTCTCAGGCTCCTCTTCACATTTGACACCATGGGCCACTCTCCTTCCAAAGCTCTTTAATGCGACACGGCATTCTCCAGTGTCTGCATTCTCTCTGATGCTCCTTCTCTGCTTCTTTCTCTGGCTCCAAGTACTTCCTCCAGTCACTAAGGGAGTGTTCCTCAAAGTTCCTTTGTCTTCTCTTCTCTCTCTACACTTTTTGACTTGCTGATCTTACTCGCCATCATGGCTCAGCCAGTATCTGTTTTCTCTCCTGAGCTTCAATCTCGCATTACCAACAAATCTCCCATATTACCAACAAATCCTGGTAGCTCGTCTTCACCGTGTCTGGAATGGACTCTTCCTCCAACCTGCTTCCCCTCCCTGTCTCCTAGTTCTGTGAGTTGCTCCTCCACCCCACTTCAGTGTCATCTCAGGCTCCTCCCTCTACTTTGTTCCCCTTCCCAAGCAGTTGCCAAGGCCTCTTGATCTTGTCTCTGCAATTCTTGACTCATTCACTCTCTCCCCATTTCACCACCACCTCAGTAAGTTGAGTCCATATGTAAGTCCAAGACCATCCATGCCTTCTATTTAGTCTTGCATAATTTCTGGTCCTATCCCAAGATATTACAAATGTTGGGACAGATCCTGGGATCCCAAATTTCTTTTTCTGAAAGCATCACTAATGGATTCCATGGCTGTTACATCTGTTTATATCTAGTAGATTCATGTTATCGTGTTCATGTCAGAAGATATTAATACTGGAAATTATAGGCATTAGTGGTCAAAAAAGAAAGAAGCCCTAGACATTTGTGGAATAGAGAGGAGAGATGACTTAAATTCTTTGTACCACAAGCTATGACTTAATAAGTCTCTTAACAAAGGTTACTATAAAGTAAATGAGAAAATACTCATCTCATGGGCATGCATTGAGCTGTAAAACCACAGTAATTTGCTGAAAATAACTGGATCAATATACCTTTTTTATGAAACTTTGACTAAAGTGGTTCATTTATATTATCAAAAAGCAAATAGCTTGTTCCAACTGGGTAAAAGTTATATAAATATATCACCGACACCATCAAAATAGAATTCAAAAAATACCGACTTACTATTTCACTGACTTAATTTCCTCCACTGCAAAATTTAGCATGCATCTGTGTCGTAGGTAATTATTTATCTCATCTGCTCATAATAGCAACATCCTTCTTCCGGGAAACTGCCCCCTAGCCACATGAGTCTGCCATTTGTGATACTCTGTGTTCTGGCCACCAGTGAATGCAGGTGACACAAGTGGAGTATTAACTCCCAAGGGCTTGGTTTGGGCCGGGAATTGACACATGACCTAAGCCTGGCCAATCAGAGTTTTCTTGTTAGATTTTTATCATTCAAACTTGGAAAGGAGAGCTGTGGTTGCACACGGTGTGGATGTAATGCTGGGACTGCCCACGGCCACATCCCTTATCTTATGGAGAAGCCAGTCTAAGAAAACAAAGCTAGCAAGGAGATAAGAACAGAGCCCCAAGGACAGTATGAGAGTCCTGGCGGTTTAAGCCCTGGATCCAGCTGAACCTACTCTTTCTATAGTCTTTCTCCCTGAGCCAATACATTTTACCCTTGTGCCTAAGCTAATTTAAAGAGTTTTGACCAGCAAATCCTTGTAGGCAGAAGATATATTTTCTATCAATCTGTGCCTCTTGGCATCTAGAGCAAGTGAGGGTTTTAGGAAGACCTGCTGATTGATTAAAGACTAATTTATTAGACAATTATCCGAATCAAATTTAACTGAGTCATTTCTTTTCTCCAAGACAGGCATGCAAGTGTGCACGAGCATATGCACATCACATACTCACATACACACACAGACTAAGTTTGGTGGCCAGGCATGGTGGCTCATGCCTATAATCCCAGCACTTTGGGAGGCCAAGGTGGGAGGATCGCTTGAGCTCAGGAGTTTGAGATCAGCCTGGCCAACATAGCAAAACCCTGTCTCTACCAAAAAATACAAAAATTAGCTGGGCATGGTGGTGTGCACCTGTGATCCCAGCTACTTGATAGGCTGAGGTGTGAGAATCACTTGAGCCCAGGAGGAGATCTTGAGATCACGCCACTGCACTCCAGCCTGGGAGACAGAGTGAGACCTCATCTCAAACAAACAAACAAACAAACAAACAAAAATAGACTAACTTTAGCATTCCCCATTTAGCAGACCTGGAGAGTGTGCATGTGTGACCGAGTGTACGTGCACACACACACACAGTCATCCAACTCACACAATACTCTTTTCTAGGAATACAGAAAAGCTTCACAGGTCATACTGGCAAAACCAAGTTGTTTTTTCTTTCTTTTTTTTTTTTTTTTTTTTTTTTTTGAGATGGAGTCTCGCTCTGTTGCCCAGGCTGGAGTGCAGTGGCGCAATCTCGGCTCACTGCAAGCTCTGCCTCCCGGGCTCACACCATTCTCTTGCCTCAGCCTCCCGAGTAGCTGGGACTACAGGTGCCCACCACCACGCCCAGCTAATTTTTTGTATTTTCTAGTAGAGACGGGGTTTCACCGTGTTAGCCAGGATGGTCTGGATCTCCTGACCTCATGATCCACCCGCCTTGGCCTCCCAAAGTGCTGGGATTACAGGCATGAGCCACCACGCCCGACCAAAACCAAGTTTTTTAGGGAATGTTTTCACATTATGTATAAGATGGGGAAGAAAAAGAGTATTATACAGCTTTCATTTTGTTTCAGGGACTGTGCTTTGTGTTGTAATATATTTCCTCTCATTTTCTTACCACAAAATTCTATCAGGTGCACATTATTATCCCCATTTGACAGATGAGGGAGCTGGAGACATGAAGCTCAAGGCCACACAGCTGCTATCTCTATCTGGAATTCAGCATGGACCCTGGCTTGTGGACTATGCTGCCTCCCTGTGGACTATGCACTGCTCCAGAGGCAAAATGGAGACCACAACAATCCATTTCTTGAAACACAGCCTAAGTTTCTAGAATCAAGATAGGTGCATAGCTAAAGTATTTGTCTATGCAAATAGAAACGGGCACAACGGAAAGACCAGGGTCATGAAGGGAAAGTCAGCGAAGGGCGAAGGGGGTGGGGGGCAGAGAGCCAGGAGGTTTGCTGAGGCATTAACCGAGTCCCACGGCTGGCACTGGCTCTAGACTATGAGCTCACCCATACACAATGATCATGGAGCCTGTGCCACCTGATCCAGGGCTTGGCACAGGGTAACTTCTCAGTGTTTCTGACTGAACTGGGGGAGATTTATTGAATAGCATGGGAAGGAGTAGCAGTCCTCAAAATACTGCCTCCAGTGTTTTGTCCACGAAGATGAAGAAAATAACCAGATCTTGCAGCAGCACTGAAAACTACGACCAACAGGCAATCAATAGACAGATAAATTGGGATCTGATTATGAGGCAGATATAACCATTTTGAGGAAAGCACCCAAGCTACAGCTCCTGGTACGAACCCCAGCTTTGCCTTCTGAGTGCTGGATGTAAGTAAGCAAGCTTGATTCTTCCATCTAGGTTTTGTCCTTGGGCTCAGACACACAAAACATAGGAAGAACAAAAGCTGGCATTTAATCCACCCTCTAAATCCCTTGGATATTTATTTATGCACTTTGTGCATTTTTTGTACACTTCCCTTCTCTTTTATACCCTCCATTCTCACATCCCATATTTCTGGAGATAGAGGCTACCAATTCCAGGGAATGGGGCAGTAAGTGAGTCTTGTGTATGTGTATGTTGAGTGGGGGTTGGGGGAAGTGAGTGTGTGTATAGTACATCTTGGGAAGTTAGTTCTAGGAGTAAAGAATTATCGGGCCAGGTGTGGTGGCTCATGCCTGTAATCCCAGCACTTTGGGAGGCCGAGGCGGGCAGATCCCCTGAGATCAGGAGCTCGAGACCAGCACGGCCAACGTGGTGAAACCTAGTCTCTTCTAAAAATACAAAAATTAGCCAGGTGTGGTGGCAGGCACCTGTAATCCCAGCTACTCAGGAGGCTGAGGCAGGAGAATCGCTTGAACTCAGGAGGCAGAGGTTGCAGTGAGCCAAAACTGTGTGGGAGAGACCCAAAGGACCTTGCAGTAGTTCATCCAAGATATTCCATTCATTTAGGGAAACAGAGGAATGCAGACAGGGAGTATGAGAAAGCTGCCATATGGGTAGTGCAACGCTTCCCTGGGAAACAGGCAGGGAAATCAACCTACTCCAAGCTGTAGATTTGAGAAGAGAAACCAAGCACTGTGGAGATGACGACCCACAGCCACCCACCCCCAAATAGTCTGTGTGATCACACCTTGCCTTGTTTGATGCGGAGTGAAGAGAACTGGATTTATAACAACATTTAAAGTGACATTTAAATAATTTAAAACAATATTGGATTTACAACAAAATAATGATTTTTTTTTAACATAGTCTTGCTCTGTCACCCAGGCTGGAGTGCAGTGGCATGATCTCAGCTCACTGCAACCTCCACCTCCTGGATTCAAGCAATTCTCCTGCCTCAGCCTCCCGAGTAGCTGGGATTACAGGTGCGTGCCACCATGCCTGGCTAATTTTTGTGTTTTTAGTAGAGATGGGGTTTCACCATGTTGACCAGGTTGGTCTCGAACTCCTGACCTCGTGATCCACCCGCCTCAGCCTCCCAAAGTCCTGGGATTACAGGCGTGAGCCACCGTGCCCGGCCCTAGCTATCTTTCTTTTATCAATTTCTGATTTAATTCTATTGTAGTCTGAGAGCAGATATTGTGTAGTTTCTGTTGTTTTAAACTTGCTAAGATAGGTGCATGGCCCATAATGTGGTCTGCCATGGTGAATAGAATATATTTTTTACTTTTTAGTATGTGGAAAAACAGTATAATGAACTATATTTTCATCACTAGGCTTCAACTGTTATCAACACATGGCCAATCTTATTTCATCACTGGTTTCTCTCTTCCTGGCTAATTTAAAGCAAATTTTAGAAATTATATCATTTTATCAATAATTGCTTCAGTATATATTATAATGTGGGCATCACCATTGAGAATGTGGTCCTTAGGAATTCAACAAAATCATCCTGTACCAAGACCCACTGATATCCTTGCCTTTACCTACCCTACTCTATGCCCTATACCTTGGCCCAGGCTAGATGAATCTAATTTGTCTCTGTGCACTGAAAGGACTCTGCAGGTGGCTGATATAAATATGCCTTTGGGAAGCTACTTCGGGTGGCCAAGGGGACAGTATTGCAGTTGGCAGTCTGACTCCAGCTGTCACCACTTGTGAGCCATGTAGCCTCAGACAAGGCATTTAACCTCTAGAGCTGTATCAAGGTTTTTCTCTTCTGATTAAATGGAGAACATAAAACCTACTTCACCAAATTGTTATGAAGCTTAACTAAATAAAAGTGAAAGTCAGGTTAGTCATTATTATCACAGTTTATGCAGCAACACAATCATGTCAGGGAAGTCTTTAGTGTAGGGATTTCTTTTGCATACAGGAAGCCCTGTGCCAACTTTAGAGAGTCCAGAAAACCCCATGAAACCACAAGACCTAGGCACCAATTCCCAGAACAAGGCTGAATTTAGTCCCTGATAGAGTCTGAATCCTGACTATGGCAAGCTAGGCAACTCAAACTGTCCATTGTGAACTGGGCATTATCTAATCCACTGAGTCATAAAATTGGAATGTGCAGCAGTACTCAGTATAAAATGGAAATGGTGTTTACAAGATAAGGCCCAAGCAGGTATAAAAGGCTCAAGAATATTGCATAAGCAGGTGGCTCACCCTCCCACATTTTTTGCTTCTACTACTTTACCACCTCTCTCAGCCCACACCAGTGGCCTCAAGGGGAGTTGCCTAGGACTAGCTGACAGAAGAAGAAAAAGCACAGGCTTGGTTTGCAGTGGGTCTGCATGATAGGGCTGCAAGTGAACAGCTGCTGTTTTACAGCTCCCCTGAAGAGTGAGTCTGAAAGGCAAGGGTGAAAGGAAATCCTCTTAATAGGCAGAATTTTAAGCAGTACATCTGTTGTCCACTTACTGTAGAAGGCGAGATGCCCTGGAGTATGCAACTATACCAATTTATGATCAAGGATTAATGGATTAGAAGAGTGGTCACTGACTTCTGAGGAGCAAGATTGGAAGACTAGTGACAAGGAAGTCTTCAGGAAGTATGTGAATTAACTCTTCAAAACAGGCACTAAAAATGTACATATTTGTAACCACTATGAATGCTCACCAAAGGGCATCTACTGAAGAGGCAGCTCTCTGTGGTCTAGTGGAGTGCACAAAACAACCCATGTGTGGCTGAAAGTGATTTCCTTTCCCTAAACATTTTGATGCTTACTCAATGGGCCCATAAACAAAATGTCCACGGTGGCAGGGGTAGATTTTACATGAGCTCACCAAGCTGGATTCCTCTCGCCAAGATTAATCTAGCTAACGTCACTGCTGGGTGCCCAATGTTCTAACAGCAGAGATAACACTGGGGCCTCATTATGACACCTATCCTTGGGCTGCCAGCCAGCCCCAATGTCTTAGGTTGATTATACTGGACATTTTCCATTGCGGAGGAGACAGCAATTTGTCTTTATGGGAATAGATACTTATTCAAGATACGAGTTTGTCTTCTATGCCCACCATAGAAGTCCTTCTGCCAGCACCATTTGTGGGCTTAAATAATGCCTTACTCAACATCTGCAACTCACACAAAATTGCCTTTATTAAGGAGATCATTTTATGGTGAAGGGCATTCTATAGACGTGAGCTCATTACTTGTATCTATAGAATTCACTGTTTTTGCCATGTGCTACACATCACCCCAAATCAGCTGGCTTGATTAAACAGTGGAATGGCCTGTGGAGGGCTCAGTTACAGTGACAGCTGGGAGGCTAGGGTGCTGCCCCATAGCATGCAGTATATGCCATACACCAGTGGCCAAAACATGGTTATGGTCAAACTCTTTCCTAAAATTTTCCTCTGGATCTTTCAGAGGCTTTGCCTTCCTTTTAATTCTTCCTAATGCTATTTTCTCTTAAAAAATTCATCATTGGCTGGGTGTGGTGGCTCATGCCTGTAATCCCAGCACTTTGAGAGGCCAAGGTGGGTGGATCACCTGAGGTCAGGAGTTCCAAATTTCATATGGAACCAAAAAAGAGCCCATATAGCCAAGACAATCCTAAGCAAAAAGAACAAAGCTGGAGGCATCATGCTGCCTGACTTCAAACTATACTACAAGGCTACAGTAAGCAAAACAGCATGGTACTGATACTGAAACAGATATATAGACCAACGGAACAAGACAGAGGCCTCAGAAATCATGCCACACATCTACAACCATCTGATCTTTGAGGAACCTGACAAAAACAAGCAATGGGGAAAGGATTCCCTATTTAATAAATGGTGTTGGGAAAACTGGCTAGCCATATGAGAAAACTGAAACTGGACCCCTTCCTTACACCTTATAAAAACAGTAACTCAAGATGGATTAAAGACTTAAACCTAAGACCTAACACCATAAAAACTATAGAAGAAAACCTAGGCAATACCATTCAGGACATAGGCATGGGCAAGGACTTCATGAATAAAACACCAAAAGCAACGGCAACAAAAGCCAAAATTGACAAATGGGATCTAATTAAACTAAAGAGCTTCTGCACAGCAAAAGTAACTATCATCAGAATGAACAGGCAATCTACAGAATGGGAGAAAAAATTTGCAATCTATCCATCTGACAAAGGGCTAATATCCAGAATCTATAAGGCACTTAAGCAAATTCACAAGAAAATAACAACCTCATCAAAAGGTGGGCGAAGGATATGAACAGACATGTCTCAAAAGAAGACATTTATGTAGCCAACAAACGTATGAAAAAAAGCTCATCATCACTGGTCATTAGACAAATGCAAATCAAAACCACAATGAGATACCATCTCACGCCAGTTAGAATGGCGATCATTAAAAAGTCAGGAAACAACAGATGCTGGAAAGGATGTGGAGAAACAGGAACGCTTTTACATTGTTGGTGGGAGTGTAAATTAGTTCAACCATTGTGGAAGACAGTGTGGCGATTCCTCAAGGATCTAGAGCCAGAAATACCATTTGACCCAGCAATCCCATTACTGCATATATACCCAAAAGATTATAAATCATTCTACTATAAAGACACATGCACACGTATGTTTATTGTAGCACTGTTCACAATAGCAAAGACTTGGAACCAACCCAAAGGCCCATCAATGATAGACTGGATAAAGAAAATATGTCACATATACACCATGGAATACTATGCAGCCATAAAAAGGATGAGTTTATGTCCTTTGCAGGGACATGGATGAAGCTGGAAACCATCATTCTCAGCAAACTAACACAGAAACAGAAAACCAAACACTGCATCTTCTCACTCATAAGTGGGAGTCGAACAATGAGAACACATGGACACAGGGAGAGGAATATCACACACCAGGGCCTGTTTGGGGGTGAGGGGTTAGGGGAAGGATAGCATTAGGAGAAATACCTAATGTAGATGATGGGTTTATGGTGCAGCAAACCACCATGGCACATGTATACCTATGTAACAAACCTGCACGTTCTGCACATGTATCCCAGAACTTAAAGTATAATAAATTTTAAAAAAAGCAAAACTAAAGAGGTGGCTAACACAGTCATGTGGTTTGTTTAAAAAAGAAAAGAAAAGAAAAGAAAGATAGCTGGAAAATAGCCAAATACTTGGAGATTAAACAATACACTTTTAAAGAAAACATAGGCCAAAGAAGAAATCTCAATAGAGATTTAAAGATATTTTTAACTAAATAAAAATAAAAATACAACTTATCAAAATTTGTGGTATATAGTGAAAGCAATACTAAGAGGAAAATGTATAGCATTGAATTTATATATTAGAAAAGAAGAAAGATGTAAAATCAATCATCTAAGCTTCCACTTTTGGAAACTGCAACAAAAAGAGAAAATTAAATGTAAAGTAACAGAAAAGATAAATAAAAATTAAAGCAGAAATCAATGAAATTCAAAACAGAAAAGCAACAGAGAAAATCAACAAAGCCAAAAGCTGGTTCTTTGAAAAGATGAAAAAAATTGATAAGCCTCTAGCCAAGCTAAATAAGGCAAAAAGAAAGAAAACACAAATTACTAATATAAAAAATGAAAGAGGGGACATCACTACAGATCCCAAGAACACTGAAGGAATGATAAAGGAATACTATGAACAACACTGTGCCCATAAATTTGTTAACCTAGATAAAATGGGCCAATTCCCTGGAAGTCACATTTTGCCAAAACTCACCTAAGAATAAATAGACAATCTGAATAGACCTATAACAATTAGAGAGATTGAATAAATAATAAATTTCCAAAACAGAAAGCACCAACTCCACATGGCTTCACTGGTGAATTCTACCAAATATTAAAGGAAAAACATATACCTATTTTCTACAATCTCTTCCAGAAGACAGAAGCAGAGGAAGTACACCTTAACTTATTTTATGAGGTCAGCATCAATCTAATAACAAAATTAAACAAAGGCATTCTAAGAAAATAAAACTACAGACCAATATCTCTCATGAATATAGATGCAAAAACTCTCAACAAACATTAGATAATTGAATCTAACCATGTATAAAAAGAATTATACACCATGGACAAGTGGGATATACACCTGGTATTCAAGACTTGTTCAGCATTCAAAAATCAGTTAATGTAATCCAACACATCAACGAGCTAAAGAAGAAAAAGTACATGATCATACCAATAGATTCAGAAAAAGCATTTGACAAATTCCAATACCCATTTATGTTAGAAACTCTCAGCAAACAGAATAGAGGGGACCTCCCCCAATTTGATAAAGGGTATCTACAAAACAGTATACAACTAACATCTTATTTAATGGTGAGAAACTCAAAGCTTTTTCACAAGATCAGGAACAAGGCAAAGATGTCCCATCACACCATTCCTTTTCAACATTGTATTGGAAGTCCTAGCTAATACACAAGACAAGAAACAAACAAAAAAAGGTACACAGATTGAGAGAGAAGAAACAAAACCGTCTTTGTTTGAAGATGACCTGACTGTCTATGAAGAAAATCCAACAGAATCAACAAAAAACTCCTAGAACTAATAAGTGATTGTAGCAAGATTGCAGAATATAAGGTTAATATACAAAAGTCAATAACTTTCCTTTATACTAGCAACAAACAAGTAGAATTTGAATTTTAAAACATGTAACCACTTAAACACTGATGATAGAACATGGTAAAAAATAAAAATAAAGAAATGAAAACACACTACCGTTTACATTAGCACCCCTCAAAATGAAATACTTAGTTATAAATCTATCAAATATGTATATGATTCATATGAACGGAACTGTAAAACTCTGAAAGATAGCAAAGAAAAACTAAATAATGGAAGAGATATTTCATGTTCATGGATAGGAAGACTCAATATTTTCAAGATGTCAGCTCTTTTCAATTTTACCTATGCATTCAATGCAATCCAACTCAAAATCTTAGTAAATTATTTTGTGGATATCTATAGACCAATTCTAAAGTTCATATGGAGAGGCAAAAGACTCAGAATAACCAACTCAATATTGAAGGAGAGGAAGAAAATCAGAAGAGTGACACTACCTGGCTTCAAAAGTTATTACAGAGCTATGGTAATAAAGACAGTGTAACACTAATTTTTTTTTAAGCTTGATAATGTTTTGTTGTGTTTTGAGACAGACTCTCACTCTACTGCCCAGGCTGGAGTGCAAGTGGCACAATCTTGGCTCACTGCAACCTCCACCTCCCAGGTTCAAGTGATTCTTGTGCCTCACCCTCCCAAGTAGTTGAGATTACAGGCCCACACAATCATATATGGCTAATTTTTGTATTTTTAGTAGAGACAGAGTTTTGTCATGTTGGCCAGGGTGGCCTTGAACTCCCGGCCTCAAGTGATCCGCCAACATCGGCCTCCCAAAGTGCTGGGATTACAGGTGTGACCCACCACGACTGGCCAGTGTGGTATTAATTTAAAAACAGGCTAAGCATGGTGGCTCACACCTGTGATCCTAGCACTTTGGGAGGCTGAGGTGGGAGGATCGCTTGAGTCCAAGAGTTCGAGACCAGCCAAGGCTACATAGTGAGACCTCGTCTCTATAAAAAATAGAAAAATTAGTCAGGTATGGTGGTGCATGCTACTCAGGAGGCTAAGGTGAGGGGATCACTTGAGCCCAAGGGTTTGAAGTTGAGGCTACAGTGAGCTGTGATTGTGCCACCACATCCCAGCCTGTGTGACAGAGTGAGGTCCTGTCTCAAAAAAAAAAAAAAAAAAAAAAAAAAAAAAAAAAAAAAAAGACAAATTGGGCAATGGAACAGAATAGAATAGAAAGCCCAGAAATAGACCCACATAAATATAATTATCTTTGGCAAAGGAGCAAGGGTAATACAGTGGAACAAAGATGGTTATTTGAACAAATGATGTTGGAACAACTAGACATCCACATAAAAAAAAATTCATCTAGACACAGACCTTATGCCCTTCACAGGAATGAACTAAAAATGGATTATAGATCTGAACATAATACACAAAACTGTAAGCTCCTAGAAGATAACATAGGAGAAAATCTAGGTGACCTTGGCCTTGGCAATGACTTTTTCAATACAACAACAAAGACAGATCTATGAGAGAAAGAATTGATAAGAGGGACCTCATTAAGATTAAAAAATTCTGCTCTGTGAAAAACAATGTCAAAAGAACAAGAAGATAAGCCACAGTTTGGGAGAAAATATTTGCAAAAGACACATCTGATAAAAGACTATCATCCAAAATATACAAAGAAGTCTCAACAATAAGAAAATGAACAACCCAATTAAAAAATGGGAAAATACCTGAATAAACACCACACCAAAAAATATATACAAATAGTATGCATACAAAAAGAAGTTCAACATCATATGTCATGAGGGAATTGCAAATTAAAACAACAATGAGACACTGCTACGCACCCGTTAGAATGATCAAAATTCAGAACACTGACACCACCAAATGCTGGTAAGGATGTGGAGTAAAGGAACACTCATCCATTGCTGGTGAGAATGAAAAACTGTATGGCCACTTCAGAAGGCAATTTGGCAGTTTCTTGCAAAACGAAACATGCTCTTACTAGATGATCCAGCAATCACACTACTTGGTATTTACCCAAATGAATTGAAAACATTGTCTACACGAAAACTTGCACACGAATGTTTATAATGGCTTTAATCATAATTGCCAAAACTGGGAAGCAACCAAAATGTCTCTCAGTAGGGAATGGATAAATAAACTGTGATACCCCCAGGCAATAGAGTATTATTCACTACTAAAAAGAAACGAGCTATCAAGCCATGAAACAACATGGAGGAAACTTAAATGCATATTACTAGGTGAAAGTAGCCAGGCTGAAAAGGCTATATACAGTATGATTCCAACTCTTGGAATTCTGGAAAAGGCAAAACTATGGAGACTATAAAAAAGATAAGTAGTTGCCAGGGGTTGAGGGAAGGAGGGATTAAATAGGCAGAACATAGAGGATTTTTTAGGGCAGTGAAACTATTTTGTATGATACTGCAATGAGGGATACATGTAATTGTGCATTCGCCCAAACACATAGAATGTACCACAGCAAGAGCAGTCCCCAGTGTAAACTATAAATGGAAAAGTCCCTAAATGTTAACTATACAGTGGGGAAGTAGCAGTGTAGGTTTATGGATTGTAACAAATGTACCACTCTGGGGCAGGATGTCAATAGCTGGGGAGGCTGTGCACATGTGGCGCAGGGGACATATAAGAAATCTCTCTACTTTCTGCTCAATTTTGATGTGATCCCAAAACTGTTCTAAAAATAAGTGTGTGTGTGTGTGTGTGTGTGTGTGTGTGTGTGTGTGTAAAATAGCTTATACATATCTACTTTTAACATAGCTTATACATAATCTACTTTAAGGGGGGTGAGGTAGGAAAGAGGGAGCTGTACAATCAAATAAATATAATTGGTATGAATCTCACTCTTGCTACATTTGTTTTCCTTAAACCAACTTAAATCTGACCCCAGGACCTTGTCCTTCCTACATAATCCATGTTGGACACTGTTAGGTTCTTCTTCCTGCCGGGGTGTCCAAGATGCTGCTATAGAGCCCTGAGAATCAGAGGAACATCCCTACTCTGCATTTCATCACAGCTGCCTCTGTCTTCCTCATTGTCCAGGCCTGTAGTATTTCCAGGTAGGGTACCTTTTTGCTTTGAGGTCACATATGGAGCCCAGGAAACTTTGCTGAGGTTGGGGATGCCCTACTGGGGTCTCAGCCTCCCTCTTCTCCATACTCACTCATCCTCCTGAGGCCTGGCTACCCTCTCATGCAGGGTAAGAGTGACCACAGCTCACATGCCTCCGGACCTGGTTCCCTTTCCTTTCAATTGTGTGTGAGTGCAGGGGGAGGGCCTGATTCTCAAAGGCGTTGCACCTGTGTACACACCCATCATAATACTTTTAGCGGTGACCTGCACCATGACAGCAGACAGGGCTCTCTCTCAACACCATCCTGATGTTCTGCTTCAAGAAAAGTCCAGATGGTAAGGGACCACTTAGCTTGGCCACCTGGGAAAACTGGGAGAGGACAAGAGAAAAGTGGAGGGGGGCACAAAGAGGAGAAAAACAATTATTTTCTACTTTTTCAATAGATGATCGCACCTGGTAAGAATCAGGATGGGCCATGGGTGCTATTGAATTCCACTGGCTCCTCCTCCTTTCCCTCCCCACATCTGAGTTATGTCAGCTCTGTGAGGGTCCTCAACTCATGGGGCTGCCCCGCATCCAGGTTCCTCTCTGCTTGTGCCCCACATCTCATGGCTGGGGCCTCTGTTCCTCTTCCTTGGCCTTGAGGTAAAAAAGCCACTTACCTGCTGTCTCCACCACTACACCATGCATTCCCAGGGCCTCAGGGGTTTGGGGAGCTGAGTCTGGGGCCTGACATGTGGAGAGTGACGAAGACAGTTGTGTGAGAAAGGGATTCCACCTCTTTCTACCCAGCAAGCCATGAGAGCCAGGGGGGTAACCTCAACCTGCCTCTCCTCAGATTTCCTCACCTTGCAGCTGCCCAGGAGGCCTCAGGGGCAGAGGACACAGATGGGCCATTCCCGTGGGCATGGCTGCTCCCCCTCATGCAATTCCCTCTTAACCCGCTCTCTGAAATTCCCTATTTCTACTCCTTCCATGCACACCAGAGCAGCAGGAGCCAAGGGGCTGCAGGAAGTGGGTATCCCCAAGCTGCTAAAACTCCAGAGCCTTCCCAAGTTTTCTACAGGCCATAACTGTCTGAACATGGGCTCCAGCAGGTGGCTCACCTGGGACAGCCAGGGGAGTGTGATCCCCTCAGAACTCAGGGTGCACTGAAATCTCAGACCTCACCTGCCCCTCCACCAGAGTTACCATGCCTGACATTCCAAATGACCTCCTGAGTGTTCAGCCTCAGGCCAGCAGCCATGGGACACAAATAGAGAGACATATGCATTCTTCCCGAAAGGAGGCTTTTACTCAGATGTTGGGGACCAGTTACGCACACATTGACTGTGTATTTATTGAATCCTGGGTCACTGGGGCAAGCTTGAACTGCTCATCCTGTCCTGCCCAACACACTTTTACAGCTGCCACAGGATGCTCTAGGAACAGCTCTCCCACAATGTCGCCCCAGATTCACCCTGTCTTTCATCTCTTCACTCTTTTTTTTTTTTTTTTTTTTGAGACAGAATCTCACTCTATTGCCCAGGCTGGAGTGCAATGGCATGATCTCAGCTCACTGCAACCTCCACCTCCCAGGTTCAAGCGATTCTCCTGCCTCAGCCTCCCTCAGTAGCTGGGACTACAGGCACACACCACCACGCCTGGCTAATTTTTGTATTTTTAGTAGAGACGGGGTTTCACTATGTTGGCCAGGCTGGTCTCGAACTCCTAACCTTGTGATCTGCCCGCCTCAGCCGTCCAAAGTGCTGGGATTACAGGCGTGAGCCACCACTCCTGGCCTATCTCTTCACTCTTATACTCACCTCCAGTGATCATGCCTGCACTCAAAATAGAAATGTGGTCGGTTGTAATGCAATGTTTCTACCCTGCGCATGCACTGCCTGTATGATTTTTCCCTCACATGTCTTTCTACCATTTGTTAATTTTTTCTTGGTATGCCTTTTGTTTTTTACCTAAATAGATATCAAATGCCATAAACAGAAGAACTGTAAGAATAAATACATATCTAACAGTGCTGCTTTTTTCAACACAGACCTGCCAACAGTACTAAGGATGGAGAAGAGAGAATTGAGATCACATAGGTGGTATTGTAGGCCAGGCAGGTCTGGAAGCGGTGATGCCACTTCTCTCTACAGTTCATTGTCCAGAACTCAGTCACAGGCCCCAACCCAAGGGCAAGTGAGCTGGGAAGTATTGTTTAATTATGTGGCCAGGAGCATAATGCAACTGTTTTGGTGGGCTCTTAGCCAGACTCTGCCTTCCTGATGTAGTGAGAAAAGCATTAGATGAGGCAATAGTCATTCTTTCACTATCCACAGCTCTCCAAGCCTTGGTGTATTTGATGCATGGGAAAAATAATACCAGCCTTGTCCATCTCACTGGGTATTTTCAGAAACAAACAACATCAGGATGAGGTTTATAAATATTGTTGTTAAATTGAACTCTAAAGATATGTGTTGGTGGGGGGTGGAGTTCCTAATTGGGGAAGGATCCAGAGCAGCAAGAATTGCTCTGCAACAAAAAATATTTTGTTGACTTTTCTTTAGGTAGGAGTCAAAGTTTCATTCAACATAAGAAAGACATATGAATATATAATAAAATTTCTTGAAAACTGCCACACATTCAGTTCAAGTTTTTTGGCCTAGTTAATTTTCTTTATTTTAGTGTGTTTTAATTCTTTGGGGAAAAGACACTGAAAACAAAATAAAAGAAAACATACCCCTAAGCTCCTCTCTTTTGAGTTACAAAAATATGTGAAAATCCTTGCTTCTGACTGCTCCTATTTCAGTCTCCAGAGTTAACCTTGCCTACAGTTTATAATTTATCATTTCCTAAATTCACCACTGCTTATAAAGGCACGCTGTTGTAAAAACACAATATAATGGTATATTCATATAATGAAATGCTACCTAGCTGTAAAAAGAAACAAACCTTTGATATACACAATTTGGATCTCAAGAACAATATGATGAATGAAAAAAACCAATCTCAAAAGTCACATGCTGTATTATTCCATCTATATAACATTCTTAAAATGACAAAATTATAGCTATGGAGAGCAGATAAGTGTTGCCAGGCATTAGAGAAGGGGTAGCAGGAGATAGTTCCTTTTGGTGATGTAATGTAATAGTTCTGTGTCTTAATTGTGGCCATGCTTATATGAATTTATACATGTGATAAAATTGCATAGAACCTACATATGCAAACACTCAAATGAGGTTTTTATATGCAAATTGGCATATAAAAACCGATGAACTCTGAATAAGCTTTATAACCTAGTTGGTATTGTACCCATGTCAATTTCCAAGTTTTGATATTTATAGTTGTGTACAATTTTATCACTGGGGAGAGTGGGGTGAAGGATACACAAGCTCTTTCTGTACTATTTTTAAAACTTCCAGAGTGGTGTCAGCAAGATGGTGAATAGACAACCCCCAGCACAAAAGTACAACTAGCAACTACTGAGAAACAACAATACCATCCTGAATTCACAGAACTTGGGGGAGAAGTAGAGAAGCTCCCTGGGCCCACAGAAATGAGAAAAGCCACAACTAGTAAAAGAAAAGGTCGTTTTAGACTGCACCACCCACTCCCCTAAGCTGGAATAATGCCATTCATGGAGAATTTCCATGGATGGACCTACAGTTTCTGAGCTGGGAGGAGGGAATTGGAGGTGGATGTTTGATCTCCCTACTAGTCTCGGAATCTTCATGGAAAACCTGCTTTGGTCCTGTTCTACCAGAAGCATTGGGAGTAACAAGAGGGCTGACCCACCTGAGGTGATCTGGAGACAAAGAGTAGGAGTGCTGATCTCAGCAACTACCATGCAGATCTCAGTAGATGCTCTTCATTCTGATCAGTGGGGCACCATAGTGCTTCAGAGGTGCACGATCCACAGGAAGGCCCAAATCCCTGGCCGGATTTCCCATACAGCCCACATGCTCATATGGAATGTCTCCCTGACTCAGAAGCAACTTAAAGGTTAGCAATTAAGTTGGTCAAACAGGAAAGAATCTGAGAGCCCAAAGACAGAACATTTGAAATTACCTAATCAGAACAGCAAAAAGAAAAAACAATTTAAAAAGTGAGGAAGGCCTACAGGAATTATGAGACACTATCAAGTGAAATAACATCTGCATAACAGGAGTTCCCAAAGGAGATAAGAGAGAAAAAGGCCTAGAACACATATTTAAGGAGATAATAGGTGATAATTTCCCAAATATGGAAAAAGACAACACCATCCAGATACAGGAAGCTCAGAGGTCACCAATCAAATTCAACCCAAAGAGGAGTTCCCCAAGGCACGTCATAATCACGTTATCAAAAATCAAAGACAAAAGGAGAATACTGAACGCAGCAAGAAAAAGAGAGAAAAATATATCACATTCAACAAAGCCCCAACATGACCTTCAGCAGATTTCTCAAGAGAAACCCTGCAGGCCTAGAGAGAGTAGGATGGTATATTCAATGTTTTGAAAGGGGGGAAAAAACAGTCAAGAATACTGTACCCAGAAAAGCTATCCTTCAAACATGATAGTGTGACAAAGACTTTCTCAAACAAATAAAAGCTGAGAGAATTTATCAACACCAGACCTCTCTTAACAGAAATGCTAAGGAAGTTCTTCAATCTGAAAGATAGCTGCTAATGTGTAACAAGAAAACATCTAAAGGTGTAAAACTTATAAAACTTACTAGTAAAAGTGAATATACAGATAAATTCAGAATACTCTAATACTATAATTAAGGCATCAAAACCACTTATATTTTTAGTATTGACTAAAATATAACAGTATTAAAGATAATAATAACTGTAATAATGGGTTAGAAGGCAATATAAAAAGATGTAATTTGAAATATCAGAAAGCCAAAAAGTGGAGGAGATATTGTTAAAGTGTAGAGTTTAATTTTGTTTCTTTGCTTTGTTAATAAAGTTAAGTCGTTATCCATTTAAAATAACATGTTATAACTGTAAGAGTGTTTTATAAGCTTCATGGTAACCACAAAGCAAAAATTTATAATAGATACATTTATAATAGAAAAATAAATAGCATGCAATCAAAACATCTCTACTAGGGAAAACCACGTAACTACAAAGGAAGACAGAAAAAAGGAAGAAAGAGTCTACAAAACAAACCAGAAAACAAGTGACAAAATGGTAGTAGTAAGTCCTTACCTATCAATAATAATCTTGAATGTAAATGAATTTAATTATCCAATTAAAAGACACAGAGTGGCTGAATGGATTAAAGAAAAAATAAGACCTAACTATACGTTGCCTACAAGAAACTCACTTCACCTATAAATACACACAAGACTGAAAGTGAAAAAATGGAAAAAGATACACACAAGACTGAAAGTGAAAAAATGGAAAAAGATATTTCGATGAAAAATGGAATAGCTATACTTATATTAGATAAAAACCAGGTCTGGGCATGGTGGCTCAAGCCTGTAATCCCAGCACTTTGGGAGGGCAAGGTGGGTGGATCACCTGAGGTCAGGAGTCTGGCCAACATGGTGAAATCCCGTCTCTACTGAAAATATAAGAAAATTAGCTGGGCATGGTGGCACGCACCTGTAATCCCAGCTACTTGGGAGGCTGAGGCAGGAGAATCACTTGAACCCAGGAGGCAGAGGCTGCAGTGAGCCAAGATGGTGCCACTGCGCTCCAGCCTGGGTGACAGAGCAAGACTCCATCTCAAAAAAAAAAAAAAAAAAAAAAAGGAATAGCTGTACTTATATTAGACAAGAAACCAAAAATGAGCAGGATATCTATACTAAAATAGACTTTAAGTAAGAATGGCAAAAAAAAAAAAAAAGGCAAAGAAGGCCATTATGTATTTATAAATGAGTCAATAGAGCAAGAGGGTATAAAAATGATAAATACATATATGCCCAACACTGGACATCTAAATATAGAAAGCAAATATATTAATAGACCTAAAGGGAGAGATTGACTGCGATGCCATAATAGTAGGATATTTCAATGGCTCACTTTCAGCAATGGAAAGGTCATCCAGACAGAAAATCAACAAGGAAACATTAGAGTTAAACTACACTATAGACCAAATGGACCCAATGGACATTTACAGAACATTTTATCCAATAGATGCAGAATACACATTCTTATTAGCATATGGAACATTCTCCAGGATAGACCATATGTTAAGCCACAAGACAAGCCACAAAATATTTTTTAAAATCAAGATCATATCAAGTATCTTTTCTGACCACAATGGAATAAAATTAGATATCAATAAGAGAGGAACTTTGGAAACTGTACAAATGCACGTACATTTTACAACATGCTGCTCAATGACCAAAGGGTCAGTGAAGAAATTGAGAAGAAAGTTTAAATATTTATTAAAACAAATGAAAATGAAACACACCATACCAAAACATATGGGACACAACAAAAGTAGTACCGATAGGGAAGTTTATAGCCATAAACACCTACATCAAGAAAGTCAAAAAATGTCAAATAAACAAACTAATGATATACCTCAAGGAACTAGAAAAGCAAGAACAAAACAAATCCAAAATTAGTACGATGAAAGAAATAATAAAGATTAGAGCAGAAATAAATGAAATTGAGACTAAAATAATATAAAAGATTAACATAACAAAAGTTAGTTTTAAAAAAAGGTAAACAAAATTGACAAGCCTTTAGCTAGATTAAGAAATAGAATCTGAGATTTAGAAAATATGTTACATGTGATACCACAGAATACAAGGAATTATTAGAGACTAGTATGAAAAACTATGTGCCAATAAATTGAAAAACCTAGAGGAAATGAGTAAACTCTTAGACACATACAACCTGCTAAGATTGAACCATGAAAAAATAGAAAACATAAACAGGCCAATAATACATAATGAGATTGAATCAGTAATAAAAAGTCTCCCAATAAGACAAGTCAATGACTGGATGGTTTGACTGTTGAATTCTACCAAACTTGCAAAGAAGAATTAATACCAATTCTTCTCAAACTTTTCCAAAAAACTCCAGAGGAGGGAATTCTTTCTAACTCACTCTACAAGGCCAGCATTACCCTGATACCAAAACCAGAGAAGGACACACACACAAAAGAAAACTACAGACTAATATCCCTGATGACCATAGATGCAAAAATCCTCAACAAAATACTAGCAAACTGAATGCAACAGCACATCAAAAAAATAAAACACCATGGTCAAGTAGGACTTATCTAGGGATGCAAAGATGATTCAACATACACAAATCAACAACTGTGATACGTTGCTTGAACAGAATGAAGGACAGAAACCATATGATTATCTCAATAGATGCAGAAAAAGCATTTGATACAATTCAACATTTCTTATGATAAGAACTCTCAACAAATCAGGTATCAAAGAAATGTACTTCAAAACAATAAAGGCCATATATGACAAACTCACACCTAATGTTATACTGAACAGGGAAAATTTGAAAGCCTTTCCACTAAGATCTGGAACAAGACAAGGATGCCTACTTTAACTACTTTTATTCAACATAGCACTGGAAGTCTAAGGTCAGAGCAATTAGGCAAAAAAAAAAAAGAGAGAAAGAAAGAAAGAGAGAGAAAGAAAGAGAGAAAGAAAAGGAAAGGAAAAGAAAAGGAAAGGAAAGGAAAGCAAAGGAAAGGAAAGAAAAGAAAAGAAAAGAAAAGAAAAGAAATGGGACGCCAAGGTGAGCGGATCACGAGGTCAGGAGATTGAAACCATCTTGGCTAACATGGTGAAACTCTGTCTCTACTAAAAATACAAAAATTAGCCGGGCATGGTGGCAGGCACCTGTAGTCCCAGCTACTCAGGAGGCTGAGGCAGGAGAATGGCGTGAACCTGGGAGGCGGAGGTTGCAGTGAGCCGAGATCGTCCACTGCACTCCAGCCTGGGCGGCAGAGCGAGACTCCGTCTCAAAAAAAAAAAAAAGAAAAGAAAAGGGCATCTAAATTGGAAAAGAGAAAATCAAAATCTTCCTGTTTGCAAACAACTTGATCTCATATTTTAAAAATCCTAAAGACTCCACTAAAAAACTGTTAGAACTGATCGATGAATTCAGTAAAGTTGGATAATACAAAAATCAATGTACAAAAATTAGTAACGGCTGGGAGCAGTGGCTCATGCCTGTAATCCCAGCACTTTGGGAGGCCGAGGCAGGAGATCACCTGAGGTCAGGAGTTGGGGAGCAGCCTGACCAACATAGTGAAACCCTGTCTCTCCTAAAAATACAAAAAATTAACTGGGCATGGTGGTGTGGGCCTGTAGTCCCAGCTACTCGGGAGGCTGAGGCAGTAGAATTGCTTGAACCCAGGAGGTGGAGGTTGCAGTGAGCTGAGATCACACCACTGCACTCCAGCCTGTGCGACACAGTGAGACTTTGTCTTAAAAAAAAAAAAGTAGCATTTCTGTACACTAATAGCAAACAATCTAAAAAAATTAAGAAAGCAATTTTATTTATAATAGCTATAAAAATGCCTAGAAGTAAATTTAACCAAGAAAGTGAAAGATATTTCCAATGAAAACTATAAAACACTGATGAAATAAAGAGGACATAAAAAATGGAAAGACATACTATGTTCAGAGGTTGTAAGAAATAATATTATTAAAATGTCCACACTACCCAAAGTGATCTACAGATTCAATGCAATTCTTATTAAAATACCAGTGACATTCTTCACAGAAATAGAAAAAACAATCCAAAAATGTGTATGGAACCACAAGGAGCCTGAATAGCCAAAGACATCATGAGCAAAAAGAACAAAGCTGGAGGCATCACTCTACCTGACTTCAGAATATTCTACAAGGCTACTAGCATAAAAACAGGCACATAGACCAATGAAACAGAATAGAGAACCCAGAAATAAATTCACCGATTTGCTACCTGATTTTCAACAAAAGTGCCAAGAACATATATTAGGGAAAGGACAGTCTTTTCAATAAATGGTGCTGGGACAATTGAAGAATACTTGGAAGAATAAAACTAGACCACTATCTCTCACCATATACAAAAACCAATTCAAGATAGAGTAAAGAGTTAAATTAAAGACGAGAAACAATGAAACTACTAGAAGAAAACAGGAGAAATGTGTTAGGATGTTAGTCTGGGCAAAGATTTTTATGGATAAGACCTCGAAAGCACAGGCAACAAAAACAAAAACAGACAAATGGGATTATATAAAATTTTTAAAACTTCTGCGCAGCAAAGGAGCCAATCAACAGAGTGAAGAGACAACATACAAAGTAGGAGAAAATATTTGCAAATTATCTATCCAACAAAGGATTAATATCCTGGATATAGAGGGAACTCAAACAACTCAACAGCAAAAATAATAGAGATAGGCTGGGCGCTCTGGCTCACACCTATAATCCCAACACTTTGGGAGGCCAAGGTGGGCGGATCACGTGAGGTGAGGAGTTTGAGTGAGACCAGCCTGGCCAACATGGTGAAACCCCATCTCTACTAAAATTACAAAAATTACCCTGGCATGGTGGTACACACCTGTAATCCCAGCTACTCAGGAGGCTGAGGCAGGAGAATCGCTTGAACCCAGGAGGCAGAGTTTGCCGTGAGCTAAGATGGCGCCACTGTACTCCAGCCTGGGCAACAGAGTGAGACTCCATCTCAAAAAAATAAATAAATAAAATTAAAATAATAATAATAGTAATAATTTGGTTTAAAAATGGGCAAATGATCTGAAAAGACATTTCTCAAAAGAAGACATACAAATGGCTGACAGGTATGTGAAAAAAATGCTCAACACCACTAATTGTCAGGGAAATACTAATAAAAACCACAATTAAATATTATCTCACCCCACTTAAAGTAGCTGTTATCAAACAGACAAAAAATAACAAATGCTGGTAAGGATGTGGAGAAAGGTGAACTTTTATACACTGCTGGTGGGGATGTAAATTAGGACAGTCATTATGGAAAACAGTATGGAGTTTCCTTTAAAAACTAAAACTAGAAATACCATATGATCCAGCCATACCACCACTGGGTATGCAGCAAACAAAATAAAATTCAGTATGTGTATTAGTCCGATTTCATACTGCTATAAAGAACTGCCTGAGACTGGGTAATTTATAAAGGAAAGAGGTTTAATTGACTCACAGCCCAACATGGCTCGGTAGGCTTAGGAATCTTACAATCATGGCAGAAGGTGAAGGGGAAGCAAGGCACCTTCTTCACAAGGTGGCAGGAAGGAGAAATGCTGAGTGAAGAGGAGAAGAGCCCATTATAAAACCATCAGATCTCATGAGAACCCAGTCACTATCATGAGAACAGCATGGTAAGGGGGACTGCCCCCATAATTCAATTACCTCCACTCAGTCTCTCCCTTGACACATGGGGATTACGGGGATTACAATTCAAGATGAAATTTGGGTGAGGACACAAAGCCTAATCATATCAGTATGTCAAAGAGATATCTACACTCCCATATTTATTGCATCACTATTCACAGTAGCAAAGATACAGAATCAACTATGTGTCCATTAACAGATGAATGAATAAAGATAACATGGTATATATACATAATGGAATATTATTCAGCCATAAAAATTAATGAAATTCTGATGGCTGACTGTGGTGGCTCACACCTGTGCTCCCAGCCCTTGGGAGGTTTGAGGTGGGAGGATCACTTGAGCCCAGGAGTTTGAGACCTGCCTGGGCAAAAAAGTGAGACCCCATCTCTACAAAAAATAAAAATAAAAAATTAGCGAGGTATGGTGGCACACACCTGTGGTCTCAACTACATGGGAGGCTGAGGCAGGATCTCTTGACCCCGGGGGGTCAAGGCTGCAGTGTGTCATGTTCGCACTGTTACACTCCGCACTGCTACACCGCAGCCTGGGCAACAGAGCAAGACCCTGGAGAAAGAGAGAGAGAGAGAAAGAGAGAGAGAGAGAGAGAGAGAGAGAGAGAGAGAGAGAAATGAAATCCTGTCATTTGAGGCAAAGTGGATGAGCCTGGTGCTGGGGGACATCATGTTAAATGAAATAAGCCAGACACAGAACGACAAACATTGCATGTTCTCATTCATATGTGGGAGCTGAAAAAGTTGATCTCATAGAAGTATAGAGTGAAACACTAGATGTTACTAGAGGCTGGGAAGGATAAAGGGAGGGGGAGATAAGGAGAGAATGATTGATGGTGCAAATTACAGTCACACAGGAGGAATTTGTTCCAGTGTTCTATAGCACAGTAGGGTACCTATGGGTAACAATAATTTATTGTATATTTCAAAATAGCTAGAAATGATTTCAGATGTTCTTAACACAAAGAAATGATAAATGTTTGAGTGATGGATATGCCAATTACCCTGATTTGATCATTATACATTGTATGCATGTATTGAAATATCACATGTATCCCATAAATATGTACAATTTTTGTGTCAATTAAAAGTAAAAAAATTAAAAGACAGTTTAAAAACTTTCTGTGAGTCTATAATTATTCCAAAAAGAAAAGTTTAAAACACACATACAGAGTTTTGTTTTTTAACAAATTAAGTTTTATCATACAGATAGAGCTTTTTAAAAACCCAACAGGGAACAATTCCTATATTCTGCTTGGCAACCTTCTTTTTCCAGGTGAATATCTATAGAATTACCTCATTCTTTACCTCATTCTTTTAACATCAAAATAGTACTATTTTGTACTTATGGATATATCATAATTTATTTAACTATCATCTACTGATGAGCATCGAGATTGTTTTTACATTTTCACTGTTTCAAAAAAATGCTGTAATAAACACTGCTTCTCAATATGCCTTTCTGCACTTTTGGTATTATTTCCAAAGTTTCCTAAGTGTGTTATTGCTGGCTATAAGTGTATGTATAATTTCTATTTTAACACACACAGGCAAATTATGCTCTTTCACTCTTGCACTGGTTTACATACCATTCAACATTACAAAGGAGTTCCAATTCCCCCACTCTCACTGTGGATGGATGCTCTAGGTCTACTTAATCTTTGACACTCCATGGGTTAAAATCATGTCTTCCTGTTTCACTTTGTATATATTTGTTTTTGAGGTCGAGAATTTTTTATTTCTTTATAACCATTAGAATTTCTGTTCCTGTCAATTGCCTGTAGATGTGCTCTTCTTCCGTGCACACCCCACCATTACTGAATGTTAGCCTCTGGATTGCAGAGTCTTTGTTTGTTTACTTCAGCACCCTATCCTCAGCATGTAGAATAGTGCTGGGCACGTGCTTGGGATTCATCAAAACCATTCGAAAAAGATGGATTGATGAATAGCTTTTTTCCTGTTTCGCTGTTCATCTTCTTCTTATTGACTTGTAGAAAATATTTGTATATTGGGAATATTAATGTCGATTTTCCCAGTCTATTGCTACCTTTTTTAAAAGATATATTTATTTATTGGTATTGTTTCCAAAGAAATAATACAATTACTTGATACCAAAATAGAATTATTTGGATAGGGTGGTGAAGTAAACAACATGCAAAAAAGAAAATACTTCAAAAGGTAATTTTCCTCCTCACTCTGTATTACAGCTGCCTACATCTGGTCCCAGCACATCCATTACCAGTTTCTTGGGTAACATTCCTGAGCTGCTGTATGCGTAGACACACTTATGTCATCTAACCTGGCTTATAGTGTCTTCCATCTTTCAAGATATTTTTACATAATCAAACAACATTGTTTATCCTGTAGGATTTCTGCCAGCCTGGATTTTTCTGATTGTTTCCCCTTGGTGTCTTTTAACATGTTTCTCTTCTCCCTATATTCCCTGTAAATTAGTGAGGTTAAATCACTTCTGTACTCAAAATCCTCCACTGGCTTCTCAAAATGCAAGCCAGAGACCCTGCAATGTCCTCCAAGGAGCTGTGTTAGTGCTGATCAGAACAATGTTACCTGTCCAGCACACTCTGGGGCTCTTGTCCCATGCATATGCTCAGCCACCAGGTCTAGGGTTCTCATTGCCAGCTAGCCAGCAAATGACCCATTTCCAAAATCCCTTTTTGCAGTTGGCTTCCTAGGACCACTCCCGGCACCAACTATATTACAATGAATTCACATTCTGAGATGGAAAAAGGCTTACAGAGGGGTTATTGGAAAGTGTTGGCAGTTATGCGTCTTGCAGATGGGAATAAGGGAACAAGGAAGGCAGGAATGGGGAGAGATAGAAACCGTCCTGTAATGTGGTGACAGATCCTAGATCCCAGGGGGAGCTCTTGAGCTGGAACAATGCCTTATGATTGCTCCAAATTGAAGCAGGACAGGCTGGCTTTTGTATCCCTACCTCAGCCAGTCACTGACTATGTGTGGACTGCTCCCACCCGGGGGCCAATTCCCCACAGCCAGGGCAATTCCCAGTGGATACTGGTCAGCAACCAGTATTCTCAGCAGCTGAGAGATGAGTGCATCTGCCCTGGAGAAGGGATATGGGAGGAGTGCCCCAGAACCCATGATAGCCAGGCCTCCAGTCTTGGTCTGGTCTCATATGATAGCAGTCATAGAGTTCACACCACTTTCTACCCAGTATTCCCTCAAGGCAAAGGGATCCTGGAGATTAGCATTTCTCTCCTTTTTTAAAATCTAACTACTGTATCTTTCTTGGGGAAGGGAGGCTCAGAAAAATGTGACAGCTCCCTCATGCCACTTAAGAGCCGTGGGAATACAGGTAAGACTGTCCCAGAACCCCTGTGTCCCTGGCATCCCATTCAGTCATTGTCACGCTACAGTTTCCACTGCAAAAGGGCATGAGACACTCCTATGAGGTACCAGAGTTCTGGAGAGAAAGAGCGAACAGAGCTCCTCTGCTCTCAGCTCTCCAAACTTACTCTGCCTCTGTTTATGCTGTCCAAACAGGAGCCGTAGCCTCGTGTGGGTATTGAAATTTCAATTAATTTGAGGTCTTGCTTCCTCTCCAGCTGTCTTCTGCCCCCACAGGCCAGAGAGGAGTTTCATGTCCTTTCTAGTGTGCATGTGTGTGTGACCATGTGTGTGTGTGAGTATAGGGGGGCCATATTGGTTGATAGTTTAAACAACCCTCCCGGTAGCTATCCCATTCATCTTATTCTTTCATGTTTCCTTAGTGATATCTGTTATTAAATTGCTGGACTTCCATCAGACTCTTGAAAAGAGGAAGGAGTTGGTCACACTGTGACTTATTAAAAGTGTCCTATGAAAATTCAATGCTTTTTTATTGTATAAGAAGCTATTAAAATAATATAGATTAATATATTTTATTTTTTGACTTGAAAGTTAGATTATTTTATCATTATGCAGCATGCATATCTTTACCATAACTGAGTTCTTTTAAAAAAGAAAAACAAAACCAGAATTCTGGAATGCTGTTCTGGCAAGCGAAAACCTCAGAAAAAGAGAATCTCATCTTATCCCAGTGATTGTTTCAGAAGGAACATCGGATACAAATGAATTGGTAAATATCTAGCAGAGGAGGAGGGAGGGTTGAGCAGGAGGGAGGGAAGTTCTGCAGTCAGTAAATACACAGTGGCTGCTGTCAGGAGCAGAGTTTTATGAAGGCCATGTTATCACACTGCTGTATATTTTTGTTCTCTCTCTTCTTCTGCACAAAGGAAGGAAAGATTCAAGAGATATAGGAAGAGGAAATGATATGGGCAGAAAGAGCTCTGTCTCCACCCACACCCCAGTGGAGCTGTAAACAGGCCGTTAAAAGTCTGTACTCCTGAAGAAAAATCAGATCTTAAACGTAAGCTTCCAGAAGGAATCGTGAAGCCAGGCTTCTCTCCTGCTACTGAATGCTGGAGATGTACATATTCCTTAAAACATGCTCACATTTTTTAAATTATAAAGGTAACACATGCTCAGTCTAGGAAATATGAAAAATATAGAGAAGCATGGAGAAGAAAAATAAAAATCACCATCCAGAGATAAACACCATTATCATGCCTTCTGTTTTATTAAACATACACACACACTCTTTTACATTTTAACATAATTGGGAATGTACCACAGATACTATTCATGTCCTTTTTTTCCTTTTTACATTATATCATGAGTATATTCTCATTCCATTAAAAATTATTTTAAAATATCATTTTAATGACCTATATTTCACCTTGTAAACACATCAGAACTTATTGAACCATTCCCCAGATATCAGACTTCTAAGCACGTTTTCTGTCTTTCTAATAAATATCACAGCAATGAACCACTGTTTACCTCTGCTTGTCCTTAGAAATGGAAGTCCTAGATGAAAAGGCATCAATTTTTATAAAGTTTTTGATGCACACATGGCCAGGTACCCATCAGGCAAGCCTCTACCTGCTTAAAGTCCAAACTTAGACAAGATTAAACTGTTTTCTACGGTAATATGGAATCAAACGATACCCTTTTTGAGTGTCCTGAACCTTCTAAGATAGTTATGGGGTGTCCCAGTTACCAATTCATTGCTTTTCAACTCCAAATTCACCCTTTTTGCTTGCTCTGTGAAAATTAAGCTGGGACCTATAAATATTTTTCTTTTTCCAAGGAAAGTTTTGTGAGTAGAGGGCGCTGGAGAGACATTGCAGGAGGAAAGAGTTTTGCTTCCTGCTTCCAGTGTACTGCCTAGTTCAATAGGTTCCTGTGGCAAGCACAGCTTCTCCAGTCCCAGGCTCCTGCAACATCTGGAGGCCAGCAGCTTCCCCTGGCACTCCACCTGTGGTAGTTTTATAGTGGAGTGCCTCCACTGACACCTCCCTAGGAGCAGCTTTCCCTAGCACCCTAGAAGACTGACTTCCAGCAAGTTGTGCTGGCAAGCACCTAAGCAACTCTGCTATCATATGGGCCTAAGTAGCCCCCAGCATAGCAGCTGCTTCTTATGTCTGCCATTCCTCTATTCTTTAGAGTTCTCTTTTTGTTCTTTTAGCCAATCCCCTGTTATCCAATTCACTTTTATGATTTATTCTTTATATTGAACTTTTCCTGTTCAAATTATTGTGTGGTGTCTCTCTTCTGCTTAGGCCCTGACTGATCCAGGGGCTAGCTTGTCCTGAGCTCAGAGAAGATCTGTCTAATGAGTGATGTGGTTTGACTCCTCAGAACAGTCTGGATCCCAGCTCCAAGTGTACTGTGTTGCAGTTTTAAATAATTGAAACTCTGGCTTAAATTTCCTCTTATGCTTTCAGGCTGCAAAGCCTTATTTACATTTAATTTAGGAGGCCAAATACAGGTACTACTGAACGATTGATTCTTCTTCTTTCCTGAAAGCCTCCACCAAGTTCAGTCAAATCCTCCTTCATTTCTTCTCTCCTCCTCTCTGCTGATGTCTCTTCCATCTCCCGCTCCCCATTTTGGACGCCTGGCCCTCCACACACAGCAACACATCCTTGCTGTCACCAGGTAGTTCTCCTCTCTGCATATTGCTCCTCTACTCAAAACCAGTGGCGTCTGGGTTCACAGTCTCCAGTCCTGACCTTGGGTGATTAGCAACCTTATGAACTGATGAAGATCATTTATTTTTGCTTTCCCATTACCATGAGAACCACCAGCAGATGATGCTGCCTGACTTGCCCCACAAATAAAGATATCAAGGAAAACAACTATTCTGCTCTGTTTGGTCTAAAAGCAAACCCTTGGTTTAAGGACGGTTGAACTATTATTAAGTAATAATCAATTTCTCTTTCTCTGCTTGCTGAACATGATACATGTCCTTCAAAATCCAAATCACGAATCATTGTTTCAGTGATTCTTTCTGCCAGCTTATCAGTAGAAATGAATCCCTTCTTCCTCTGCACCCTTAGTGTGTTCATCCCTTGGCTGGGGTGCGCATGACAGTTGTCTGGGTTAAAATTGAGTTTCTCATCATTTTGTGAGCTCCTACTAAGAAGGTACTACGTCTTTTTCATTTTTGTGTTGGTTCATAATAAATGCCGAATTGATGGATGCTCTATTGTTATATTAACAGTAGTAAATATCAGTACTGTGTGATGAAAATACAGAGGAAAATAACCACCAGATTAAGATGAACTCTAGAGAGTGATTCTGAAACTTTAGCTTGCATCAGAGTCCCTGGGAGGGCTTATTAAAACAGATTCCTGGGCCCTACTTGTACAGTTTCTAACTCGGTAGGCCTGGGGTTGGAACCTCAAGTTTGTGTTTTTACCAAGTCCCAAGTGACACTGAAGCCGCTCTTCAGGGGCCACACGCAGACCCACTAGGCTAGCCCACTCCGTCTGCTTCAATATTCCCTCCAAATGCACTTCTGTAATCCTTAGATTAACCCCAGGTGTGAGCAGGACCCCCACAGTGCATTTTTTCCTAGAGCAGCACCTGTAATAGAATCACAGATTCTTGACAGATATTTCAATCATAGAATCTCCAGAGTTGTTTTTTTTTTAATTCCAATTTTGCACCCGAAGCAGAAATCCCTTTGACCACCAGTGCTCCCAGTTGTCCTATTCCTCTTGCATCTGACACTCTCTGAGTTGGACATGAACAGTTTCCACCTCGCCTGGCTGCCTCTGATGAGCCCAGGACTGAACAATGATGCCTAGATGTCAGCTCACCAGCACTAGGGACTGTCCCCCATGCTGGCTCCTGTGGGCACCTCTCTGGTTTTGAAATTCTCATCCATCTGTTACCAATTCATTCCAGACCCTCACAGGAGATAAGTGTTCAATCAGTCTGGATGGTACTTGGGTTTAACTTAGGGATTTCACTGAGCTGCGGTACCTCGCGATTGGCCAAGTACCTGTTGAAAGCAATTTGGTTTTTCAAGCCCCGCCTCCTTCCCACCCACCGCGTTTTTTTTTTTTTTTTTTTTTTTTTTTTCCCAGGCGTTCTCTGCTGGCTCCCCCAGAGGGCGCACCCGCCCCAGGCCAAATCCCCAAGGAGTCCCCTTCTCTGGGTTGCAGAACAGGGTCCTTCTCTGGGACAGGGGGCTCTCTGGGGAGAGAAACTGGGTGGCCCGGACTGGCTTCTCACAGGAACAGACGGCAGGGTGCAGGCACTGGACAGGAGCCGTCTGCTTGGGTTTGGTGGGTGGATCCAAATCCTGCTCTGACACTAAATCCCTGTGTGACCTTGGGCAAGTTACTCACTGAGGTCTCTGAAACCACAGGAAATTGCACGATTCATTTGAAGATTTAAGGAGAAAATGCATTTAAAGCACTTTCCTCCAGCCTGGTGCATAGCACTGTTATATTAGTTACTATTAAGTTTGGATCGATTGACTTCTGTTTGAGTTGAGTATTTTGTCATCTGATGGAGGGATGTTTGCAGAAAAGAGCCACGATTGCGATTCCACAATTAGAGGAAAGTGGGGATAGATAAGGAGGGAGCAGAGTAGACTGGGGGTGGGGAGGAACCAACGTGAATTTAGTAATACTATGTGCCATTTGTTTTGCAGACACTGTCTGATATCATCCTTGGAATAAAGCAAAGCAAATATAAGAAAACCATCCCTGTTTTACAGGTGAGGAATGAGGTGTAAGGAGGATAAATAAAAAACTCATCCAAGGACAGCAGGTAGCAGAGCTGGGCTTTGAACCTGGGAGTTGAAAGACTGTGCAGCTTATCAGAGTAGGTTGTTTGGAAGCCAGGGCACTGCAGAAGCTCAAGGCAAAGGGCACCTGGACAAGGGCAAAGGGGACTCAGCAAGGAGACAGGATTGACCAGCAGGCTGGGTCTTGGAGGACATTGTCCCCAGAGCTCCCCTAAGAGCTAGTTACAAAGGCCAAGGACCCAGGCCTGCCTGCCCCACACACAGCCCAGCAAACCTCCCTCTGCTCCTGAAATTATATCCCAGACCTCTTGACTTTTGTCCCTTACCGACTCTCTCTTGAGATTGGACCACAAATGGATATATCACCTGAGTGAGGCAAAGTTTAATAGTCTGGTGCCAGGCTGCCTGGGTTTGCATCCCAGCTCTGTCACTAACCAGCTCTGAGCCCTTGTGCAAATTATCTAACTGTTCTGGCTCTCAGTTTTCTTATCTGTAAAGTGAGAAAATAATAATATTCACCTCTCAGGATTGTCATGAGTTTAAAAGAATGATATTTGTGAGGCCCTTAGCAGTGCCTGGCATAGAAGAAGCATAGGTCAGGATTATGGGAGTGTTATCTGACAGGTCAAAGATTGGTTTGGCTTGGCTTTGTTACTAGCCAGCCTGGCCACCTGCAGAAGTTGTTTCCTGTCTCTTGTCAGCAGTTTCCTCTCTATAAGTGATAGCAGAATCTTTTGGCTAGTACTAGGTGTCCACACTGTTCTATGCTCTTGACATGCATTGAATAATAGAATGCTACTGGCCACCCTCAGAGACAGGTGCTATATTATCCCATTTCACAATGGGGACACCGATGTTCAGACAGGTGAAGAGGTGAAGAGATGTGTCCAACATCACAAGGCTACAGGGAGCAAAATTAAGCATTCCATAGACATAATCCCATAATGAAATACTGTGGGTAAACAGCTCAGTGTTGGCCAGGTGCAGTGGTTCACACCTGTAATCCCAGCACTTTGGGCAGGCCAACGCAGGTGGATCACATGAGGCCAGGAGTTTGAGACCAGCCTGGCCAACATGGTGAAACCCTGTCTGTACTAAAATTACTAAAAATTACCTGGGTGTCATGGCGCGCGCCTTGATCCCAGCTACTCAGGAGGCTGAGGCACAATAATCGCTTGGGCTGGGGTGGCGGAGGTTGTAGTGAGCTGAGATTGTGCCACTGCACTCCAGCCTGGGTGACAGAGTGAGACAAAAAAAAAAAAAAAACCCCAGCTCAGTGCAGTTTGGCTCAGGGTGGAGGAGGTAGGAAAGGGCCTGGAGCCCTGTGTCACCTAATTCCTACCTATCCCTCCCCCAGCAAGTCTCAGGACCCTCCAGCTCCAGAGACCACAGAGTACTTTCCCAATGCCTTTAGTGTTATTTAGCCACCCATAACTGTTTTCTTCATCTTCATGCTCAGGGTCTACACCTGACTTTAGGATAAAATATACCCTTCTGAATCTCTACTTTTTCTCTAGACAGTCTTTCCATCTGGAAGGCTCTGGATGTCTGCCCCATGCATTTTAATAATAATTAGCACAGCTCATGTTTGTTGAGACCTTACTATATGCTAGACACCTGAGGAAAAATCCTTTGAAACATTAGCTCATTTAGACTTCAGAACAACCCCATGAATTTGGAATTATTTTGTCTCCATTTTACAGATTTTTCTACCACTGCATGTTGCTTCTTCTGCGAAATTGTGTCCTACGCACATGCTATCTTCAGCTCTGTTGTTCCTTCCTTTCTTTTAAAGAGCACATGTCTTATCTGCCCTCTTCTGTTACTTACTAGCTTCTTGACCTTGGGCACGTTATTTACATCATAAGTCCTGATGGGAGGCTAAAATGACACAATGCTTATAAAGTGCTCTGTGCCCATGCTAAGTGCTCAATAAATGGCAGTTTTGTCATTACATTATTAATAAGAACTAGATTATAGCCTTTAAATGCTTGTGGCCTCCTAGTTGTCTCCTGTGCACTCAGCCTTGCATAGTTTTAACAAAATTCTGCTGATTCACTAATATTACCTGCACACTTAGGGTATATCATCATCTCTATTGTAGTGGGGGTGGGGAACTGAGATGCGCAGTGCATCCTGGCTCTCAGCCAATCCCTGGACTTTGCAAAGGGCTATTTTCGAAGGACCACCCTGTGGCTGGCTGTGACAAAGCCACAGTCCTGTATGCTGTGCTCATACAACTGAGAGTCCCACCCTGGGCCCTGTGGGTGATGCAGGAAGAGCCCTGACCACAGAGGACATGGAGAAGCAAAGGCAGCTCCAAGGGGGACTCTGAAGGGAACCTCCCTGTATGATCCCCTAGGGCTGCCATAGCAAACTACCATAATCTGGGGAGCTTAACACAACAGAAATTTATTTTCTCACAGTTCCAGAGGCCAGAAGTACAAAATCAAGGTGTTGGCAGGGTTGGCGGCTTCTGGAGGCTCTGAGGGAGAATCTCTTGTGTGCCCCTCTCCTGGCTTCTGGCAATTGCCAGCAATCCTTGGCATTCCCTGGCCTGCAGCTGCATTACTCGCATCTCTGTCTCCATCATCACATGGTCTTCTTCCTTGGATGTGTCTCTGTGTGTCTTTTCCTGCTCTTATAAGGACCCTAGATACTGGATTCAGGACCCAGCTTAACCCAGTATGACCTCATCTTAACTAATTACATCCGCAAAGACACTATTTCCAAATAAGGTCACATTCTCAGATTCTGAGTAGCTATGTGATGTAGTTTAGATATTTGTCCCCACCCAAATTTCATGTTGAATTGTAATCCCCAGTGCTGGAGGTGGGGCCTGGTGGGAGGTGTTTGGGTCATGAGGGCAGATCCCTCATGGCTTGGTGCTGTCTTATTGATAGTGAGTGAGTTTTCATGAGATCTGGTTGTTTAAAAGTGTGTGGCACCGGGCTGGGTGCAGTGGCTCACACCTGTAATCCCAGCACTTTGGGATGCCAAGGTGGTCAGGAGTTCGAGACCAGCCTGGCCAACATAGTGAACCCCTATCCATACAAAAAAAAAAAAATAGCTGGGCATGATGGCCGGTGCCTGTAATCCCAGCTACTTAGGAGGCTGAAACGGGAGAATTGCTTGAACTTGAGAGGCGGAGGTTGCAGTGAGCCAAGATCACGCCATTGCACTCCAGCCTGGGTGACTGAGCGAGACACCGTTCCCCGACACAGCCCCCCCAAAAAAGTGTGTCGCACCCACCTCCCACCCCCTTGCTCCTGCTCTGGCCATGTAATATGTCTGCTTCCCCTTCACCTTCTGCCATGATTGTAAACTTCCTGAGGCCTCCCTAGAAGCTGAGCAGGTGCCAGCACCATGCTTCCTGTAAAGCCTACAGAACTGTGAGCCAATCAAACCTCTTTTCTTTATAAACTTCCCAGTCTTTGGTATCTCTTTATAGCAATGCAAGAATGGCGTAACACACTACACATTTCTTCTTTCAATTTTTTAAATATACAAAAACATCACACAATGCAAAGAAATATAGAATGTATTATGAAACTGATGATACTTGTCTGAAGGTAACTGACAGCAATGGCTAAATTAGTCATGCTGCTAATTTGTCTCCAAAAGTTTGTTTAGCACATCAGAAATCTTTTCTTTCTTTTTTTTGAGACAGAGTCTCTCTCTGTTGACCAGGCTAGAGTGCAGTGGTACAATCTTGGCTCACTGCAACCTCCACCTCCCGGGTTCAAGCGATTCTCCTGCCTCATCCTCCTGAGTAGCTGGGATTACAGGCATGCGCCACCACACCCGGCTAATTTTTCATTTTTAGTAGAGACAGGGTTTCACCATATTGTCCAGGCTGGTTTCGAGCTCCTGACCTCAGGTGATCTGCCCACCTCGGCCTCCCAAAGTGCTGGGATTACAGGCAAGAGCCACTGCTCCCAGCCAGAAATATCTTTTATTAACTATGAATTAAGAAGGGGACACTATTCAACAGGCTCACTCTCTCACCTCCCATCCCATCAGTGGCAGTACTGCTGTTCCTAGGATCTGACCCAATGGTCCCTCACAGGGAGAGAGAGAGACATGGTCTACAAATCCATGAGACTGGACTTAGATTCAAAGAAACACAGAAAGACTCTCCTCTAATTGGTGCATCTTTACAGGGCTAGAACATGATGTTTGAATTGATCTGATGCTATTGTTCACTGAGAGTGAGGGAGAGTAGTAGCAGGGATATAGAGGGGAAAAAAAATACAGTGTCACAAATTTAGCCCTGACTTCACATCTGACAGGAAGACCTCCCAGTGATTTTTGAGAAAATGATGGTTAGTGTTTGGGGATTTTTTTTTTTTTTAGACAGAGTTTTGCTCTTGTCCCCCAGGCTGGAGTGCAATGGTGCAATTTCGGCTTACTGCAATCTTCACTTCTCGGGTTCAAGAGATTGTCTTGTCTTAGCCTCCCAAGTAGCTGGGATTATAGGTGTGTGCCAGCATGCCTGGCTAATTCTTGTATTTTTGGTAGAGATGGGGATTTCACCATGTTGGCCAGGCTAGTCTCCAACTCCTAACCTCAGGTTATCCACCCACCTCGGCCTCTCAAAGTGCTGGGATTACAGGCATGAGCCACTGCACCCAGCCTTGTGGATATTTTTATAATTCACTACCAAAGCCAGATATGGAAAGAACTTGTATAAATTCATTAAAGTGTAGTTATGGGCTGCTATAACAAAATATCATAAACTGGGTAGTTTATAAACAACAAAAATGTATTTCTCACAGTTCTGGAGGCCAGAAGGCCCAAGATCAAGACTGATTCAGTGTCTGTTGAGGGCCCGTTTCCTAGTTCCTAGATGGTGCCTTCCTGCTGCATTCTCACATGGTGGAAGGAGTGAAGGGTCTCTTTTGGGCCTCTTTTAAAGGGCACTGATACTAATCATGGGGGCAGAGCCCACACAACCTAATCATCAGCCACAGGCTCCACCTCTTAATTCCATCACCTTGGGGGTTAGGATTTCAACATATAAGCCTTGGGGGGGACGCAAACGTTCATATAATAGCATGCAGCATTTGAATAAAATGTAAAGATAGATGTCTTGGCTTGAAAGATTTTTTTTTTTTTTTTAAGATGGAGTTTCACTCTGCTGCCCAGGCTGGAGTGCAGTGGCATGATCTCAGCTCACCACAACCTCTGTCTCTCAGGTTCAAGTGACTCTCCTGTCTCAGCCTCTCGAGTAGTTGGGATTACAGGCACGCACCACAATGCCCGGCTAATTTTTGTATTTTTAGTAGAGACGGGGTTTTGCCATGTTGCCCAGGCTGGTCTCAAACTCCTGACCTCAGGTGATTCAGCCACCTCTGCCTCCGAAATTGCTGAGATTACAGGCATGAGCCACTGCACCCAGCCAAAAGATTTTTAAATACTGGGTTTTTGAGGTGCTGCCTGAATGTTTTCAAGATTTATAACTAAGGACTTTCTGCTTCCTGTGTTTTCTGAGACAATCCACTCATTATCCAAAGCAGCATATTTGTATTTGTCTGATTGCTGTTCCAATTTGGGGGCATGTAAAACAAAACAATGGCTAGGCATGGTGACTCATGCCTGTAATCCCAATACTTTGGGAAGCTGAGGCAGGAGGATCCCTTGAGGCCAGAAGTTCCAAACCAGCTTGGGCAATATATTGAGACCCAGTCTCTACAAAAAATTTTTAAAATTTAGAAAGTTAGCTGGGTGTGGTGGTGCATGCCTATAGTCCTAGCTACTCAAAAGGCTGAGGGAAAAGGATCTCTTGAGCCCAGGAGTTCAAGGTTAAGGTAAGCACTCCAGCCTGGGTAACTGAGTGAGACCCTCCCTCTAAAAAATGGACCAGTTACTCTGCCCTTAGCACACAGACAGTCAACATATAGAGCACCTACTTGCTCAATTTTCATGGCCCCTTTGTCCATAAAAATATATTAAAAATTATATTTTACTATGCCATGGATACAAAGTACATGATCCAGGCTAGACTTATGTTCATTTTTTTCCCTTCCCTTTTTAAAAGAAATTTAAACATTTTCATGGGTCCGAAATATATGTGGCCCCTGGGCATGGTGACTACTGTGCCTGGCGGATATGTTAGCCCTGCCACTCCTGGACATTTGGACTAGTGGGGCTGAGGAATTTGCATTTGAACATTATGATCTGACTGCACCCAGAGGAAAAAAGAGATCTGTGTCTTCAGTAATGGCCCTAAATATTAAAAAAACAAGAGCAGGTCCCAAGAGATGGCCCTAGGGAGACCCCCAGCTGGCTAGGTGAGTCTTTAACCTCGGCCCACCCTGCCCCCTGAATGAGGGGCCTGTGTGTGGTGGGGCAGGCTGTCATGAGGAGAGTTGCCAGGAGCGGGAGGTGGAAGCAGAACAGGTGGGAGGGGAGATTAGATATACACTTGGCAATTTCAGGATGAAGATTTTCAGCCCTTTTGGGGAGTGGGGCTATCAATGACATCTTTCAGAGTTGTGTGGAAGCTTTGGATCCACTCCCTGGAACAATGCATGTATGCAAACATGAACCAACATTTACACAAACTTTTCAGGACTAACAAAGGGTTCGTAGGTCCCAGGTTCACACCCTCAGGTCGAAAGGCAGCTCCTTGCAGTCTGGAGAAGAGAAACAACCCACCAGGATCATTTTCCTCCCACACCTTGGGCTCCCTGCTGTTGGAATCCAGAATCCGGGCTGGAATACCCGGCTACTATGTGGGTTAATCAGACATCGATGCTGGCTGGCACCTTACCGCTATGGGCAGCACAGTTTCCATGGGGAAATGCATTCCTGCTTCCACAACAGACTCCTAAAGGACTCTTGCAGCACAACTGAGTTTGTCATTTGGGGGTTGGTTGTCCTGATGGTAATGCACTTTAATGAGCTCAACGGTAAGAACAAAGCAGGCTTTTCTTGTGGCCCTGGCTCTAAGCTTAAATGCTTCCCACCTCTGAATCCAAGTGTCCTGCAAGCCTGGCCCTCCTGTGCAGCGACTAACCAGCACTCACTACAATAACGTGTCTCTGGAAGGAATAATTAGACTTTATGGTGGTAATTCACCAGGCTTTCACAGAACCCTCTTCTGCGTGGAGAGAAAAAGAAAAGGCTTTAATTGATTCTGAATTAAAATAACTAGAAAAAAAATCCAGTCTACCAATCAGAGAAAGCAGACTTAAAATTACAGCCAGAATTTCAAGTTTCACACACTAATCTGGCTCAAAGTATTAACTCTGATCTTGTTTTTGAAGTAACCATTTAAAACTAAATCAATTCAAAGATAAAAACAAAAGATTGTTTTGTTAAGGTAGAATGTTTTGTACAAATGAAAATAACATAAATAGGCAGTATACATATAATATTTATATATTGTTTATTTAAATATATACTTATATAGGCCAGGCATGGTGACTCACACCTGTAGCCCCAGCACTTAGGGAGGCCGAGGCAGGTGGATCACCTGAGGTCAGGAGTTCGAGATCAGCCTGGTCAACATGGTGAAACCCTGTCTCTACTAAAAATACAAAAATTAGCTGGGTGTGGTGGTACACGCCTGTAATCCCAGCTACTTGAGAGACTGAGGCAGGAGAATTGCTTGAACCCGGGAGATGGAGGTTACAGTGAGCTGAGATCGTGCCACTGCACTCCAGCCTGGGCAATGGAGCAAGACTCCATCTCAAAAAATATATATATATATAAATATATATATACACACATATATAAGTAGTATTTATATTATATATTTGTATTTTAAATAATTATATAAATATATTTGAGCATATAGATATTATTTATTTATACATGAATATATATTTATATTCTTTTCATTCAATAGCCAGGTACTATTATTTTAACAAAACAATCTTCTTTCATTGCAGTTGTGGCAGGGAAGCAGCTGAAATTTATGGAGTGATTTCTTTGTGGCTTCCCTGGTGCTATCTGCTTCATGTGTGTTACCTCACCTGATTTCATTTTATCTTGTAATCAACCCTGTGCACCATTTGTGGATAAGGAAAGTGAGGTTTCCAAAGCTACAGTTAATAATAAATTATTGTTGCTATTATTATTTCTACTGAGATAGACTCTTCTTCCTAGAATAGCTAAAATTTTGTTTCCTGAAGGCAGGGGATGAACCAGGTAAGTTTACATTCTAGTCAGGGAGAGAGATAGTAAATAAAATAAATTAACAAAGTACAATCTATTGTCCTTATTCCCACTTGTCCTGATCTACAAAGTACCTACAAACACTGAATTAGCAAATACTGGACTTGTGCTTCTAGAGGCAATACAGGGTGAGGTTCCTATGAGACTCTGGACATGACATTTTCATCAACCAATCAATACATAACCTTGCTTTATGTGTGTTTCTATCTTATGACAACTTGTTTAATATATATTATTGATTCACCAACATTGAACTCACTGCCACAGCACTATAACTCTTGCCTGAATGAAGCTTATCTAATGCACATTTTCTCCATGAGACATATCACAGCTTCCTGCACTTGGGAACACTAGCCAGCACTTCAACACTATGTTTGGGGCCATTTCAGACAGCACAATCACCAACATAAAGCTCAAAAATTCAGCAAAAAAAAAAAAAGAGGACAGGAAGTAGATCACAGAAAGGACACTTGATGACAGTATGAGAACCGAAACAAGAAAGCAGAACACTGGCTTGTTCAACCTCAGCTGCTAACTTGCACGTTGGACAACTCAAAATTTTCACCATTCTGTGCACGTCTGGTTCTGTGCACCATTCTGTTCCCTCTGGCAGAACCCATGGCTGGATTCACCCCACAAGGGGAGGCAGGGGAATTCCCACAAGAGGGTGCTTCCAAAATGTCCCAAGATAGAGTGATTGGGATTTCAAAGAAAAAAGCACATGCTACTATAAAGACACATGCACACGTATGTTTATTGTGGCACTATTCACAATAGCAAAGACTTGGAACCAACCCAAATATCCATCAATGATAGACTGGATTAAGAAAATGTGGCACATATACACCATGGAATACTATGCAGCCATAAAAAAGGATGAGTTCAGGTCCTTTGTAGGGACATGGATGAAGCTGGAAACCATTATTCTCAGCAAACTATCGCAAGGACAAACCACCAAACACCACATGTTCTCAATCGTAGGTGGGAATTGAACAATGAGAACACATGGACACAGGAAGGGGAACATCACACACCAGGGACTGTTGTGGGGTGGGGGAGGGGGGAGGGATAGCATTAGGAGATATACCTAATGCTAAACGATGAGTTAATGGGTGCAGCACACCAACATGGCACAGGTATACATATGTAACAAATCTGCACGTTGTGCACATGTACGCTAGAGCTTAAAGTATAATAATAATAAAAAAAATAAAAAAGCACTAAACCTCAGGGTGATCAATCCAAAGCATTTACTAGGGGAACTCACAGAGGAGAGCCGCTGCCAGTGCTCAGGGGGGTGGGGGGGATGGTGAAAGGAGCGGGTGTTCTACCTAGGTGTGTCTGCAGCAACGGGTCAGGGTATGGAGTTTACATGAGGGTTTAAGAAATTTGGCTCAGGGCTGGGGCTGTTTCTTTCAGTGCTTTGGGCAACACCTGGATAACTTTATCAGTGCCTGAAGATGTTCAATGCTCCAGCTTGGGTTCAAACCTGCTGGGAAAAACAAGTAGCTGGCTGGGTCACAGAGCAGTCAAAGCACTCTGTGTTTCTTGGTCAGCACAAGAGCAAAAGCAGGGGTACCTGGGGGACCCTACAGTCTGCATATGACTGAGAAAGTTCTGTGTGTGTTGATTGTGGGGTTACAAATAAATTTTAGCAAGTAGGCAAATTTACACACCCAGAATCTGCAAATAATGAGGATCTACTGCACGTAGCATAGGAGAAAGTGATAAATTATGAAGGAACATGAAACTCTTGAGAGGCTTTCTGAGCTGAGGTGTGGTTTGGGGTCTGGGGTGTGGATGTAGGCATCAGGGTTCCCCTCACAGAGAACCAGCACAGAGGCTTGCAATGCCTGTAGTGGCTGTTGGTGAATATCCCGTAGCCTCCAGGGCTCCTCAGCGGTCAGAAAGCCTTTGATGGGAAGAGGGGCCCTTTGTACACCTTTATGTTCACATCCAAGTCTTGTTTTCCTCTCTACTCCAGGAAGGAATAAACATCTCATGGGGATAACAAGAATCACGTGGAGGACTTTACAGAGCAGTCTTATTTGAGCCTCACAACAATCACATGAGGTAAGAAGGGCAAAGATCATTGTTACTTCACAGGTGGAGACGAAACCCTGAAGCTTAGAAAGGTTATAACTAGCCATGATGACTCTGGAATATTTGGCTGATATTTAGAAGCCTAGGCTGGAGGGGGTGGGGCTGGGGCTCCCACTTCAGATTTATTGATGTCTTGTTGGGTTCAATAAGATTATATCCAAAGCTCTCCTCTGATGTAAGGAATATAACATTCTGATTCCTCTAAGAGCATTTATTCATTCATTCAACAAGTATTTATTGAGCACCTGCTATATGCCAGTAACTATTCTAGGTTCTGATGATACAGTAGTGACCAAAATGAACACATATCCTTGCTTTCATGGAGCTTACATTTTAGTGACAAGAGACAGACAATAAAACAGAATATTAAGGAAAAAAGATAGTGCAACATAGCAGCCGCCTCTTTAGGTCACCTGTAACTCCTATTTGTTGAAGACAGCTTGATCTAGAGCAAGCTTATCCAACCCGTGGCCCATGGGCCACATGCAGCCCAGGACAACTTTGAAAGTGGACCAACACAAATTCATAAACTTTCTTAAAACACTATGAGATTTTTTTGCATTTTTTAGCTTATTGGCTATCATTAGTGTCAGTGTATTTTATGTATGGCCCAAGACAATTATTCTTCTTCCAATGTGGCCCAGGAAAGCCAAAAAATTGGACACCCCTGGTAGAGGAAAGAACATGAAAGGCTGTCCTAGTCCTGCCCATTGCTGGCTGGGTGACCCTGGGTCTGAGTTGCCACATCTATGATTACAACTGTGTACAGGCCCTATAGGTTAGGGACAGGTGTAACCAACATGTCTGCAATTCATTTTTAACTTTTATCAAACATATCAATCATGCAAAAAAATAGAGAATTACATAATGAACACTTACATACTTACCAGTTTTTAGACATGAAACTGCAAATTCAAAGTGGCTTTGTAATCGGTCCACTTGGTTGGGCTGAGCTACATTTCCCAGAATCCCCTTCCCTGGATGTTTCTGCTTCAGTGGGCCACAGGAGACCATCTTTGAGATTTGGAGGACAGAGCTGAAGCAACAGCCATATTATTTTTTACACATGGAAGGCCTAGGTGGGTGCTTTTATTGCACGTTGTTGCCTCTCTGCTTACCTTGTTGGCGGGGACGGCGTCCGGGCCTGCACCTGCTCCCCCTGGCCCTGCTCCTTCCTTCAGTTCTATGACTGCTGAGCCAGGTGTGTGTCTAGCTCCATGACAAAGGGTACCAGCTTTTCCTGCAGGACACCCTTCATCAAGGTGGGAGGTGGTGAGTGACTGACACAGTTTCTTGCCCATTCTTGTGGGTTTCCGCTCATATTCCTGGGTTCCATCTTGTCCTCATTCTTCCCCAGTTTACATCCATCTCCCCTTCCTGACTGCCTGCCCTGGGGACTTTAAACTCCAGCATCAGAGAAGATAACAGCTTTCCAGAAACCATTTAACCAGATCCCACAATTGCATAAGATCAAATCTTGTAACAGAGAACATGTAGTGATGGATGGATGGGTGGGGGGATGGATGGATGATAGATAGATAGGTAGATAGAGAGATAGATAGATAGATAGATAGATAGATAGATAGACAGATACATAGATGGATAGATAGATAGATAATCTTCTGGTGTTTTTGCATCTCTGGCTGATACATCCTGTGTATTTGTATCTGATGATACCCCCTCCATTTCCTGCCCAAAGGTAAAGGATCTCCATTTTAGTATTTTTTATTTCTATTTTTACTCTATATGTATATGCCCATAAATAATATACAATATTGGTTATTGGATTCTCATTAATTTTAATGTTCAATAAACAATTGCTCAAGACCCCAGTGCCTCGATTATTGATTCTCAGGTCCTCCTAGCGCCACAAAGTGTCTTCCTCGGTTATCGCAAGGGTCCCCAAGGAGCACGTCACATGAATCCACAAATCTCTCTGTCCACTAAGGTTCCCACTCAGCAGCTGCAATGTCCTTCCTTTCTTGTTCCAAAGACCTGAGACAATGTCAGCATGGCCACTGCCAGTGGTGCACCTGCGTATCTTGAGGACTGTGCCAAAGGAGCTGCCTCCCTGGCTCCCGGCTCCCTCATCCACGTGCCAAAGCAGGTCCAGTTTGTCTGCAGAGGTCAAGGACACCCTTTCCTCGCTCCCTAATACCACACATCTTCACCCCAGTCTCCAAGCAGCCTAGCCTGTGTCTCAGGCTCCATACACTCTCTCATTAAGTCAGGCCCTTCCTATCTTCCCCTCCATCCTCAGACCCAGCAAGTGACGCCCCTCCCCCAACTAAACCAAACCAAAATCCACCCCCATCACAACAGCAAGAGGAAGCCTCTCAAGGAGACTGCCTTCTAGATTCATTCCCAGCCACATAACATTTACTCATGGTTGGAAATTAAGGATAAGCAGAGAGACAGAGGAAAGGCTGGATATATCCCACAGCTACAGGGTGCAAGAGCGCAAAACAACTTCACATTCCCAGCCAGGGCTCTTAATGCTGACATGTAACCATATGACAGCAACGGCCTCATCTTCCCAAGAATAATGGGTGAGCACTTGCTTTACCTTTCGGACACATAAAGTTTTACTGGTTTTGGCCATTTTTGTCAAGTCAAAGAAACAGTATGTCCCAAAGATTCATTCATTCAACACATTAATTGAGTTCCAGCCAAGTGTCAGGTGCTATTTGAAGTGCTTGGGATCCATTGCAGAATAAAACCAACTAAGAGCTCTGCCCTTGTGCAGTTTCTATTCCAGACTAGAGCTCTAGAACAGACATCTTCTAGCAAAGATTAAATAATAGTTCATTCTTCCATCTCACCTTTTGTGTCTTCCTTTTATAATTCCAAAATACTTTGTAGCCCAACGTTTAGCCAGGGCATCACATTCCATATAGATAGAAGTTTTGAAAAACAGTTTTATTGGGATGTTATTTCCATATAATACAATCCATACCATTTCAAGTGTACCTTAATTTTATTTTATTTTTTTATTTTATTTTATTTTTTGAGACAGTCTCGCACTGTCACCCAGGCTGGAGTGCAGTGGTACAATCTTGGCTTACTGGCACCTCTGCCAGTAAGCAATTCTCCTGCCTCAGCCTCCCGAGCAGCTGGGATTACAGGTGTGTGCCACCACGCCCGGCTAGTTTTTGTATTTTTAGTACAGACAGGGTTTTGCCGTGTTGGCCAGGCTAGTCTCCAACTCCTGACCTCAGGTGATCTGCCTGCCTTGGTCTCCCAAATTGCTGGGGTTACAGGCGTGAGCCACCATGCCTGGCATATTTATTGCATTAAAAAAAGTATATACTGTGCAACTGCCACTACAATCAACATAGAGATTTCCATCATCTACAGAAAGTTCCTGTGCCCTTTCCAACTCAATCTTCTCTGTCTTCCCTATAGAAACGCTTAGCTGCTTTCTGTCAGTCTAGGTTGTATTTGTCTTCCCTGAAGTTTAATACAAATGGACTCATACAGTCCATTTTTGGCTACTGGGTTCTTTTGCTCATCAGAAAGTTTTCAAGATTCATCCATGTTGTTGCATGTATCAGTGGTCCATTCCTCTCTATTGCTAAGTAGTATTCCATTGCACACATACACAAAACCCATTTTCTCTACCCATGCACCTGTTGAAGGCCATTTGGATTGCTTACCTTTTTAGCTGTTATAATGTTCACAGTACAATGCTACTATGAACATTCATGTACAAGTCTTTGTGTAATCACATTTTTATTCCTCTTGGGTGCATACCCAGCAGTAAAGTTGCTGGACTGTGTGGTAAAAAATTATTTGTTTTGTAAAAATATATGCCTTTTTTCATATTAATGCATTTTAAGTGCATATTTCACTTCATAGGAAAATGCCACCCTATTATCCAAAGTGGTTGTATCCTTTCACATTCCCATCAACAATGTTCAAAAGTTGCAGTGCTCCTCAGGCATAACAGCACTGGGTACTGTCAGTCTTTTTAATTATAGCTGTTCTCATGGGTGGGTGGGATATCTCAACATGGCTTTAAATGGCCTTTCCCAGGCACTTTTTTAAGTGCTTTATTAACTTACTTCTCACAACAACCTTATGAAGTACACATTATTATTATTCCCATTTTACAGACAGGGAAACTAAGGCACAGAAAGGTTAAGTAGCTTGCCCAAGGGTACAACACACCTAGTACGTGGCAGAATCAGGGTTCAATCCAGGCACTCTGGCTCTGGAAATGAGACTCTTAACCCCTCGGTCACACCAGCCTTCCAAGAGTAAGTTCTTGGATTCCACCATGGGTGATCCGTTATAAGCACGGCTAGAAAGACTTGCCAGCCACCTAAGAAGACATGTTGCCTAAGATAAAGCCTTACAGCCTGAAGACAGGTGTCTGAAGAGCCACACACCAGGAAACAGAAGAAGCCACAGCTGCCAGCCCACGTTTGAGGGCTGGACCAGGATGAGGGCTAAGGGCCACTGGTCTCAATCTCTGCCTTTCATGCCAAGCGCTGGCAAGGGCCACTGTGGCAACAAAGATCTCAAACAGTGGCCGGGGGTGGGTGAGGGATGACCTTGCCTTCAACAGGGAGTGCAAGGTCATCCCTCATTCACTCTTGTCATCCACTGTTTGAATCCTCTTGGCGCCTGGGGAAGGGCCCCATCTGACTCAGTAACTGTTACAGGAATCTGGGGTGTGTCTGGAGAAAGACTATCCTTTTTGGAAACAGGTGGGGGTATAAACTATAAATGAACACATGTGCTAATCCTAAAAGGGAATAGGGAATGTATTAGTCAGGGTTCTCTAGAGAGACACCACCAATAGGATATACATATGTAGATGATAGATAGATGGCAGGGGATTTATTAGGGGAATCGGCTCACGCAATTTTGGAGGCGGGGATTTTCCACCACAGGTTGTCTTCAAGTTGGAGACACTGGGTTGCCTGCAGCACGGCTCAGTCCAAGTCCAAAAGCCTCAGAGCCAGGGAAGCAGACCGTGTAATTCTCAGGGTGGCAGTGGAGGGTTGCTGGCATAAGTCCTGGAGTCCAAAGGGCAAGAACCCTGGAGTTCTGATGTCCCAGGTCAGGAGAGAAGAGTGTCCCAGCTCCAGGAGACAGAGGGAGGAAATCCTATTCTCTCCTTTTTTGTTCTATCTGGGGCCCCAGCTGATTGGATGGTGCCCACCCACATGGAGGGTGACTCTTCCCCACTGAGTCCACTGACTCACATGCCAGTCTTCTCAGGAAACACCCTCACAGACACACCCAGAAGCAACGCTTTACCAGCAATCTCCAGTCAAGCCAGCACCTCAACCATCACAGGGAACGACCAAAGACAACGCACAACCCTACAACAATGTCAAGCTTCCAATGGATCCACCTCTGATCTAGGATACCCAAGGAGAGAACAGAGCAGGGGCTCCTGGACTTTTGAATGTCAAAGACCAGTGAAGCTTTAAAAAGGAAAGGTAACTGAATGGAATAACATAAGCTTCATAATTTTTTACTTTGCTGAGTAAGGACATTAATAAAATAACCACCACTAAGTGCCATCACCATTATGTCATAAAAGAAATGACATATGGATAACTCCCAAGGTAGGAAAGACAATCTCAGAATAATATTTGTTTTTTTTGGCTGGGCACAGTGGCTCGTGCCTGTAGTCCCAGCACTCTGGGAGGCTGAGGTGGGAGGACTGCTTAAGCCTAGAGGTTTGAGGCCAGGCTGAGCATATAGCAAGATCCTATCTCTACAAAAAGTTTTTTTAAAAAATTAGCCAAGCATGGTGGTGCACACCTGTAGTCCCAGCTATTCAGTAGGCTGAGGTGGGAGGATTGACTGAGCCCAGGAGGTCAAGGCTGCAGTGAGCTGTGATTGTGCCACTGCACTCCAGCCGGGGCAACAAAGAGAGACTCTTTCTCTCTCTCTCTCTCTCTCTCTCTCTCTCTCTCTCTCTCTCTATATATATATATATATATATATAAATTTATATATATATAAAAATATATATAAATTATATATAAATATATATAAATTATATATAAATTATATATATATTTATATAAATTTATATATATAAATTTATATATATATAATTTTTTTCAGTGGAATACATTGGCTTTATTAAAAAATTTACTACATTTTCCTGATCTTTTTTTTTCTCTCACTAAAATGCTATCACTGATAGTCACCAGCTTTCAGGAACCACTAGTAAAGTAGAAAGTTCACAATCTGTAGAATCAGCTAGATAAGTTCAAATCCCAACTCTGCTACTATACCTGGCCCTTTACATGGCATCCAGGTTACCCATCTATTGCTGTGTAACAATTTACCCCAAAATGTACACCCACAGATACTGTGGGTCAGGAATAGAGGCAAGGGAGAGAGGGAGGCCTTGTCTCTGTTCCAAGATATATTGAGACTCAGCTGGGAAGACTCAGATGGCCAGGGGTGACTCTAATGACTGAGGTCTAGAATCATTCAAAGACTTCTTCACTCACATGTCTGGTGCCTAGCCTGGGGTGATTTAAAGGCTGGGCTCAGCTGGGAATATCAACTAAGCACCCACATGTGGCCTCTCCATGTGCCTTGGGCTTCCTCATAGCATGGTAGCCTCAGGGAAGTCACATTCTTTTATGAGCCTGGTGGCTCAGTGCTCCAAGAATGTGTAATACATAAGCAGAAACTACGTGGCCTTTTATGACCTAGCCTTGGAAGTCATATGAAGTCACTTCCTCTGTAATATATTAATTGAGGCCATCACATCCTCACCCAGATCCAACAGAATGCGAGATAGACCCCACCTCTTGATTAAAGGAGCGTCAAAGAATTCACATTTTAAAATACCACCGCATTGATGTTGTTGTTTTACATTTAGCCTTTACAACAAGATAAAGTGTGTATCATTATTTCTATTTTATAGATGAAAGAAATTAGGCTCATAAAGGCCAATAAATTCACCCCAAACTAGTAAAGTACTGCACTAAATGTCTGCCTCTCTGCATTTTCGTGTTCTCATGGCCTCTCAACACAAACCTTTAATCCAGCTGACCATATCCCCTCACCAAGCAGGCAAAGGGGCTGTAGATGCCTATCACTGCTTGCAGAGAGGCCAGGGACCTGCCTTCCTCCTTGGCTGATCTAGTCCCATGAACCAGCTTTTCAGGCCCCCCTCTGGCCCCCCCATTCGTGGGCTCTGCATCAGATTTTGCTTCTCTGAGTTTTAACTGTTTGCCTTCAAGGATTTTGCCCTTATTGTCCCTCTGCCTTTTGCAGGCCAGCCTGACTGTATGAATCCCATCTCCAGCATGGACATTAACCCACTTGTGTCTATGCTGCCCTTCCCTGGCCTATGGCTGGGGGAATATGGACAACCTGAGCTATTCAACAGCCATGATGCATGTGTGGTAAGAGCAGTGCTCATCTGGGCATGGTGTCTCATGCCTGTAATCCCAGCACTTTGGGAGGCCGAGGTGGGCAGATCACCTGAGGTGAGGAGTTTGAGACCAGCCCAACATGGTGAAAACCTGTCTCTACTAAAAATATAAAAATTAGCTGGCCACGGTGGTGTGCACCTGCAGTCCCAGCTACTCGGGAGGCTGAGGTAGAAGAATCGCTTGAACCCGGGAGGCGGAGGTTGCAGTGAGCTGAAATTGTGCCACTGCACTCCAGGTTGACAGAGAGAGACTCTGTTCACCCCCCGCCCAAAAAAAAAAAATTTAGCAGTGCCATCTGGGCCATCCCTCACTGGGGTCTCTGAGAAGGTGGACTGGCCAGGAGCCAACAGCCCCACAGGGAAATACATTTATTTCTCAGGACTCTTCCTTGCAAGTGCCAGAAGCTCACCCTATGCCCAAAGAGGGTGTGTGGTTGGAATATTCACAAAAACGGGAAGGTCAGGGATGAAGCTGGACCCAGAGCTCTAGAACCAAAGATATTGTGCTATTGACATCTTCCTTCCCTTCTCTTGTTGCTGTATGTCAGCCTAAATTCCTCCTAAGCCTGATGGTCTTCTTCCACATAAAGGGGGAAATGAGAGCAACAGCTTCTGAGCCATGCACTCTCCATCAGAGTGGGATTATTACATTTCCCTGATTCCAGCTTGAAAAATCTCAGAGAAGGTTTGGCTTGAGTCAGTTATCCACCCCTGGGTCAATCTATGATGGCCAGGGAGAAGGTGTCAACCCAGACTTGATCTCTCAGACCCCACCTTCCCATGTCTGAGTTTTCCCCTGTGAGTCAGGCAGCCCTCCTACGTGCTAGGTACCTCAGTACAACATGACCAAAATCCACAGGTCAAGAGGCCAGGCGAATTTCTGAGATCTTGGCTAGGGCCAGGGCTCAAGGTTGTTTGTTCCTCCTTTCCTTTCCCCACTGCACTCCTCAGATTGTCCCTATCATCGATGTCCTGGTGTGGGTTTTTCTAGGTAGAAGCTAGAAGCCCAGTGAGACTTGAGACCATTGTCTGAAGCCTGTTTTTCTCAGTCCCAATTTGGACACCACTCCCTTTTCATTATATCTTTTTTTTTTTTTTTTTTTTTTTTGGCAGGGGTTTGGGGTGGGGACGTGGACAGAATCTCGCTCTGTTGCCCAGGCTGGAGTGCAGTGGCATGATCTAGGCTTACTGCAACCTCCGCCTCCCAGGTTCAAGTGATTCTCCTGCCTCAGCCTCCTGAGCAGGTGGGATTACAGGCACCCACCACCATACCCGGCTAATTTTTTTGTATTTTTAATGGAGATGGGATTTCACCATGTTGGCCAGGCTGGTCTCCAACTGTTGACCTCAGATGATCCACCCACCTCAGCCTCCCAAAGTTCTGGTATTACAGGCATGAGCCACCATGCCCAGCCCTTCCTCCTAATTTCTAAAGCTGCCAGTAAGCCCCCAAAAAGTTACTTTGTCCTTACAGGTTCTCTGAACCTGAAGGTGAGAATTGGCAGCAGGGGTGAGGCTAACTGAAGGAAGATGTCAGAGTTGCCATTGGATGGGGATATTGGCAGGAGCTAGGCCCTGTGGTTGAGAAGGTTCTCGTCTGTCTGAAGCAGGGTGAGTCAAACACTCTGGAGTGGGCTCCAGGAGAGGCTGGAGGCTGGGAGACTGGTGAAAATGGAGCTTCTTTTGGGAAAGCAGGGAGAGATTTTAGGATGTGAGCCATCGAGAGGGCCATCATGTGGAGTAGGACACCTGACTGCTGTAGGTGAGGACCCTGGAAGTATGCACTGAGGGTCTGTCCCAGCCTCGGTCTCTCAGCATTGCATCAGATATTTGGATGGAGGCATGAATAATAGTTGTTGGGGGCTGAGTTGTGTCCGTCGTAAAGAAATGTTGACATCCTAACCCTCAGTACCTGTGAGTGTGACCTTATTTGGAAATAGGATCTTTGCAGATAATTCATTAAGATGAGATCATACTGGATCAGGGTGCGCCCTAAATTCAATGACTGTTCTCCTTATAAGAAAGCCATGTGGAGATGCACAAACAGACACCAAAGGAAGATGAGCACGTGAATTCAGAGGCAGAGATTGAAGTGAGGCCAAGGAATGCGAAGGGCTGCCGGCAACCACCAGAAGCTGGGAGACCTGAGGAGCGATTATTCCTGGATCCTTGAGGGGTGCATGGCCCTGCCAACACCTTGGTTTCAGACTCTCAGCCTCCAGAACTGACAGACAGTAAATTTCTGTGGTTTTAAGCCTCCTACTTTGTGGTAATTTGTTACGGTAGTCCATTAGCAAACCAAACAGCAATTTATCCTTCTTGTAGATGAGACACTGCTGGTTGCCTACCCGGCTGCCATTCACCCATTCTCCTTACATCATAACCCTGAGTTTGTTCAGCATCACACAGAAATGTGCTCAGGGAAGGTGGCCCGATACTCGAGGGAAAATGAGTGGCCCAAGCCAGTCACAGTACATTCATTTCCCTTTGCAAGGAATCGTGGAGGGGATGACACTCGACTCTGCTCTGGCCTCTGAAATGTGAGGGAAAGTCTGTGGGCAGCCTCCGGGCAGCACTGAAGGAAAGCCTCCTCTGCCTTCATTCCTGCCTGAGAGATGGTCATGTGAGGATTTACTGTCTGCAGCCACTGAAGCCCTGGCTCAACCATGACAGAAGGTGACCCAGGGCCGTGATATTGTTGAGCTGTTAAACCCACAACCTTCAAATGGACTTTTTGTCATGTGAGAAAGATGAACTTATATCATTTGGTTGGATGTGCTGTTACTCACAGCTGAAGACAATCTAACAGGCATACTGGTCCTGATCATTAATACCACTGATAATGGAATCAGGATTAAAAATAATCTAAGACCGGAAGACTTGCTCCAGATAAAACACACAAACTGGAACAGGAATAAATGCATCATCAGGTGGGATAATTCTTACCTGTTTCTCCTTTTGGAGGGCAGGAAGAATAGGCTGATTGGAGATGCATGAAATGTGGTTAATGTCTCTGCGTAATCAGGACTTGCAACACCCCGATTACTCCTTTCTGATTCTCTGTGAAGAAAAAAAAAAGGAATAAATGTAAAATTTTTGCATTAGGGAGGAAGATGAATTGCTCTATTAAGATAAAATATAAATGAATATATATTTTAAAATTCTGTATGTCAAAAATACCATGGATAAATTTAAAAGAAAAATTACATACTGGGAAAATTACAACACAATAAAATATGAAAGTTTGTTATCCTTATACAAAGAACTCTTGCAAACCAATAAGAAAGTGGCAAAACAAAAACAAAAACAAAAAACCCCCACACACTTCGATAGAAAAATGGTAAGGAATAAGGAAAGGCAACTCCCAAAAAAAGAAATTGAATTAATCAATTAGATGAAATTCAACTTCACTGAATACAGTAGAGAATGCAAATTAAATACAATAAAATACACGGGGACATATTCAGGTTTTGTGAAGCCTGAAACTTAAAAAAATGTGGGAGCTGGGTCTCCAAAACTGTTATTTCAAAACTAAGTATGAATAAGAATTTTATTTGGCCCCGTCTGGGAGGTGAGGAGCGCCTCTGCCCGGCCGCCACCCACTCTGGGAAGTGAGGAGCGCCTCTGCCTGGCCGCTGTGCAATCTTCCAAGTGTGAAGTGATAGCCTTTCTGCAGGTGTACCCAACAGCTCCAAAGAGACAGCGACCATCGAGAACGGGCCATGATGACAATGGCAGTTTTGTTGAAAAGAAAAGGGGGAAATGTGGGGAAAAGAAAGAGAGATCAGATTGCTACTGTGTCTGTGTAGAAAGAAGTAGACATAGGAGACTCCATTTTGTTCTGTACTAAGAAAAATTCTTCTGCCTTGGGATGCTGTTAATCTATAACCTTACCCCCAACCCCGCGCTCTCTGAAACATGTGCTGTGTCAACTCAGGGTTAAATGGATTAAGGATGGTGCAAGATGTGCTTTGTTAAACAGATGCTTGAAGGCAGCATGCTCGTTAAGAGTCATCACCACTCCCTAATCTCAAGTACCCAGGGACACAAACACTGCGAAAGGCCTCAGGGACCTCTGCCTAGGAAAACCAGAGACCTTTGTTCACGTGTTTATCTGCTGACCTTCTCTCCACTATTATCCTATGCCCCTGCCATCCCCCTCTCCGAGAAACACCCAAGAATAATCAATAAATACTAAAAAAAAAAAAAAAATTATTTGGAATAAGAAAATAAATCACAGCAAACTATAATGTTTCAAATGCTAAAAAAACCCACAAGTGTCAAAAAACAGCAAAAATAACATATTATTTTTATTGACTAAGACTTGTTTATAATTTTTTTCCTATATTTTCTGGATGCCTACACTTTCATCATTTCTTCATTTGACAACAACTTTGTATTGCTATTTTCTGTAGAGAGGATACAAATATAATTTGTCCTAACAGTTTATTGAACTATATTTCTTCTTATTTAGAGTTGAGATTCATAAAACGTATGACTCCACACATAGATTTGCTTGCTGTTTGTAACACTGCTATAGGTTTGTGCTTTATAAAGTCAGGCATTCTAATATGTTCTCTTTCACATCATGCCCACCAAAAAAGTTAAAAAAATAGATGTAGTGCATTTGTAGTGGTCTATACTGCATTATGGAGTATGTTCCTGAAAGAGGAGAATCATTTTGACTGGGTACAGATGAGAACTGAACCCTCCATTCACAGTTTTCCACATCTGATGACTGGAAGAATAGATACAGACTAGATGCTGGCTCTGTACATTTCAAACTGTGTTTCTCTTCTACTCTTCAAGCAGTTCCAGGACCAAGGCTGCAGGCCACGATCATAGTAGGATACAATCTTTATCTCTGCCTATGGTGTTGTGGAGCTGAGTGAGTTGACACAGTGGGCAGTAGGAGTGTTTTGGGAAGCCATTCCTTTATTGGGGAGCAACCATAGCTAAAACGGACATGGAAGTCACTGTAGCTCCATACATATGTCCCACCAAACTTTAAATGTATTTTCAATTTCATCGTAGCCAACTTCCAAAAATGCCTCCAGCCACTTGGATAACACTCAGCACAAGGAGAAGTGTGATTGAGAACTAGAAAAAACAGCTGTCTTAACAGATTTTAATAAAAATCTTTAATTTTGCACATTTTATTAAAGACATCTAATCATGTTAATATACTGCTAGAGTCATTCCCAGGCTCCTAATTAGATGTCCTAAAACGTATGCTTTATCTTCATGGTAGATCAACTCTGGGTGTAGGTACACTTGATGTTGAGTTTCCATATCAATGTCAATGTTTAAGGCAAAAATTTGATACAGTAAAAAATTATTTATATGGCTCATAGTGGTCTAACACAATGAGCTTTTCCTCAGGCTGTGGATCAGATCACTTTCCAGTTTTGTTCATTTCCAACTGAAGCTGTGGAGGTGCTTAGGATCATGTTGTACAAACAATATGGATGTGTGAACACTAGAATCACACACACAGAGTGTGGGGTTGTCATAGGAACCGAGGTCTATGGAGGAAACAGCAGAGCCACCTCTCTAGTATCATCAGCACAGGGCGCCTTCTCATGAAGTCATGAAGTGAAAGGACAGGCAGAACCCCTGTAATACAGGCCATTTTCCTCTTTCTCTTTCTTTCCTGACCCTTAAAGTTTAATTCAAGTAAGTTATTGATTGTATGATGAGACCTTACTATACCACATGTAACACTTATAATTTACAAAAATTAGAACAAACATTTCTGAAACATTTTGGGAATGTAATTTAGCATTATGCATCAAAAGCCGCCCAAAAAGTTCATACCCCTAAAGACTCAATTTCCAGGAATTTATCCTAACTAAATCATTATGAACATATTAAAATATATAGCTACAAGTGTGTTCATTGCTAAATTATTTTTTAATTATTTTTTAATTTTTAGAGAAGGAGTCTTGCTTTGTTGCATAGGCTGTACTGAAACTCCTGGGCTCAAGCAGTCCTCCTGCCTCAGTCTCCCAAGTAGTTGGGATTACAGGTGCAAGCTACCATGCCTGGCCCTAGGTTTTTAATCAGTAAAAATTGGAAATGATCTATTACTATATGGCCAATGATATGGAATTGTTTAAATTAATTATGGTATATTTACACAATGGAATACAACACATTGGTTCAAATGGCAATGTAAAGAAATGTGAAAGATCTACTTGAAGAAAAAATTAAATGCTATTAAGAACACAGAAGATAATTTGTATAAATGAAAACAAATACCTTGCTCTTGGATAGGAAGACAAATACTGTCATGATTAATTATTAATCTAAAAATTTAACCTCATCTCAATTAAAAATAACAATCAGAATTATCAAAAAATGAGATAATATGACTGTAAAGTCTAATGAAAGTATAAATGGCAAGAATAACCAGAAAATTTGTAAAAGGAAGTGAAGGGACTATCCCTACTATTAGTAAAATATGTTATAAAACACTGCAGTAATTAAAACTACAACCATTCATGAGTGGATGTGCAGAACTGAACAGAGTCTAGAAAAACTAGACTCTGATATAATAAGGAACAGAGTATATGATGGAGATGGCCTTTCAACTTGAAGGAGAAAATGGTGGCTTGTTCAATAAATTGTATTAAGACAAGTAACTAACTCATACACTAAAATTAATTCCAGGTGGACTGTAAAATAAAAAGTATAAAATTAAAATTTAAAATTTAAAGGCAGATGCACAGAAATATTTTTAATTTTAAATTTTTAAAAATTAAGAAAAATTTTAAAAATAAGTAATTTTAGTATAGGAGAGGCAAATGGTATATATAAACCAATACAAAGCTCACAAGCCATAAAATATACATAAAAATGATTACATAAAATTCTGAACATTTTGAAAAGAAAAAATGTCATAAATAATGTCTGAAGGGAAAATGATAACTTGGGAAAAAGATTTTAATGTGGATGACAGTCAAAAAGCTTATTTCTCAATATATAAACATTTTTAAATAATAAATAAGAAAAAGGCCAATAAAAACATGGTTATCCACAACTACAGAGCTTCTCATAAGACATCATGGAAAAATATGTTTTCTATTTTTTATTACTTAGCTTTACTGATGTATAATTTACATAAAACAAAACCTGCCAATTCTAAATGTAAAGTTTGATGAATCTGTTTATGGTTAGTAATTACCATCACAATTAGGATATAGAATTTTTCCATCACCCAAAACAGTTTCCTCTTGCCCTTTTACAATCCCCACCCCTGACATCTGGGAACCACTATGCCCTTTTGGTTACTATGGTTTTGTCTTTTCTAGAATTTCATAAAAATGAAATTATATAGTATGAGTCTTTTGTATCTGGCTTCTTATACTTAGCATAATGCTTTTGAGATTCATCCATGTTGTTGCAAGCATATGTAGTTAATTTCTTTTTTATTGCTGAGTAGTAAATATTCCATTGTATGGATATACCACAATTTGTACCAGTTGATGAAAATCTGGGTTATTTCCAGTTTGGGGCCATTATGAATAAAGCTGCTATGGACAAGTCTGTGTGGACATGTTTTCATTTTTCTTGGGTGAATATCTAAAGAATCGAATTTCTAAGTCATATGTAAGTGTATATGTAATTATAAAAGAAACTGGGCCGGGCATGGTGGCTCACGCCTGTAATCTCAGCACTTTGGGAGGCTGAGGTGGGTGGATCACCTGACATCAGGATTTCGAGACCAGCCTGGCCAACATGGTGAAACCCTGTCTCTACTAAAATATATTAATTAGCTGGGTGTGGTGGTACATGCCTATAATCCCAGCTACTCAGGAAGCTGAGGCAGGAGGGTTGCTTGAACCTGGGAGGCAGAGGTTGTGGTAAGCCAAGATCGTGCCACTGCATTCCAGCCTGGGGAACACAGCCAGACTCCATCTCAAAAAAAAAAAAAAGAAACTGTCTGACCAGTTTCTAAGGTTGGAACATGGGGAGAATCATTCACCAAAAAAAGTAGAGAGTTCTTCCCAGAAGAAAGGGGAAGGGTGTGAGGCAAAAGTAATTTCCACTTTTTTTGAAATATAGAAAACCATTTTTCAAAGTAGTATCATTTTACTTTCCCACCAGCAGCATATGAGAGTTCCAGTTGCTCCATATCCTTGCCAGAACATGAAATGATCAGTCTTTTTCATTGTAGCCATTCTTAAATGTGTGCAGTAATATCTTCTTGTGATTTCAATTTGTATTTCCCTAATTAATGATTAATGATGTTGAATATTTTTTTCATGTACTTTTTGTTTTTCCATTTGTATTTTTTCTTTGGTGAAATGTCTGTTCAAATATTATAAAATTGAAGGTATTTATTTGCTTATTGCATTATTTCTGTCACTTCATGGTCTGTTTCTATTGGTTGATTTTTCAACCTGCTTACAAGTCATTTTCTTTGCATGCCTGATAATTTTTGTTTGCATGTTGGACATTGTGAATTTTATCTTATTGGGTGTTGGGTTTTGTTGTTGTTTGTTTTGTAACTAATCTTGGACTTTTTTTTTTCTCTGAGCACAGTTAAGTTACTTGAGATCAATTTGATCCTTTTGAAGATTGCTTTTAAGTTTTGTTAAGGCAGGACCAGATAAGTGTTTATTTTAGGGCTAATTTAGCCTCCCCCTGCATTAAGATGATACCCTTCTGTGGACTCTGGCCAATGCTTTGTGTATAAAAGGTCTCTGTTTTGGCTGGTATGAAGACAAATTACTTCCAGCCCTGTGTGAGCTCCAGGAATTGTTTGGCATACTGCTTTCTGGTAGTTCTTCCCATGGCCTCATAGAATTTCACCCATGCATGCCTAGGACAGTATTCAGCTAATGACTTGAAGTGACTGCTCTGCAGATCTCTGCAACTCTCTCTCTAATCATCTCCCATCACTCTTATATTCTGCTTCACAAATTCTAGCCACTTTGGCTTCCCTGGACTCTGATCTGTCTCCTGTGTTCTGTGAAATTTCTGGGCTCTGTTTGGGTTCTCCATCCCTACAGTGATGCCTGGAAACTGCTTTGAGACAGTAAGCTCGGACGTAAGACTCACTTCATTTGTTTCTCTTCTCTTAGTTATCACAGTCCTGTGCTCTGTTGTTCAATGCTTAAAAACAGTTGCTTCTTGCCGGGCACGGTGGCTCACACCTGTAATCCCAGCACTTTGGGAGTCCGAGGAGGGTGGATCACGAGGTCAGGAGATCGAGACCACCCTGACTAACACGGTGAAACCCCGTCTCATCTCTACTAAAAATACAAAAAACTAGCTGGACATACTGGTGGCTACCTGTAGTCCCAGGTACTCGGGAGACTGAGGCAGGAGAATGGTGTGAACCTAGGAGGCGGAGCTTGCAGTGAGCCGAGATCACAGCACTGCACTCCAGCCTGGGCGACAGAGTGAGACTCCGTCTCAAACAAACAAGTAAAGAAAAACAGTTGTTTCTTTTTTTTGATCCTGTTTTTCTAGTTGTTTGCAATGGGAGGACAATTCCCACAGCAGCCAATGCTTCATAGAAGAAAGTGGAATTCTCTTTTTTCTATTTTCAACTTTAAAAATCCCAAGGGAGATCGTTGGCCCAGTTTCTGTTTGGTGATCACCCATAAGCCAATCAAGGTAGTGAGGATATATAAGAAAATCACAGTTTCTAAGGTTGGAGTATGGGGAGACTCATTCCCCAGTGAAAAACAGAGAGCTCTTCCCAGAAGAAAGGGGAAGGGTACAGGGTAAAAACAGATGAGAGACATCTATTATCAAAGCAGTTCTTATGAAAAAGAACTTGAAGTCAAGAAACTGATAGAGCTGTAAGAGTTCCATTGTCTAGAAGGTGGAGTCCGTTCCCTGGCCACATGTTTTCCAGGGCCAAGGACAAACAAGAGCAGGTCCAGGATAGAGAGATACAATAAGTGTAACAGTTACACTGAAAGAGACAGAATGCAGTACAAAAGCAACTTTCTTTCTTTCTTTCTTCTTTTCCCTCCTCTACCCATCCAAGTCCGCTCTATGGACAAGTTCTTTCTCATCCCTTGTGAGAAATATGTGTTGGTCTCACTAGTTTTCTGGTCCTCTTCAGCTAATGAAAAGACCTCAAGATATTTTAACCCCATGAATAGTTTCATTTTGGTAATTAAAATGCTCAGTCCTGTGCAATAGTCAAATCTGAGAATTCCACTTATAGGGAGTAGGGAACAAGCATGTGGTCACCTCTTCTTTATTTTCCCACCAACAGGGTCTCTTTGAACCACAGTAGTCCATCCCTCCGCTGCTCCCCCTGCAAGATGGGTAACAGCCTTTCTGACGCAGGGAGCATAGGTGAGGGGTATGGATGGAGGGGAAGGGAGGTCTCAGGAAGGTCCTCTGTGCTGGGTGCTGTCCTGATCTAGCTTTGGTGTTCTCTTTGCCTAGTAAGTATGGAAAGCTTTTCCCCGTGGAGCATTGTTTTACCCGTATAACCTTACCTTGAGTGAGATATGGTGGGGCCAGACACAGATCAAGAGAGAGAAGCTAGAAAGAGTTTTAGAGCTTTTTATATCCACAGTTTCCTGGAGAGATCACAGCACACCATGCAGGTCCACTCAGGGCCAGGGTCTGTCACAGAGAGAGGGAGAGAGGGGAATTGTGGACAAACATCTTTATCATGGTTTCTGAGGGAAGGAAAGAGTGAAATAAGGCAAGCAGATATAGGATAGGCTAATTTGGATAATTTCAGCGGGTTCTGAAGTACAGGGGCTGTAACTAGTTGTTTGGTGCCTAGCCCTGGACAGGTGTATAGTGTCCCGCGTGTGAGAGCCTGCTAACGGAAGTGGTTGGGGGTATGCAGTTAATAGACTGCTGGAGAAGGGGAACTGACCAGCCTCCAGCCTGAGCCTCAAAACTGGGTCAAGGCAGCATGAAAAAACTGCTACATTACAGCTATTTTATGGGTTCTTTGGAGACCTGAGATATGAGAGCATGTCTCATCTGCAGTCCCTTTGTTGTCCGTGAAGTCTTTCTTCTGACTATATCAGGCACACGCACGCACAGATTCTGCTACATCTGAGAGTACTAAGCTGTCTCCTGCGCTTCTCACATCTGACACTGAATTATACATGACACCATCATCAGCAAAGGACAGGGCGCTGGGAGCACCACGCAGAACCTAAGCTATTGGAGGGTGGGAAAAGCAGCAGCAGAGCCTAGGAGTAGAGGACAAAGCGTTTCCAGTGTAACAGAATAATGTACTATCTGCGGCCGGGACTAGGGTGAGCAGAGTGAGGCGCTCAGTGAGGGTGCAACATTTAAGAGGTGCCATAAAATTCAGCAACTAAAATACATAATAGGTGGCTCACTCCTGTAATCCCAGCACTTTGGGAGGCCAAGGCGGGCGGATCACGAGGTCAGGAGTTTGAGACCAGCCTGGACAACATGGTGAAACCCCGTCTCTACTAAAAATACAAAAATTAGCTGGGCGTGGTGGCGCACTCCTGTAATCTCAGCTACTCATGAGGCTGAGGCAGAAGAATCGCTTGAACCCGGGAGGCGGAGCTTGCAGTGAGCCGAGATCGCGCCACTGCACCCCAGAGCGAGACTCTGTCTCATAAAAAAACAACAACAACAAAAAAAACCACCATAATATTTAATACGGTATTTTAAAAAATACATAAAAACGTTTATATAGGGTGCACAAGTTCCCTTTTGCCTAAGAGTTCAACGTGGCTCAGCGGGGCACTGGTGCTAAGCAGTCGCAGCTTCTAGTCTCCTCCTAGGGCCCGGAGCAGCCCCCAAGGAAAGGCCTTCCCTAGGAAGAAGTAGCCCTTCAGCCCAGCCTAGAAGAAGGAGCTGAATCAAACCAAGGCAGGACGATGAGGCGTGGCGTGTACTGACAGGGAAGAAGAAACAGCAAATATTTGAGTCCAAGATGCCTGGAGGGAAAAGAGCTAGAGGACTATTTGGGGGAATGGTCTTGGCAACACGGTTCTAGGCAGGTACCACGATCATATAGGGACTCTGTAGAATTTTAAGTAGGGAGGCAAGCGCCCAGGTTTGTTTCTTATGCAGAAAGTGCTGAGCAACGGACAGACTGAAGAGGTTAGGTCTGGATCCAGGTAAACCCTTTATGAGGCTAACGCACTAGCTGAATGAGGGATGACAGCATCCCACCTAGACAGGTGCAGACAGATTCCCGAGGTTCAGGTTCGGACTTCAGTTTCTCCGCTGGAACGCTGAGGGTGGGGCAGCACCCGGGTCCCTGCCCTGCAAACGGGGCCGCTGCAGGGTTCCTTTGGCGGGGCCGGTGCCCCGGGGAGCGCGCAGGACGCGCCCGCCTTCAGCCGGGGGCCAGGGCGAGCGGGACGGGGCGGGCCCGCGGGTGCCCTGACCAGCTCACCGCCCAATCGCTGCGGGCCCGCCGAGCCCCGGGGGGCTGGGGCCGCCGCCGCCGCCGCCAGAACGTGCCGCGGCTGCGCCAACGCGCGAACGCCGGGCAGGGCGGCGGGCGCGCTCAGTCTGGCGGCGGCTGCCGTGAGCTGACTGACGTTCCGGGAACGCCGCAGCAGCCCGCGCCGCCCGCAGCCTAGCCGAGCCGCGCCGCCCGGGCCTCGCCCGCCCGCCTGCCCGCCATGGTGTCATGGATCATCTCCAGGCTGGTGGTGTAAGTGGCCTTCTCCCCCGCGCCCCTCCGTCCCCTCCCTCCCCGCCCCCGGCCCCGGGCTGCGCGCGCCCCTACAGCGCCCGGTCCCAGTGGCTCGGGCTATTAATACCCGGCGCAGCTAAATTTAGCAGGTACAGTAGCCGCCGAGGACGCCTGCGGGCGGACGGGCGGCGCAGGACGCGGCTGCTGCCCAGGAGGCAGCCGGCGCCGGCGGCCGCTTGCGGGGGGCTGGGCCGGGACGGCGAGGGCTGGGGCGCTCGGGGGTTCCGTGGGGGCTGCGTCTCGCCGCGCGCTGGCCGCTTTGTTCCTCAGCTCGGTCGATTTGCAGAGGCCCCGAATGGGCGCACCGCGGACACGCGTCTCTCTCCTTTGGCAGAAATGTGAGGTCGCCCGGCGCCGCGCCCCGCCGCCCCAGCTTTTGTCAGGTGGAAAGGACAGCGCAGACGAACCAGGGGCGCTGCCTGGAGGGTCAGCGCGGAACGGGTGGAGAGGCAGAGGCGGGGCTCCCAGTGGGGTTGGAAAAATCCTCCTTTTTAGGTGTCTGCATCGACAGCGGCAAAGGCAGCTGGGACATGGGAAGACGCATGTGAATCTTGGAGTAAACGCCTGGAGCCCCCGGCTCCGACTCCTTTTGCAGGGGATTGAGAGACAGGGGCAGGTACCTCCAGGAATGCACGGGAAATTTTCAAGTGACAGCCACCCGCATGGTGGCGATGACACCTCCCAGGCCTTGCAGGAGAGCGCAGAGTCATCTAGGGTGAGGTCTGTGTGAAGTCATTGGGGGTGGGCGTGGGGGCCGATTTTCTCCTTCAAGCCCCAGGACCTGTAGGCGTTTGAAGAGCTTCCCCGGTGGATTTATTCTCCTTTGGAGATAGACGTGGCTGTTCCAAGTCCCTGTTCTTCCCTAACCATCCTGGCCTGAGTCAGAACAGATTTGCCACCTGCTGTAGCTAGCAGGGGCTGAAATGGGTGTGGGGAGTCTAAGGCGGGGAGGAGGGTGGCAGGCACCTCGGGCTTTTTCTTTGTCTGAGAACACGGGGCTCTGGACCCCAGTGATTGTGCACCATCACTCCCCACGTTTTGAAACACCACCCATCTCCCTTCCCTTCTTTACTGATTTTCCCTTCCGAAGTGGATCTCAGCATTGTCTCCCGCCACCATTCAGGGCTTTCCTCCCAAAGCCAGTGTCTGTGCCTCTCAGCCCCCAAGTCATTCCGTGAAGGCCTCTCCACAGCTGTTCCTGACTGCGGGGTGTTTGCGCTGCACCTTGAGGTGGCATGTTAAATATTTAGAAGATTTCTGCTGGCAGAGCCGACATGAATAATACAGGAAAGTGGCTGACACGCCTTGCCCAGCCTCATGCCTGACCAACACTGTCTTGCCTTCAGGGTGGTGTTTCCTCTCTGGGATCGATATTGCCAGTGGCTTCTGGGAAGCCCTCAGGGTGGGGCTGGAGAGTTGAGCTGGCCTGGCTGGTGGGCTCTCTGTAGGTCCTGCTGGGCTGGGAGTGAGGGCATCTGATCCTGGGTCATGTGACTATCATTAGTTTTATTAGCACTGGGTCATGTGACTATCATTAGTTTTATTAGCACCTCCCTCACCCCTGCCCTTTTTTTTTTTTTTTTTTTGAGACCGAGTCTCGCTCTGTCGCCCAGGCTGGAGAGTGCAGTGGCACAGTCTCGGCTCACTGAAGCCTCCGCCTCCTGGGTTCAAGCGATTCTCCTGCCTCAGCCTCCCGAGTAGCTGGGATTACAAGCGCCTGCCACCACGCCCAGCTAATTTTTGTATTTTTAGTAGAGACGGGGTTTCACCATGTTGGCCAGCCTGGTCTTGAACTCCTGACCTAGTGATCCGCCCGCTTCGGCCTCCCAAAGTTCTGGGATTACAGGCGTGAGCTACCACGCCCGGCTCCTCCCCCTTTTTTACAATGAGCAACTGATGGGGGTGGAGAGGAGAGGCATATATTTGGGAGGTGTCTCAGGGATGTGCTGTTGCTTTCTAAAACAACCACACTCCCTAGAACCGAGACTTCAGAGAATTTAAATGAACAGCATTATGTGGCCCAAGGAGAGTTGATGGGATTTGGGATTGTTACTTCCACTATCAAGTCCAAAAGGTCAGGGATACCACTTATCCCCCAGTCCCTAATTCCCTGTAGAAACCTAGCATAAGCATATTGATTATGAGTTATGAACATCATTTTTAATAAGCAATACCTGTTTCATGAAGACAATATTTGTTAATTACAGGAAAATTAGAAAAGATAAACTGAAAATCATCCACATTTCCACCACACAGAGATAACTAATAATAATGATGGAGGGCATATTCTTCAAGAAATTTTCCTGTATTGCATATATGTACATATATTTGTAATTCAAGGATATTATTGATTCAGCCCAATATTCTACACTCCACATACCTTGAGGAACTTCTTATCAAGGGGAGGAATACTGTGTTTGGAGTCAGAACGCCCATGGTTCAAATCCCAGTTTTGCCTCTTGCCAGAAGATCCCAGTTCACAACTCAGATCAGAGCAGATGCTAGTCCACAGCTAGTTAACCTCATGTTGCTGTTGCAAAGATTTCCATGACACTTGATATATAAATTGCCAAGCACCACGGAGAGCACTAAATCAATGATGAGTCCCTCCTTCTGTCCTCCCCGGGAACCCTATGAGAGGGGCTCTCAGACTTAATTTACTCCTGTGGTTTTCAAACTGGGTTCCCTGAGGGCCACCCAGCCTGAGCAGATGGGCTCTGGGCTCCTCATCCCTGATTCAACCCAAGCAGTTCCCTTTTTGTTTGTCTTATATATTGGGGTTCTAGATAAAATACAATTCAGAAAAATATATGTGTTTTACTGCTAATAAAAACAACTGATCTAGTCCTCCCCCTCATCTGTAAAACTGCAGAGGAAATATGCCTTGCTCAGGGACACAAGATGAGCTGGTGAAGAAAACAGGCTCTGGATTTTTAGTCCAGTCCAGTGCTTTTTCCACCTTCACTCCCCACTGAGAAAAACATCTCTTTCAAGCTCCCTAGACCTCTGGTATGGGAGCATCCTATGGTTTTATCCGCGAGTCACGTTTTGTATAAGTAATCTTTTCATGGTTTTGTAAGCCTCTGTCACATCAAAGAACATGTAAGGAAGACCTATCACTGTGTTGTGAGGATAGAGAGGGAGTGTCTTCCTGTCTTTGTGTGGTCCCAACCATCCGACCAGAGGTATCACAACAAGCTGATGGCCTCCAGGGACAGCCAGCCAGTGCTCGTGGTTGTCTCTGCTGCTACTGGCCGTGAGCATTTTGAAGAAAGCAATTGTGGCTTGTTTCCCTTTACAACCGCTTTATCCCTGCCATGGGTCTTTCACAAAGTATCTGGCACCTGAATGCACTGAGTGAAGGTTGGTTGTGTTGAAGGAAATCCTAGGCCCTGGGGACAAGCAGAGTGGCTGGCTACTGCTGTCCCCTGGGGACGGAGGTCAGCAGGCATCAAGACAGGCTTGTGCCCACGGGCAAGGCTCTTAGAGTGAGGACCAGTTTGAGATGCTTATTTCTTGCCAGCTCTCTTTCTCCTAACTTCCTTGGCTCAGCCTGTAAAGAATTAAGGAAGAGATACTCAGTGCAATAGCACTCAGAACCAGGTTGATACCTTCATGGGACACAGGGGCTTATTTAGGACTTGCCTGCTTGCCTCCTTTCATTTTCTTTACATACAACTCAAGGCCTAGGCATGAATGAATTTCAAACTGGGGAGAGCATGTTTTTGTGCACCCTTTTGGAGGGGGGATACCAACGTTGCTCTGTGACTTCTTGGAAGAATATGCCATTTTGAAGCATTATTCTAAGGAGCAGGTATTGCCTCATTGTCTTGGCCAAGGCCCAGAATGTTGGCTGAACGGATCAAGAGCTTCTCACCCCTTATGGGATTAGTAGACTAAAACCCCAGCTCACTACATGGGGGAAAGAGAGTTCTAAGTCCACAGAATTTTCTGAATAACTAATGGCTGTGCAGAAAACATTTTATTTCCACATTGCACATTTTAAAAAATACTAGTTTTTAGAAAATACAGTGTGATGATCAAGACAGAGTCTTAGTTTGATGGCTGAAGATCTGGCTAAGTTCCAGGACTGGGATTTGGAGCATGAAGTCTGTCCTGGGTCAGGGATGTGCAAATGGATGGAGCTGGGAGGAATGTGGATTGTCCTCAAGATGTTCCCCAACTGTTGCAAAACAAATGGAAAAAAAAGAAAATATCGTAAATCCTTAAATATAAGCTAGCTTTTCTTTGGGGCCTGCTTTTAAAATGTGGCATGCAGGAAACTGATTCAGTTAATGGAGGGTTCCAGTTGGTTGAGGATTGATTTCCTGGCACTGTGCTGTAGTACACTGTGGGAGCTGGGTAAATGTTTCGGTTGAATTGTGAAAGGAAAGATGTTAGGCTAGTAGGCAGCAGACATGGGTTCTAGTCCCAGTGCTGGTCTGACTCACTATCACAGTCCTAAGGGCAACTCCCACCCACCTGGGCCAGCTCCCTGTCTAAGAGACAGGTTTTTGGCCACAGTCACCTTGCAGGTCCTAAGAGCTCCAAGAGTCAGTGTTCCTCTAGGTCCCTTCCTTCCCCAGCTGGCCTGTATGCATCACATTTATTTATAAACAGGAGGAGTATCCTCAAGGAAGTGAAAAATACTAGCTTAGATTTCTCCGCTGTTGAGCTGCCCTGTTTCTTTGTTTGCTAATCCTGCCTGTCTGCTGAGAAGTAGCTTTCATGCACTTCTTCCCACTGTGTCTTATTTGAGGTTAGCTGACAAGTGAGGGTCTCACCTAGTTATTACTGGGTCAGTCTCCCCACTTCCTTCTGAAGCCCGCTATCTTTTTTGGAGGGTGTATTATGTCGGGGGAGGAGGAGCCCTGGGGAGAATGAGGGAAGGGGGACTCAGGTCCTCTTTGGCCATTTAGTGAGGCTGCTGTTTTGTGTACGTATGAGTGTATGTGAGTGAACGTGTGTGTGTGTGTGTGTGTGTGTGTGTGTGTGTGTGTTTCCAGGAAAGTTAGGGAGGCTAGGGAAAGGAGAGATATGGCAGTGCAGCAGCCATAGCACGTGGCACCTTTAGAATTTCACTGCCAGGGATGAGCCACACACATGCCCAGCTGGTTACCAGAATTCTTAGTCTGGGGGAGTTTTTCCAACCCCCGAAAAGAAGTAAGGAGAGGGGGGTGCACTTGGGCACTAAGGATGTTCTCCTCTCGATTCTGGGCCTTGGGAAGGGAATTGGGATTCTTGAGGAACTGGAAGTTGGATCATTATATTCAGAGTATTTATTCTGAATTTTCAGATCTCATCTGTCTTTATACAGAAGCACATTATTTTCACTTTGGGATTTTTAAGTCACACTGGGGCTTCCCTGGGAATACAGGGAAAAAGGAAATATAGATCAAGGACCAACTATTGGGCACACAGTAGGGATTTCAGAAGGAATCTTGAAAGGTAATTTGGTATAGGCCTTCAAGCATGCGTGGGTACCCAGACCAGGATGGCAAGTGAGGCTGCCTAGGACACTGTCTTGAGGAGCAAGAAGCTGAGTTAGGCTCAGTGGGGAAGGAGTCCCAAGAGTGCTTTATGCAGGGAAGATGGCAATGGGGCACATGGGTTGGTTCAGTATTTGCTCTTCCACACTTAGCTCATTCCTGATCAGAAAAGGTCTGCCCCATTGTCAGATTTACTAGATTAGTAAACAGAGAGCATCTGTTATTTGAGTTAACATCTCCTCCTGACATCCTATCTCTCCCTCTCCCCGTGGCCTTGTCAGTCACCTGGCAGTTCTAGGACAAAGGTGCCTCCTGTTCCCACTCTAGGTAGCTGTCCAGCCTAGAGGCTGTCTTGCCCTGCTTCTCTTTCCTCTTAGGACTATCCTGCGTATCTATACTACATTCCCCGCCCCCCCACCTTTTTTTTTTCCTTTCACTGATCACAGCTCAAAGTCTGCCTTAGGCATTCTCCTGCATACTTAGGTGTGTATATCCTTTCCCCCTCTTTGTAGGGGACTCTGGATAGTACTTTGGGCTGCAAAACTAGTTTTCCATTCCCTTCTGGTAGCATGCTGCATCCTGCCTCCCTTCACTCAGCCACAGAAGTCAGCATGTGACCCAGGCCTAGATATGCATTTCCCTGGGCACAGACATTGGTCCAGAGGTGGGCAGGTGACCCAAACTGAGATCCTTCCCCAGGGTTTCTTGATTTGGAGCTGAGGGAGAATAGCCTTGCCTATGGGTTCCAGAGTTGGGAAGATATGAAGTTAGGGCTGAGGCATCTAAAGCCCCTGGCATACGTGGAGAAAGTCCATAAGTAAAAGTGAAGAATACAACAAAGCAAAAATAAATGGAGATGAGACTTGGGTGAGAGAAAGAGGCTGGCACAAGAGAATCTTGGTTCTGGTTGCTCGGGCCCCAGTTCCTGCAGCTGCTTTTTTGATGCCATGAACTGTCCGATATCCTAGAATGAAAACTTTAAATGCTGCTTATAATCCATTAAATATTTGTTGTTCGGATGGACTGGGGTATGCTGCAGGAACAACTCCCAAATCCCAGTGGCTCAAGAAAACAAAGGTTTATTTCTTGCTTTCTGCTGCCTGTTACTGTGGGTTGGCAGGGGTACTCTGCTCATCGCATTCACTGAGAGTCCCAGGCTGACTGGATTTCCTTTGTCTTATCGTTATAAGACATCAGGATTCTGGCTGGGCACGGTGGCTGACCGTGTAATCCCAGCACTTTGGGAGGCAGAGGTGGACAGATCACTTGAGCCCAGGAATTTGAGACCAGCCTGGGCAACATGGCAAAACCCCATCTCTACAAAAAAAATACAAAAATTAGCTGGGCATGGTGGTGTGCACCTGTGGTCCCAGCTACTTGGAGGATGAGGTGGGAGGATCACTTGAGCCTGGGAGCTGGAGGTTGCAGTGAGCCGAGATCATGCCACTGCACTGAGCCTGAGCAACAGAGTGAGACCCTGTCTTAACACACACACACACACACACACACACACACACACACACACACACACACCAGGATTCACTGTGGTAGGGAGAGTCACATACTAGCTCATAAGTACCTGCACCTGGAGATGATAACATGCCATTTCTGCTCACATGTCATTGGCCAAACCTGAATTCAAGTGGTTACACTCCTCACTAAAGAACAGCCCTAATGACCAGCATATATGTTGAATGAATGACTCCTAACCAGCTTTGCAAACCTAGAAATGTCCTTGGCATAATATGGTATTGTGCAACTGGGAGAATCCTGACATACTCCTTCAATCTCTACACTAGAAATATCTTTCTCACTTCCCTTTTAGTCCCTTTATTCTGTTCGTGAGTCAAGAAAGGAGGTCTTAAGTCTGAGGAGAAATTAGCAATTACAAAGAACCGATGCCATTCCATAGCTAAAGCCTTGGAAGGTGCCCTCTGGCTTTCACTACACTCTCCATACATGTCTCTACCTTTCTCCATGAAGCCTCTCCTAGGTCCCCTAACCAAGAAAGATTTCTGTCCTCTGGGTCTCCAGAGTGGCATTGTCACTTTGTTCCTGGTGCTATAGTGGTCTGTGCGTTGATATCCCCTTACAGACCACATCTGCTTCGTCTCCCTTATAGTTTCTCATATGCAGTAGGTGCCCAGCGAGTGCGTGTTGGGTGGTGAATGAGTCAGGACCTCACTCCTCAGAGTGTGGTCTGTGCACCAGCAGCATTGGCATTACTGGAATAGTTAGGAATGCAGAGTCCCAGGCCTGGTGAATCTGCATTTTAACAAGATCCCCATAAAGCCTGAGAAGGGCTGAGTCAGGAGACAGGGTGCCATCATGTCCCCTGTGAATTGAAAAGAGATGGACTTGCCTGAGGTTTTCATTATTGTCTGTGGACCTTGGACCTGGGATTCAATTGCAAGCCACCATTTGTGCTAGACTGTCATTCATGCTTTCTGGTTCTGAGAGGTTCTGACCCCAAGTTTTTATGATGAGTTCTAAATAGCATATCTAGACTCTGTCAACCCAGTGCCCAGCCAAGAACCTTTTGATATGGACAGGAGGCAGGGAAACACTGGATAGAAGAGGGCAGTTCCCTGGCAAAGGCCCCACCCTCAAGCCTGGAAACTGCGGCCCTAAATGAGAACAGTTATCCCTGTTTTCCTGCCCAAATATTGCTTTTTCCAAAACCACTCTGGCTCGCCACACCCCGCATCCTGTATCCATAAAAACCCCAAACTCCACTGGCAGAGAAGCAGAGTGGCATGGCAGAGGAGAGAAGAGAAGCATCTGAACGTTGAGAGGAGTTTGGCCAGGGATGGCCGCACTCCAGGGGAAGATTATCTTCCCACTGTATCCCCTTTCCAGCTCCCCATCTCACTGAGAACCACCTCCATCACTCAATAAAATCTCTGCATTCACCATCCTTCAAGTCTGTGTGACCTGATTCTTCCAGGATGCCGGGTTCTTCCTGGAACCCGGGTACCAAGAGGGCAGGGTATAAAAGACTGTCACCCTGACTCTCCACTGAGCTGGTTAACAGCCATCTGCAGACGGCAACTGCTAAAACAGCATTAATTGTAACACACCCCTAGACGCTGCCACGGGACCAGAGCCCAAAAGTGCTCACCCCAGCCCTGGCACCTGCTCACCTGCATGCTTCCCCTCCTGCAAGGGGTTTGAGCACTGCAGGCCGAGTAAGCAAGCCACACCCCTGTCACAAGTCCCACAGAGGGGTCAAGGCAGCCCTCCTGTCTCACTTTCTTTTTTTTCTTTTTTAAGATGGATTCTTACTCTGTCGCCAGGCTGGAGTGCAGTGGCACCATCTTGGCTCACTGCAGTCTCCACCTCCTGGGTTCAAGCAATTCCCCTGCCTCAGCCTCCCGAGTAGCCGGGACTACAGGTGCCCGCCACCACGCCCAGCTAATTTTTTGTATTTTAGTAGAGACGGGGTTTCACCATGTTGGCCAGGATGGTCTCGATCTCCTGACCTCGTGATTCCTCACCTTGGCCTCCCAAAGTGCTGGAATTACAGGCATGAGCCACTGGGCCTGGCCTCCTTTCTTACTTTCACAGATTGGCTGCCTAATTGTGATCAGTGTAAAATTTAGTCTTGTCACAACTAGGGCTTAGACTGCCAAAGCTATGCCTGTGAGACAGAATATTGGGCTGAGTGGGTCACGCTGCTCAGAGGAGAGGGAATACAACCCACCTTGAGAAAGAGGCTAGTGAGCCTGGCCAGCTGATGCTGGAGATTCACGTTGGATTTCCAAGAACATGCAAGGACTTTTTCTCATGAGCACCTGAAGCTGAGAACCACGAGTCCACACGTGCCCCTCCTGAGGGAGTTGCAGGATCCAGCAGGATCTGTGCACACTTCAGGCTGCGTGTTGTGGAATCCAGGCTCTCAGCAAGTTCTCCTAGCTCTGCCTTCAAAATACTCGCCTGTCTACCCATGACTCCCACCTCCACCACTGCCACCCTGCTCCAACCAAATACTGTTGCTCTCCTGGACCATTGAAAACCCTCCTGACTGTTTTCTCTGCTTCTATTCCTGTCCCTCCGGTGATCTCATTAAAATGTAAGATAGGGCCAGGCACGGTGGCTCATGCCTGTAATCCCAGCACTTTGGGAGGCCGAGGCGGGCAGATCATGAGATCAGGAGATCCAGACCATCCTGGCTAACACGGTGAAATCCCGTCTGCACTAAAAATACAAAAAATTAGCCGGATGTGGAGGCGGGTGCCTGTAGTCCCAGCTACTCAGGAGGCTGAGGCAGGAGAATGGCGTGAACCTGGGAGGCAGAGCTTGCAGTGAGCCGAGATCACGCCACTGTACTCCAGCCTGGGCGGCAGAGCGAGGCCCCATCTCCAAAAAAAAAAAAAAAAGTAAGATAGACCATCTTTCCCCTGCTGTTTAAAAACTGCTCCATCTCACTAAGAGTAAAACTCAAAGTCCTTACCATTGTCAACAACACTCACCAAGGTCTGGCTCCTGCCCACGCTCTGACCTTACCTTGCAGTGGCCTCCCCTCTCTCACTCAGCTGCAGCCTCCTCACTATTCTTAGAAGGTGGCAAGCTTGTCCCATCCAGCACCCTTTGCACATACATATATTAATAATATATATTATTTCTATAATAGAGCTACCAGTTAGAGACCTTAGAATAAGTCTTTTTTAAAATGAAAAAACAAATAAAGCAAAGAAGTGAAAATATAAGAAAACAGCATATCCTGGGGGAGGGAAATAAGCCCATGTGGAAAAGAAGCACTTCTGGAAGTAAAAAATAAAGTGTTGACATTAAAAATCCAATGACTAGGTTAAAACAGTGAAGGATTGAATGCCAAGAAGGTAGTGTTTTTCACACTGCATCTTAGAGCTAGAAGGAGTCTTGGTGATGTCATGCCCTTGTTCGACAGACAAGGAAGATGGGGACCCACAGAGATAGGTGATCTGTCAAAATCACTAGCCCGATTGGCTAGGCCAAGAGTTAAGGCCAGGTGTCCATGTTCTGAAAATGTTTTAATGTGGGAAAGAGAGTAAGCTTGTTTTATATGGGTAGAGAATTGGACTAGAACCTGTGGGTGGCTAGAAGATAAATCTTTGGCTTGCTGGAAGGAAAAGGTTTCCAGTAGTTGGCACTGACAGCACTGGGCTGCCTTGTGAGGCAGGGAGCTCCTGGCTTCCAACCCTAAAACTGTCCAACCCTAAAACTTTATGATTTTTTATTTTTTATTTTTTTTTTGAGATGGAGTTTTACTCTTGTCGCCCAGGCTGGAGTGCAATGGCATGATCTTGGCTCACTGCAACCTCCGCCTCCCGGGTTCAGGCGATTCTCCTCCCTCAGCCTCCTAAGTAGCTGGGATTACAGGCATGCACCACCATGCCTGGCTAATTTTGTATTTTTAGTAGAGACGGGGTTTCACCATTTTGGTCAGGCTGGTCTTGAACTCCTGACATCAGGTGATCTGCCCGCCTTGGCACCCCAAAGTGCTGGGATTACAGGCGTGAGCCACCATGCCTGACCAAAACTTTATGATTTTAATCTTTTTCCTTATACTGGTTAAGGAAGAGAGAGAGAAGAACCACTAAAAATATTTCCTTTTTCAGTGATTGGACTTCTGTCCTTGCTCAAGACTGATTGATTGATTCATAGCTTGGTCAATTTATTCATTGATGTACTGCTCATTTTTTTGACCATTTGATGCATGCCAGCCACCAGGGATATAAAGATGAATAAGTTCTGATTCCATCTTTGAGAAGTTTATGAGGTCACATAACCAGTCACTGGGAAACTGGGACTTGAATTCAAGTGTCCCTCTGCCTGCCCAGTGCTGTTTCCATTGGGTGGATATTTTGTGGGTGTGTGTGAATGACTTGTCTGGCTTTGGTTGGAAATTGTAGGGATAAGTCCTTTCAGCAGGGGAAGTGGTACATCTCACATATGAAGGAATTAAACCACTGCTTTGTCTTCCTACCGGGGGGACACTGTAGCATCCAATGTTGGAGAGAAGAGAAGGCAGAGGACAGGGTGTGCTAAGTGGGAAACAATCTGAGACGAAGAGGTGGGTGAAGTCAAGCATCCTTTCCCACTGTTTTAGTCTATGATTGCTGCTGTAACAGGTAACCATGAATTTAGTGGTTTAAAACAACAGAGGTTTCTTCTCTTGCAGTTCTGGAAGTCAGAAGTCTGAAATGACTCTTTTGGGGCTAAAATCAAGATGTTGGCAAGGCTGGTTCCTTGTGGAAGTTCCAGGGGACACTCCATTCCTTGCTTCTTCCAGCTTCTGGTGGCTGCCGGCATTCCTCGTGGCTGCATTACTGTAGTCTCTGCTTCTGTGATCACACTGTCTTCTGTTCTGCCCTTACATCTTCCTCTTAGGACACTTGTGATTACATTTAATCACATTTAATCACAAATCAAATAGGGCCCACTTGAATAATCCAGGATAATCTCCCCATCTCAAAATCCTTAATTTAATTCTACCTGCAAAGTCCCTTTTACCTTATAAGGTAACATTCACGGGTTTTAGGAATTAGGACCTGGATATCTTTGCAGGCCATTACTCAGCTGACCACACCCAAGATCACAGGCCTTACTGCCTCCAGGCTGAGGGGAGTTCATCTAAGAACAACCTAAAGAAAGGGGAAACACACAAGGGAACACTTTGATGTTCTAACGTCTTTATCTTTTTTAAAATTTTTTTTAAAAGACAGGATCTCACTCTATTGCCCAGATTGGAGTACAGTGGTGAGATCACAGCTCACTTCAGCCTTGAATTCCTGTCTTCCAGCAATCCTCTTACCTCAGCCTCCCAAGTTGCTGGGATTATAGGTGTGAGCCACTGCACCTGGCTTCTAACATCTTATTTTGTCTCCGTTTTTGGGCTCTCCTTGATTTGCAAAAAGTAATTAATGAGGCAATAGAAAAGACTATTTATAAAGAAATGGTGGTGAGGGGATAATGGATAATAGTACAGTGAACCCTCATTTACTCATCGCCAGTTTAAGAACTAGAACACTACCTTTATTGTATGAATATACCATAATGTACTTATCAAGCAAACTGTTGATGAATGTTTAGGTTGTTCTAGATTTTTCTTTTGCACTCTCTCAGAAAGAGCGCTGCAGTGAGCATTCTTGTGTGTTTCCTGGTATACCTTTGCACAGGTTTTGTTAGGGTTAGTCTGGCTGAGGCAGAGGACAGTTGCATCTTCTACTTGATAACATAAATTAAGTTTCCATAGAAAAGGGGGCCTATCCTGGGGCTTTTTATCCTGTGTCATTGATCACTTTGACTGACCCTGCACCAACACCACACTGTTGTAATTACGTGGCGTGATGAAAATTCTTGATGTCCGGCTTGGCAAGTGCTCCACCATTTGTTCTTCATAAACTGTTCTCCAAACCCGTTTTCTTTCAGCAGTGGGTGCGATTCCATTTGCACAGTGTCTTTACCATCACTTGATACTCTCACACTTAGAATTTTTGCCATTCTGATGGGTACCAAGTGTAATCTCTTTATGGATTTAATTTGCATTTTCTGAACACTCATGAGACTGAGCATCTTTTCATATGTTTATTGGCCATTCATGTTCTCTCTTCTGTGAAGCGCCTGCTCAAGTCTTGCCAGTTTTTCTCTTGTCCTTATCTTATTGATTTGTAGGAGTTCTTTAACTCTTCTGGATGCTAAACTTCTGTCATTTATGTGTTACAAATGTCTTCTCCCAGTCTGTGATTTATTTTATCATTTTTTATAGTCTACATTGATAATCAGAAGTTCTTAATATTAATGCAATAGACAGCATTTTTTTTTTCGTTTATAGTTTTTGCTTTTTGTGTCCTAGGAAAATAAAATTGTGAAATTATTCTTCCATATTGCTCCTAGCAGTTTTCTAGTTTTTCTGTTCACATTTAATTTCTTACTCTACCTTGAGTTGATTTTTATATATGATGTGAAGCAGCAGTCTAATTTTTTTTCTTTTTTTCTTTTTTCTTCACATGAAAAGCCAGTTTTCCTGGCTCTATTTATTCAAAAGTTTATGCTTTCTCTTCAGACCTGCAGTGCCCTGCCCTGTCATAAAGTGAGTTTCTATAATGTGCAGGCCTGTTTCTGGGCCCTTCATTCTGTACCATTGAATAGTTCGTCTGCCTGCCACAGTGCCACGCTGTGTTAGTACCAGAACTTTATGAAAAGTCTTGATGTCTGGCGTGGCAAGTTCCCCACCTTGTTCTCCTTAAAGAGTGCCTTAGTGCAGTGGTCCCCAGCCTTTTTGGCACCAAGGACTAGTTTCATAGAAGACAGTTTTTCCATGGATGGGGGTTGGGGGGCAGTTTTAGGATGAAACTGTTCCACCTCAGATCATCAGGCATTCGTTAAATTCTCATAAGGAGCTGTGCAACCTAAGTCTCTCACATGCGCAATTCACAATAGGATTCGTGCTCCCATGAGAATCTAATGCCGCTGCTGATCTGACAGGAGGCGGAGTTCAGGTGGTAATGCTGCTGCTCACCTCCTGCTGTGCAGCCAGGTTCCTAACAGACCACAGACCAGTCTCCGTCCTTGTCTGCAGCCCAGGGGTTGGGGGCCCTGCCTTAGTGCTTTCTTCTCCCATAATACATGTTTAGAATTAGCTTAGAGTTATGTGTTACAGCACATACACAAACACACAAATCTGTTGTCATTTTTATTGGACTAGCATTTAATGTACGAAACAATAGAATATTGATGTTCTTTATTTATTTTTAATTTTTGGAGACAGAGTCTGGCTCTGTTGCCAAGGCTGGAGTGCAGTGGCACAATCATGGCACACTGCAGTCTTGACCTCCTGGGTGCAAGAGGTTCTCCTGCCCTGGCTCAGCCTCCCAAGTAGCTGGGACCACAGGTGTACGCCACTGTGCTTGGCTAATTTTTGAATTTTGTGTAGAGACATTGTCTCACTGTGTTCTCACTATTTTGCCCATGCTAGTCTTGAACTCCTGACCTTAAGCAATTCTCCCACCTCTGCCTGGCCTCCCAGGTGTGAGGCCTTTTATTTTTTTAGAGACAACATCTCACTCTGTTGCCCAGGCTGAAGTGCAGTGGGGAAGTGTACTGCAGCCTCAGACTCCTGAGCTTAAGGGATCCTTCTGGTCTCAGCCTCTCGAGTAGTTAGGACTATAGGTGTGCACCACCACGCCCAGATAATTAAAAAAAAAATTGGGGGCCAGGTGCAGTGACTAATGCCTGTAATCCTAGCACTTCGGGAGGCTGAGGCAGGTGGATTCCTTGAGCCCAGAAGTTTGAGACCAGCCTGGACAACATGCTGAAAACCTGTCTCTACCAAAATAAATACAAAAATTAGCCAGGCATGGTGGCACACACCTGTGGTCCCAGTTACTTGGGAGGCTGAGCCAGGGCAGGAGAATCTCTTGCACCCAGGAGGTCAAGAGTAGCTGTGGTCCCAGCTACTCAGGAGGCTGAGGTTGAAAGATGCTTAAACTCAGGAAGTCAAGGCTGCAGTGAGCTGTGATGGTGCCACTGCATTCCAGCCTGGGTGACAGAGCAAGACTCTGTCAAAAAAACAATCTTTTATTTTTAGAGATAGGTTCTATCTCTTTTGCCCAGGCTGGTCTTGAACTCCTGGCCTCAAGCAATCCCCCCACCTCGGCCTCCCAAAGTGCTGGGGTTACCAACATGAGCCACCATGCCTGGCTGATATTGATGTTCTTAATATGTTTGTTGCACTCCATGTATATGGTATCTACCTTTATTTATTTGGGTCTTCTTTAATGACTTTCAATAAAATTTTATAATTTTGCTATAAATGTCATACACATCATTTGTTAGATTTATTCCCAGGTATTTGATATTTGTTGATGCCAGTGTATTTAGTATCTTAATAAAATTTCATCTTCCAACTGTTGGAAGAATACAACCTTGCTTACCTGTAGATTCTTTTTGGTTTTCCAGATAAATAGTCATGTCATTTGAGAACAGTGTGGCGTTGTGCCTTTCTGGTCATTATTCTTTTTTATTTCCCCATTTTACCCTGGTTAGGATTCCCAGTGCATGATGACTAAAATTGGTGAGGCAGACACTCTTGTCTTGTTCCTGACTTAAAAAGGGATGCTTCAACATTTTCCCATAAAGTATCATGCTTGCTGTAGGGTTTTCAGAAATATATTTTGTCACTCTCAAGTGATAGTTTGCTAAGAGTTTTCATAATGAATGATATTATATTTTATCTAACACTTTCATTGAGACAATGTGATTTCTTTTTGGTCTTTAGTCTAAGTGGTAAATTGCATTAATTAATTTTACCATTAAACCAAACTTGCCTTCCTGGATAAACCCAATTTGGTCATGAAGTTGTTTTTTCTTTTTTCTAGTTAAAATGATCCTGGAGGCGATTTGCTAATATTTAGGATTTTTTTTAAGCTATGTTTGTGAGTGGTATTGGCTATGTTATTTTTGTATGGTTTTGGTATCAAGATTGTGCTAGCCTCATAAACTAAGCTGGGGGTGTCTCATCTTTTTCTGTACTCTGAGATAGTGTGTGTAATATTGGATGTCTTTCTTAAATGGTTAGTAGAATTTGCCAGTAAACTGCTCAGAGCCAGGGGCTTTTTCAACAGGAAGATTTTAAACTACTGATTCAATGTATTTAATAGTTATAGGTTTATTTGATCTTTTCAGATCAATATTATTTTAGGACTTAATTCATTTCTGTAATTTTTCAAATTTATTTAGTTAACAATATTGCTTCTGCACCCTATTCCTTCTCCCCTCTTCTTCTAGCACTCTCATTAGACATGTGTTAGATGTTCCTACTCTGTCTTTCAAGTCTCTTCATTTTGGCCGGGTGCGGTGTCTCACACCTGTAATCCCAGCACTTCTTTGGGAGGCCAAGGTGGGCAGATCACCTGAGGTCAGGAGTTCAAGACCAGCCTGGTCAACATGGCAAAACCCCATCTCTACAAAATAGAAAAATTAGCCAGACTTGGTGGCGGGCACCTGTAATCCCAGCTACTCAGGAGGCTGAGGCAGGAGAATCGCTTGAACCCAGGAGGCGGAGGTTGCCGTGAGCCGAGATCGTGCCATTGCACTCCAGCCTGGGCAACAAGAGTGAAACTTTCTCAAAAAGTCTCTTCATTTCTTATTTCTGATTTATTTTTCTGTCACTGCTGCATTATGAATAATTGTGTGCACATCTGTCTCCTCAGCCATGTCTAATCAGCTGCTAAACATATCCGTTGATTTACAATTTTTTAATTATTAGATTCTAGAAATTCTATTTAGTTCTGTTTCAAAACTGGCCATATTTTATGATGTCTGTTCCTTCTACATATTTTAAATTCCTTTTTATTCCTTTAAACATATTAAACATATTTATGTTATGTTCGGAGTCTGATAATTCTAGCATCTAAACTATTTTTCAGGGGCAATTTAGATCTCTTTTTTTCTGGTGGCTCCCAATCAAGGTGCGTTATGTGTCTTGTAATTTTTTCTTTTCTTTCACTGTGAGCTTGTATTCCTTGGAATTTCATCTGTAGGAGTTCTTTAGGCCTGGGTCAAAGGTGAATTCCTCCAGGGAAGATTTGCATTTGCTTCGGTTAGGTGTCTAGGGACACTACCAATATTGGACTACTGAAAAGTAATTTCTTGAGATTTTAAAATTTTGACCACGTTGGTAGTGTAAATTTGGGCTGCAAACTTATGTGAGGATGAGGTTAGTGGTTACAAGTTTTCAGGGGAAATACGGTTTCCTCTTCACCTGCTGCTATGACTAGAGAATGGGTGTTTTTACTTTAACCTTTAGTGATTGCAGCAGGCTTCTCTCTCTTCACCCTTTTACTGATGTTGTAGTGCTTTGGGGTCTGAATTAGTTTCCTAGTGCTGCTGGCACACAGTGCCACAAACTGAGTGGCTTAAACTGACAAAAATTTATTCTCTCACAGTTCTGCAGACTAGAAGTCTGAAATCAGGGTGTACTATGCTTTCTCTGAAAGCTGTAGAGAAGAATCTGTTCCCTGCCTTTCTCTTATCTTCTGGAGGTTGTCAGCAAGCCTCGCCCTTCTTTGGCTTGTAAATGCGTCACTTTAATCTCTGCCTCCATTGTCACATGCTGTTCTCCTGTGTCTGTCTTTTTTCCTCTTTTATAAGGACACTAGTCATATTGGATTAGGGGCCACCCTAACCTAATGACCTCACCTTAGCTTGGTTATATCTGCAAAGACCCTTTTCTTTTTCTTTTCTTCTTTTTTTTTCGTTCTTTTCTTCTTTGGCAGAGTCTCACTCTGTCGCCCAGGCTGGAGTGCAGTGGCAGAACCTTGGCTCACTGCAACCATTGCCTCCTAGGTTCAAGTGATTCTCATGCCTCAGCCTCCCAAGTAGCTGAAACCAGAGGTGCACACCACCATGCCCAGCTAATTTTTGTATTTTTAGTAGAGACGGGGTTTTGCCATGTTGGCCAGGCTGGTCTCGAATTCCTGGCCTCAAGTGCTGGGGGTACAGGCGTGAGTGAGCCACTCTGCCCCGCCAAGACCCTATTTTTAAGTAAGATCACATTCACAGTTATTGGGGTTTAGGACTTCAACATATCTTTTTGAGCAACAATTTAATGCATACCATGGTCCAAGCTTTATAGAAGGATGCCCTGGGTCAGTTTTACTCAAAATGTGGTCTGGGGACCATCCCATTACCTCACCTAGGAGTTTAATAGAACTGTAAATTCTCAGCCTCGCCCCCTCCAGACCTACTGAATGAGAATACCTGAGGTTAGGGCCCAGGAATCTGTGTGTTAATACACTCTCCAGGCTATCTTATGCAGGCTGAAGTTTAAGAAGCATTGCCCTCAACTATGTCTCCTGTGCGTGACACTCTGTCAAGCCCTGTAATGTGAAATTCAGTGCTTCAGTTAGCAAGCGCCCTTAATTTACCTTTCTGGGGCTCCGCTTTTACTTTGCTTTTGGCCTCTAAAGCATTTTACACTGATATCGAATATCAATGTTTACAAATATTATTTATATTGATTACACTTTTGATTTTGTTTGGAAACCTGTATAAAAGTTGAAAGAACAGTACGAAAAATACTTCCATTATTCTTACCTTGGCACATCCGCTCCATCTTTTTTTATATAAATACAAACATTTCCCTCTTGTCTAACCATCTGAAAGGAGGCTGCAGACATCATGCTACCTCACCCCAAATACTAAAGTATGGCGCTCAAGGACAAGATTACTCTCCTATACCAGTGGTTCTCAAACTTGTTGGTCTCGGCCGGGTGCAGTGGCTCACGCCTGTAATCCCAGCACTTTGGAACGCCAAGGCAAGTGGATCACCTGAGGTCAGGAGATCGAGACCAGCCTGGCTAACATGGTGAAACCCCGTCTCTACTAAAAATACAAAAATTAGCCGGGATTGGTGGCATGGACCTGTAGTCCCAGCTACTCGGGAGGCTGAGGCAGAGAATTGCTTGAACCCGGGAGGCGGAGGTTGCAGTGGGCCGAGATCATACCACTGCACTCCAGCCTGGGTGACAGAGCAAGACTCTATCTCAAAAAAAAAAAAAAAAGAAAAGAAAAGAAAAGAAAACTACTTTTTCCAGAAAAAAAGCAAAATAATGTCAAGAAGAGAGTACTGTACATTTTTGTAAGTCTTTTTTGTATCAAGGTTAATTTCAATGTGGAATCTGAAACCTTATTAGTGGTGGTTGGTCTGTCTTACAGTTTGAGTGGATCTTTTCTGTATGATTTTTAACATTATGCATTGGTCATTTGGAAACTTGGTTCACCAAATAGATGCAGATCTTCAAATGTTGACACATTTTATTGTATAATATCCAAAATCCATATGCATTAATATCACTGTTGATTTCATCAGAAACGCCTTCAAGTATTGGGATACTGTTAAGTTAATGGTAGGATAAAAATGTCCAAAATTCTAATTTTTGCTTAAAATATCAAATCTCATCATTGGTAACAAATACTATTTGTTTTTTCTGATGAGATCAATCATTTTTCTAGAAAAGGATTACAAGATACCCAGGTCTGAATAACCGGAGTTCATCAGTCATTCAAGTAACTGGTGTTCCATGAAAAAAAGCGGATAATTCAGCACACAACTCAGTGACACAAGTGCTTTTCCTCTAGACAATCATTATACTTTAGTATGCAGCAGAAACACTGTATGAGTGCTACTTATTTCATCACAGAATGATAAGAACATCCATACTCAAGGGTCTGGATTTAATGAAAGTGATGATTTTTACTATATCATCTATGACATTCTTAAATGGAACAGGATTTTGTTTTCCCTATTGTATTGTGGTGAAGAACACAGTGGTGACAGGTGGAGTTTGGTGCTACTGCCATGATTCATGCAAAGTACTAGCGGCAGTTTTACCTTTCATTGGTTTTGCACCATCAGTGCAAATTCAACACAGCGAAAAGGCAAATGTCTTGGTAATATTGTTGAAATTGTTTTGACCTCATGGACCCTCTGAAGGGGTTTTAGGGATCCCCTGAAAGGTTCTTGAGATCCCCTAGGAGTCTGTAGATGATACAGAGAATCACTCACTGTTCTGTACAGTAAAAAACCATTACCACCCTAAGAAATTCAACTCTAATTCCACACCTTTATCCAGCATGAGGTCCATACTCAGATTAACCCAAATTTGTCAAAAAAAATCCTTTATTGGTGTTTTTTTTTCCTGTTTCTATTTGGATGCAATTAGAGTTCACACACTGAATTTGGCTGTTATGTCTTTTGACCAACCTAGAACAGTTGCCCCGATTTATTGAAGAGTCCGGGTCGGCTGTGTGGAGAGTGTTCTGCATGTGTCGGACTCATCCTAATGATTAGACCCAGGTCTGACAATTGTGGCAACACCACCACATTGATGAGGAGGTGCACCCTCGACCGCCTCCTGTCAGGAGGTCAGAGTGTCAGACTGTCTCACAATTGGTGATGGCAAACTCAACCACTTGGTAAAAGATTTACAATTTCTTTGAATCCAGAATTTTTTACTGTTTTCAGTGGGACAGTAAGTCAGGGTATCTTGTCTGATACTGCCCGAAACCATGGTCTCCTTTTGATTATTATTATTATTTTTTTGAGATGGAGTTTCACTCTTGTCCCCCAGGCTGGAGTGCGATGGCACGATCTCGGCCCACTGCAACCTCTGCCTCCTGGGTTCAAGTGATTCTCCTGCTTCAGCCTCCTGAGTAACTGGAATTACAGGCATGCACCACCACGCCCAGCTAGTTTTTATATTTTTAGTAGAGATAGGGTTTCACCATGTTGGCCAGGCTGGTCTCGAACTCCTGACCTCAGGTGATCTGCCCACCTCGGCCTCCCAAAGTGCTGGGATTACAGGCATGAGCCACCACGCCTGGCCCTTTTGATTTTTTTTTTTTTTTTTTTTTGAGACAGAGTTTCGTTCTTGTTGCCTGGGCTGGAGTGCAATGGCACGATCTCGGCTCACTGCAACCTCTGCCTGCCAGGTTCAAGTGATTCTCCTACCTCAGCCTCCCAAATAGCTGATATTACAGGCACCCACCACCACACCCGGCTAATTTTTTTTTGTTTTGTATTTTTAGTAGAGATGAGGTTTCATCATGTTGGCTAGGCTGGTCTTGAACTTCTGACCTCAGGTGATCCGTCTGCCTCAGCCTCCCAAAGTGCTAGGATTACAGGCGTGAACCACCGCACCTGGCCCCTTTAGATTATTTTTTAGGTTTGCAGGTATATCAGTTAAAATTCTTTTGGTTTTAGAAAAAGTAATACAACTGAGGCTGGCTCACACATCTTAAAAGTCTAGAATGGTGCTGATTTCAAGTGAGGCTTGATCTGGCAGCTCAAGATTGTCACCAGAGCATCAGGTTTTCTGGTGTCTCGTCTGTACTCTTTGGTTGGTGCCTGTTTCAGATTAAGCCTGGCTCCCCTGGCTGCTGGCGGCTTCTAGGAGCCTTGAAGCCCTCTTGTGTGTCCAGCAGAAAGAAGGCATCTCTCCCAGAGAGAGAGCATCTCCTATGGGAGACAAGGAAGCTTTTCCTCTGAAGTCCCTAGCAAGCCTTTAGCTCTCCTGATTTTGGTCACATACTTGTCATTGAGCCACTCCCTATGGCATGGGCATGGGATGTGTTTGACTGAAACCAGCCAGGACCCACCCTGGATCTGGGAATAAGATCAGTTGTCCAAGCACATGGCACTGGGATGGTGACCCAGAGAGCATCTGGGTCCTCTTACCAATACTAAAGCCAACTGGACCTGTGGGCTATCCAAAACCACCAACATCCACCAAAGAGTTTTGGTATCCATGAGGGTATAAAACACTTTACTGAGTACCCCCTGTGCAGCAGCTGTTGTGCCATGCCGTTCTTTATTCACTCAGCAGGTGCACTCTATCATCTGGTCTTGAGTGAGCTGGCACTGTGAGCCAGATGTGGGTCACCACTGAGGGAAACAACTGGAGTTTTGCCTCACAGCATTTCTCATGTAAGGCTCTAATAATTTAATTAATGCAGCAGTCGTACAGGTGGACATTACTTGTCTCTTCCCCAGATGATAAAATTGTAAGCTGGAGCTAGGCAGGCTGTGCAGGTTACCCAGCAAGCCAGGGGCTGGAGCCAGACAAACGAGAGCACCATAGTGCCAGCAACACTATCTGGCCCCGGACTGGATGTGACTTGGGGGTGTCACTCAGCCCTTGCTGAGCTGAGTGACCTTGGCTACGGGACTGTGCTTCCCAGGGTCCTTGGAGCAGGGAGGGGCTCACCCTCCTGGCAGGCAGCTTCCCTGATTGTTCATACCATCCCATCTTCTACGTCTCTAAGAGTCCCGGCTACTCTGAGCTAGATACACCCTCTTAGACCCTCCAGGGTCTCAAGGGCCCTGCAGGGTCTTTGATGTTTATGGTGAAGAGCTCATGAGGACAGGAGACCAAGGAGGAAAGAGGCCAGAGCCTTAAGAACTGCCTCCAGGTCGGGCACAGTGGCTCATGCCTATAATCCTAGCACTTCGGGAGACGGAGGTGAGTGGATAGCTTGAGTTCAGGAGTTTGAGACCAGGCTGGGCAACACAGTGAGACCTCATCTCTAGAAAAAATAGAAAAATTAGCTGGGTATGGTGGCGCATGCCTGTAGTCCCAGCTACTCAGCAGGCTGAGGTGGGAAGATTGATTGAGCATCTGCTTGTTGGGCTCAATCAATCCTCCCACCTCAGCCTCCTGAGCCAAGATCGCGCCACTGCACTCCGGCCTGGGCAACAGAGCAAGATCCTGTTTCAAAAAAAAAAGAAAAAACTGCCTCCCCAAAAGCACACTGGGGAAGAAGAGGAGGTGAGGAGTGCAGAATTGGCTGGTCCGTTCCTGTGGCTTCTACCTGCCCAGACCTAAGAGAGTACCTTTAAGGAGTGGCTGGAGAGGCTCTTTTCCATCTTCTTTTGTAACAGTCTAGCCCTGTCGCTAGGCCTCCTGTCCTAGCTGGCTCACCCCAGCCAGCCTGCTCACCCCACCTGGGCCTGCCTTAGCTCAAGAGAGGCTGGGATCCAAACTCTGAGGTCAGTCTGAGCCAGCCCAGCCCTGCAGTGCCTTCCAGGGTGAGACTGAGGCTCAGCATGTTCCTGGAGGCAACTCATCCAGTTTAATGAGACTCCAGGTGGGGAGGTGGTTTCCCTATAGGGCATGGGCAAATTTCTCAGCTGACAGCCAGGCATCCAAGCTGCTGCCACTGGGCTGGCAGCAGGATGAGATCAGCTGTGGTTGTGGCCTTCCTGGCAGGAGGTAAGGCACTGTGGGGCTTGGTGAAGTCACTCAGGTGGGAGCACTGCTCCCGGGAGAATTTGCAGAAGCTTCCTGGGTAGATAGATCATTCCAGTCACTGTGGGTCAGCCTTTTCTTCCCATTAGTCTGCTACTTGGCAGTTTGCAAATGGCTTCACATCTGTGGTTGGATACAAAGTCACAAACGTGGTGGCTCCTGGCTGAAATCAGCCTGCATGTTGCTTGTTTAGCTTGTGGTGTTTTAAATTTGAATCTACTTAAATAGAGAGATGTGGCACCAAAATTCAAATTTTGGGCTTCTCTTGAAGAGTCAGAAGATCTGGCACTGCAGGATGATTCCATCAGGGCAGCATCAGCCAAGCTGAGGGGTGGCTGCTCCCAGGGCCTGTGCTCCCTGATCTGCCTAGCCCCACCTGGCCCAGTTACTGCAGGCTGTGGTGGTGACCATGTCTCATCTCACACCTGGTCTTTTCCATCACTGGCCTGGCCCTTGATTCTGTATTTTCAAAGCAAACTGGGGAGGTGGGCATTAGTATCTCTGTTTTGCCAGAGAGGAAACCGAGGCTCAAACTGGTTTCAATATGTCATGTAGGAAAGTAGTCATGGCCCGATTCAATCATGGCTCTGCCATTTAACAGCTCTGTGACACTGGGTGAGTCACTTGCCCTGTCTGGGTCCCAGCCTTTCCATTCATAAAACAAAGAGGTTGAGGGCTAGCTAGGTAGCAAACTTCTCAGTATAAGAAACAGATGGAATCCAGAGAAGCTGGGAGAGGAGAAGGAAACAAAGGAGAGGTGATGGCCCAACAACTTAGCAGAAAGACATTTTAAAAGGATCTCTAGCCTTAGTAACATAGCAAGACCTTGTCTCTACACACCAAAAAAAAAAAAAAGAAAAGAAAAGAAAAACCAGCCAGGCATGGTGGTACATGCCTGTAGTCCCAGCTACTCAGGGTGTAGGGAGCCTGAGGCGGGAGGATCACTTGAGCCCAGGTGGTTGAGGCTGCAGTGAGCTGTGATTGTGCCACTGCACTCCAGCCTGGGTGACGGAGCAAGACTCTGTCTCAGAATAAAAGAAAATAAAATAATTTCTGATATTCTTTTAATCCATTTGCTTTTCTGTGATATAAACTTGCTCTGTGTCCCAGAATTTTAAGCAAAATTGGCTGTTCACACTAAAAAAGAAAAAAAAAGCAGAAGAAGAAGGATGGTAGCTAAATGCTCTCTGGGGTTCCCGTCTGAACTGATGTCTGTCACTCTGAGTAGTCATTGGCAGTGTGCTGCTAGGTGCCAGAGGAACACAGGATCTGTGCCTTGATTCCCAGACCTAAAGGCAAAACTTAGATCCATTTACCATAATAAAAATAAGTATGTTTGTTGACACATAATTTACAAGTATGCTTTATGTCAGATGTTGCATTGAAAGTCTGCATACATTATTTCTCTTAACCCTGACTGTAGCCCCATGGGGTAGGTACTATTATTTCCATTTTACAGATAAGCAATCAGAGGTTTAGAAAGGGTAAGGAATTTGCCCAGCTCTTTTTTCTTTTTTTGGAGACAGGGTCTCACTTTGTCATCCAGGCTGGAGTGCAGTGGCATGATCAGCACTCACTGCAGCCTCAAACTCCTGTTGTTCAGTTCTTAAACATTACATATTAGAGCCGTGAAGCAAATTCAAATCTGTCTGATTTTACAGCTCTTGTGTTGTCTTTGCCTAAGTGTTGCTGCAGCCCCATCTCCATGAATGGATCATTTATAGTGCAGGGCAATGAGATTAGGGTCCAGTGCTTCTGCAAGCAGGAAGAATCGTTGAAACGCAGAAGTGCTGTGGGCTGGACTGGCTGGTCCAGGGAGGGTGCATGGAAGGGGAGTAAATGGTCTTCCAAACACAGTTTGGATTCCCTTCTGCAGCCAGTATGAAGTTATGTGTGATGGTGAGATTGTGCCACTTGAAGGACCAGACTGGCCTGAAAATTAGTGTCATCTTAGGAGTTCAGGTGGTAAAGGTAGATGTTGAGGTCAAAATACAGAACTTTGCTTTCAGGCAGGGGTGAGCTGGTGAGGGTTTGTCAGGAGGAGTGATGTGAAAGCAGTGTGTCTGTGTCAAGTTGGAAGCAACAAGGGCTGAACCCGAGTCTTGGCGGTGAGAATGAAAAGAGAGGGCTGCATTGGCAAATCAGTAGAATGGGAACAATCGGCAGGACTTGAACCACACATGTGCAAATCAGAAGGAATTTTAGAAGTCATCTAGTTCCGTCTTGTCCCAGCACAGGGACTCCTCCATTGGTGACCTCTGTGATAGCTGTGCATCAAGTCACTGCCAGTGCAGGATGGTAGAACGGGATCTTACATGGCAGGTAGCTTCTAAGGCCAGCACATAGGGGTGACAGATACTCAGTGTCTACATTGGGTTGAATAATGTCTCTCCAAAATTCATGTCCACCTGGAACCTTAGAATGTGACCTTATTTGGAAATAGAGTCTTTGCAAATGTAATCAAGTTGGGATGAGTTCATACTGGATTAGGGTTAGTCCCAATCCAGTGATTGGTATCCTTATAAAAAGAAAATCTGGACACAGATTGAGACATGCAGAATACTGTGTGACAATTGAGCCAGATTGGAGTGATGCCCGTCCAGGCCGAGGAACTCCAGGGATTGACAGCAGCTGTGAGAACCTAGGAAAAGGCAAGGAAAATCCTCCCCTAGATCCTCCAGAGGGAACGTGGCCCTCATGATACTTTGATTTTAGACTTCTAGACTGCAGAATGATGAGAGAAACAATTTCTGTTGTTTTAAGCTAGGAAATTTATGGTACTTTGTTACTGCAGCCCTAGGAAACTAATGCAGTGTCCACTACCTTTAAAAACCCATCGGCCCCTGCTGGCCCCCCTGTTGCAGGAGGAAATAAGGGCAGCCTGGCACCATGCGGGCAGAACCTGGCAGGACTGGTGCAGGCTCCCGGTATTTTTCTCTTTCCTTTCTAGTGCTCACAATTATTTTAATAATTCCATCTAGAAGTTTGCATTGGTGTTCAGTCACCCCATAATTTAGTCCTAGGGGAACTTCAGTTCCTATGACTATTCCTGATTTCCGTGAATTGGCTTGAATCATCACTACCCTCTCCAGAGTGCCATCTCTCCTCCCTCCCTTAGCTGTATCTATCTACTTTTTCTTCCCTAGACCCTTCTAGACTGAAGTAGATTCTTTGTTCTGCCACCTCAAAGCACACACTGCTAGCACCAATTATTGGACAATGACCTACATAGCTGTCCAGAGGTATCATGTGTGTTTTTGTATTTCTTAACTCATAGATTTGTTTCTTTTAACTTCACCAGTGTTTATGTCTTGCCTCTTAAGTTTATATCATAGTCCTTTGAAGGCACACAGCCTGTCTTTTGCTTCCTTTTATCCTCTATACACCGTACATTGTTATTACTACACATACACACACACACATACACAGAGAGAGAGAGAGAGAGAGAAAGGGGAGGAGAGAGAAGTAATGATGGAGGATAATTTTCCTCATCTAGGAAAGATTAGAAAGGTTGAAGGTTGACTTGAAGGAGAATCTTGATCTTTAGGGTGGAAAGCATGCTCTGGCCCCTAGAAGGTGATGATATGTCTATATACAGTTATGCATTGCTTAATAATAGGGGTATGTTCTGAGAACTGTGTCACTAGATGATTTTTTCATTGTGTGAACATCATAGAGTGTACTTACACAAACCTAGGTGGTACCGCCTGCTACCCATCTAGGCTACATGGTATGGCCTATTGCTCCTAGGCTGCAAACCTGCACAGCATGCTACTATACTGAATACTGTAGGCAGTTGTAACACAGTGGTATTTGTGTATCTAAACATAGAAGACATACAGTAAAAATGCAGTATTATAATTATGGGGCCACTGTTGTATGTGCCGTCCATTGTTGAAACATCATTATGCTCTGAGCAAGTCCAGCCTCATTTGTCTGTAAAAGGACAACAGAGCCATTGAGCATCATGCATGTGCCCAGTTCTGTGATGGACCATGGGGAGGCGATGCTGAATAAGACAGACATGACCCTTATCCAGTGCTTAGTTTTGTGGGGAAAACGGGAAGTAACTACTTCTTGACCTGATTCCCTGTGGCTTTTCATTATGGTGGCAAGGTACAGACATGCTTGGTGATCATGGTAGGCCCCCGGCAGCCTTGTTTGTGCTGCACGACCTGCCCTCTCCACTTGGCTATGGCTGGTTGGATCACACATGGACACCTGACCCAAGCTGAGCCAATTATATTTTCCCCCTCCTGGAAACACAGACGTTAGATTCAGAGGCAGCCAATTGCCCCCCCAAATTCGTATTTTGAAGTTCTGATTCCCAATGTGATGGTATTTGGAGATGCGGCCTTTGGGAGATAGTTAAGTTTAGATGGGATCATGAGGGTAGGGCTTTTATGATGGGATTAGTATCCTTAGAGGAAGAGACACTAGAGAGCTTTCCTGCCTCTCTTTTCCCACCATGTGAGGACACAGCCAAAAGCTGGCTGTCTGCAAGCTAGGAAGAGAGCCCTCACCAGAACCTGACCATGCTGGCACCCGATCACAGACCTCCAGCTTCCAGTGCTGTGGGAAAATGGATTTCTGTTGTTTAAGCCATCCCGTCTGTAGTGTTTTTTGTTATGGCAGCCTGAGCTGACGAATTCAAGAGGCAGGAGCTGTAAAGAGTAAGAGTCAAGAGGTGTGAAGGCCGTGTTTGGCCGTGTGGATTGAAGAGCAGTTTACATGAAGAGCACGTGTGTTGTGATTTCTTTCAAAGTTGGTCTTCAGGTCTCTCCTGAGAGTGGCTGTAAGCCAAGATAGCCTTGACCAGGGGGAAGTTAGGTTTGGGTCTGCCAGTCAGGTGAAATACAGTGAGGAGGTGAAACCAAAATGTGTGAAAGAGAAGACATTTATTACTTACAGGTCCAGAGAGGTTAGGGGTGCTGACGGGAGGCCGAGGGGAAGTTTGGAAGTGGCAGGGAGCTCACCCAGGGAGTGACAGGAGCGGGCTGGAGAGAGAGAAATGTAATTCCCCCACAGCGAGGGGTATTTTTAACTAGGCCAAAGGTGACAGAGTGCTACTGTGTTTCAGATAACTCATGTCAGGCCTAAAGGTGGATGCCAAGGCAGCACCTATATTAAACAAATTCATGACAGTGTGGGAGGTGGGTCAGCAGAGGAGGAGGAGTGATGGAGACACTGGAGAATGCCGAGGTGGCAGACACATGGCCTGGCCTTCCAGGACTCTCCAGTCCCTAGTTCTAGACTGTTACAAGGCCCAGCTGCCTTGGGGTTTGTATGCTAAACCCTCCCTGCACCCGTGTCCTCCCCACAAATTCTCTTTACTGCTTATGCCAGTTTGAGTCCATTTCTGTTACTTATAACCAAAAGAACCTCTACCAAGACACTTCCCACTTTACAAGTGAGGAACAGAAGAGCAGAGAGGCTGAGTGACTGCCCAGGGTCCACTGGTGAGTGACAGCGCTCAAGCCTCACTCCAGCTCTTCAGACCAGTTCCCTGCTGTACATGCCCTTCCAGTTGTCACGGCAAGCTCCTTAGGGAAGCAGACCCAGGGCGGTTCTGAAACCACAAGGAGAAATCCTAGTTGTTACTCCTCTACCACTCCCTCTGTTGCCCAGGCTGGAGTGCAGTGGTGCAACCTCAGCTCACTGCAACCTTCGCCTGCCATGCTCAAGCGATCGTCCCACCTCAGCCTCCTGAATAGCTGAGACTGCTGGGACTACAGGCGTGCACTACCACGCCCAGCTAATTTTTTTTTGTATTTTTAGTAGAAATGGAGTTTCACCATGTTGCCTAGTCTGGGCATCAACCTTTTAAAACATGGTCTGTGTTCTGTCATATTAAAAGTGCCATTCACACATCAAATATGCTTGCCCCCTTTTTTCTGTAATGCTGTCAAATGGAATAGCTCAGCCTTTACCACTTGCATTATTGCCTTTGGATCTTGCATCTAAGAGATTCTTAGCAGTGTGCACTGGCTGATGGCCAGGATCTTCCCATGCCTCCGTGAGTTCTTTGCATTTATCTTCCTTTTGTTCTAGTGATCTGACCCATATTTATATCTCAAGGACAGGTGATTTTCTCTGAGCTGTATGATAGGGAATGCCTGACAACCCCTGTTTAGTTTCTATATTTATTTTAAGACATGTTTTTTAAATGAGCCAATTAATTGGAAAATATTTATATGGAAAGGAAATGTTATCACTCTTTCCATCATCCTACCACAACTGCCAATAACATTGTAGAGAATCTTTCTTCTAGTTTTCTATTTGTCAACTTAATTTGTAAAAATATATTATTGTAATTATACATATTAAGAATTTTGTATTTCACTTCTCTTGGTAACGTAATAGAAAGTCTTCTGTTTCAAACATTTTGTAAATAGCATTTTTTTCTTTTCTTGTCTTTTTTTTTTTGAGACGGAGTCTTGCTCTGTAGCCCAGACCTGGAGTGCAGTGGCGCCATCACGGCTCATGGCAGCCTCAACCTCCTGCAAAGCTGGGACTACAGACATGTGCCACCACGCCCAGCTGATTTTTACATTTTTTGTAGAGACAGGGTCTCACTCTTGCCCAGGCGGGTCTCAAACGTTTGGGCTCAAGTGATCCTCCTGTCTTGGCCTCCCAAAGTATTGGGATTAGAGGCATGAGCCACTGCACCCAGCCCTAAATATCATTCTTAATGGCTGTATCCATTCTAGTAAGTTGAACACAATTTACTTAAGTGTATCATAAATCCTTTTGGGCACAAATGGACAATAAATAAATAAAGGAAATGTAAGAGCCATGCCTCTATTTGTTAGACATTTAGGTTGTTTCTGATTTTGTGTGTGTGACTATAGGTAATGGTATGGTCTACTCATTTGTTTTTTGGGGTCTTTTCCTTATGCTAGATTCCATAAAGTAGAACATGGATAAATAGGTGTGACTTTTTTTTTTTTTTTTGACACAGTATTGCTGTGTTGCCCAGGCTGGAGTACAATGGCGTGATCTCGGCTCACTGCAACCTCCACCTCCCAGGTTCAAGCGATTCTCCTGCCTCAGCACCCGAGTAGCTGGGACTACAGGCGGTCACCACCATGCCCGGCTAATTTTTATATTTTTAGTAAAGATGGGGTTTCACCATGTTGACCAGGCTGGTCTCGAACTCCTGATCTCAGGTGATCCGCCCACCTCAGCCTCCCAAAGTGCTGGGATTCCAGGCATGAGCCACTGTGCCTGGCCAGGTGTGGCTTTTCAAAAGGGTTTTTTTTTTTTTCTTTTGGCTCCCAACAGGAAACTATCAAAGGACTTTTGGTACATGCCATCATGTTGCTTTTCACACAGAGTACTGATTTATTCCCCCTACCATGGGGACCAGCAGTGTGAGGCCTGTAAGAATCTCTGCCCTGGCCTCTGAATAAGTAATGTGTAAGAGTAAATACATGTGTTCTATTAGGGTCTTTGAGATCTGTTAGGAGAACTACTACCAAACACCAATTTGTAGATCAGATAACGCTCATCAGAGGACAGGGAAATGCATTTTGTTCTTTCATTTGATAAGGTTACAGTAACTGCTTGTCCCCAGCCTCTGGAAAAATGTTGCTTATTGCAGTACTGTAGATAGTTTTACATAAAATCCTTCCATTGTCTTTGTGTTTTTTTCTGATGGATGAGTAAAGACTAGGTAACAGTTTGAGCAAACTGGGAGTATTTTATTATTATCATACTTTTTCAAGAAAAGGGTGGGATGGAGAGCTAGATTATCTTGACTCAAATATTTTTGTGTATTCTGTGTTTTGGGAAGAGGAGCCTTTGTGTTTTTAGGCTAGGGTGGTGGAGAAGGTCTCACAGAAGAGAGACCTGATTTGGGATTTCAGAAGGGTTAAGAGAGAATGAGGACACAGCATGAACATACTGAAGACTGGGTTAGAATTTATGTGGTATGTTGGTTTTGGCTGGATCAGCAGGTATGGGCTGGATTGCAAGATGTTGGAAAGTCAAGCCCCGGAATCTGGAAAAAATTTAATAGTCCATATGGTGTCATTCAAAGGTGATGGGGAGGGAGGGAATGAAATGGTACAGCCACTTAAAAAAAAGTTTGGCAGTTTTAAAATTAGGTTAAATATATACTTATCCTCTTTCATAGCAAAATGAAAACATATGTCCACATAAGACTTTACTCCAATATTCTTAGCAGCCTTTTTCGTAATAGCCAAAGGTTACGAGCAGGCGAGTGGCCCGAGGAGAACTGTACCTCAGGCAGAGGAATCTGGCAGTGAGGCGCTAGGTGAGCCAAAATGGGAGGAAAGCTGGTTAGAAGTTTCTCGAGTCCTCCGGGCATGCAATGAGGAGGGCTGGAGTTGTGAGAGTAATAAGGAAGGGCTGAGGAGAAAAGTTCCTACAGAGGAAAAGTCCAAAGCCTGGAGCCTGCTGGCTGCAGGTGCCAAGGGAGGGAAGGAAGAGGCAAATCTGAGTGGCAGATGGTGGTACAGAGGGCAGGGGTCTTCAGTGGGGGACCAGGGGCACTTGGTAGAAGGGCAGATGTTCAGGCCCCACCTCAGACCTGCTGAATCAGACATTTTGGGGGTGGGCCTGGCAATCTGTGTTTTAACAAGCCCACCTGGTGATTTTCATGCCTCTCAAGTTTGAGAGCTCCTGGAATAGGGAAATTGGCTTAAGGCAAGGATATGTGATCCAAGAGGAAATCTCCCACAGGCTGTTAGAGACAGGAGAGCAGCTGGGCTGATGTGGATGCTGAGCTTGCTCAGCTGGTGCAGACCAGAGTGCAGGGGCTTGCCCTGAGGGAGGAAACGGGTACACAGAAAGGCAGAGGGCTGGGGCCAAACTTGGGGATGTCTCAGGGAGATTCCTTTGGATGCAAGTAACAGAAGCCTGCTTCACACCAGCTTGAGCAAGCGAGGACATTTATGGGAAGGATACTGGCCCAGCTCCTGGACTGTTAAGACTAGAGGGACCATCTGGGCCTCATGAGGGCGCAGAACCCACACAGCTTCTGTGTCTGTCTGTCTCTCTCTCCTTTCCCCCTTTTAATTCATTTAACCAATATCTGTATATCTGTTGAACATCTAACAAGGTACCTCGTCTAGGTACCAATGGTAAGCTTAAAAAAAAAAAATGAAGACTTGACTTTGCCCATAGAGCCTGTCTGCCTGTCTGTCTTAGCATGAAGTGTCTCTGCTTCTGTCTGTTTCAATCTTCTCTCTGGAGACATCCGTCTCTCTTCTGGTGAGCATTTGGCCAGATGTGGCCACCCCATAGCTGCTTAAGTTTACAGTCTTTGTTTTAAGTAACCTGCAGACATCTCAGCCATGATTCTATATTCCTGGGGAAAAAAATCTGAGAGCATTTTGGGCCCAACTTTGGTCACATCACCTCTAGCTGGAGACAGAGTCCTGTGGTGGGTGCCCAGGGGTGGGGGTGAAGGTGGGTGGTCTTTATAACAGAGGGATTGGGCAGCATAGCTATGCCAAACAGGTTGTGTTTCAGGGGCATTGTTTTCATCCTTGATGTAAGCTGGAGCAGGGAGATGGTCTTTGTTTGCTTAACTTCTTAACAAGCACTCCAGCAATGATAGCGGCTTTGGGAGGGGAATGCGGGTTTGTGTCTGCTAAATGAAAATTAGAAGGGAGGAGCTTGTGGATGCAAAGGATTGAAGCATTGCTTTTTTCTTTTAGGGGGTAGGTAGATAAGCTTTAAAGTCCCCCTCCCACCCTGAGAGTCTGCGATTGGAAATAAAACAACAGAGTTCGGGCAGCTGAACCTGAAGGAAGGGAATTGTGGTGGCATCCGTAGTCTTTCCCCTTATCCAGAGTAGACTCATCTTTTATCTAGTTACTGCTGTGACAAATTTGGATACATTCATCTTTCTTCACTGTGAAATCGAGGGCTTGGTTGCTAATGGTTTTACAGAAATTGTTCCTTTGTTTTGCTGGAATATTGATGAGTCCTGGGAGACCATAAGAGCACCTGTGCGAATGGCTCTTCACCCACCTTCCTTAGAGGGGATCTTCAACTCTCTGGTTCCCTTCACAGCCTGGGTTGTAAACTGCTTTTGTAACCTCTGTGCTGTACCTTCACCACTCGTACATTCATTCAATCATTCCTATTTACTACATATCTACCAAGTGTCGCACCCTGTGCTAGTAGGTCGGCTTCATATTTTCAGTCACCAGCCTAGCCACCTTCCTCTTCAGTTTTTCCTCCTCTTCTCACCCTTTGGATGGATGCTGTCAGATGTGCTCTGGGGGTGATTCCTCCCCTCAGCCTAGCTTCTGCCTGACCCAGCTGCACTGAGCCATTTGTAGCTGCAAACCCACCATGCTCTCTCATGTTTCTGGGGTTTATTCATGCTGTTCTCCCCTCCTGAAATGCCTCCCCTACCCTACCTTCTTCCAGAACCTACCAAATCCCTGCTCACCTTTCAAGATCTGCTGGAACATCTCCTGCCCTTAGAAGTTGCTGATTTGGAAGTCCAGCCTTAGGCCTGGTGTGGGGCTCACACCTGTAACACTAGCACTTTGGGAGGCCAAGGCAGGAGGATCACTTTAGCCCAGGAGTTTGAGACCAGCCTGGGAAACATAGCAAGACCCCATCTCTATACAATTTTTTTTTTTAATTAGCCAGGCAGCCAGGCGTGGTGGCTCATGTCTGTAATCACAAAACTTTGGGAGGCTGAATTGGGAGGATCACTTGAGGCCAGGAATTTGAGACCAGCTTGGCCAACATGGTGAAACCCTGTCTCTACTAAAAATACAAAAAAAATTAGCCAGGCTGGTGATGCAGGCCTGTAGTCTGAGCTGCTTAGGAGCCTGAGGCACGAGAATCACTTGAACCTGGGAGGCGGAGCTTGCAGTGAGCCGAGATCATGCCACTGCACTCCAGCCTGGGCAACAGAGCGAGACTCTGTCCAAAAAAAAAAAAAAAAAAAAAAACAATTAGCCGGGCATCGTGGTGTACTCCTGTAGTCCTAGCTACTCAGGAGGCTGAGGTCAGAGGATCACGTGAGCCTAGGAATTCGAAGGTACAGTGAGCTAAGAAGGTGCCACTGCACTGCAGCCTGGGTGACAGAGCAAGACCCCATTTCTAAAAAATAAAAATATTTTTTTAAAAAGCAATTCAGCTTCAGCCTTCAGAGCATTCATTATGGGTGTGATGATCTGCTCGAGTGGACCGTAGCTACACTTGAACTCAGTGAGATGCAGGACTGTCCCACTCATCTTTGTATCATGACAGTACAAAGGATCTGTCATGGATGAAGGGTCAAATGCTACTGTGGTCAATAGGATGGGGAAGAAAAGGAAAGGATAAAGAAGAAAATAAAAATTACTCATAATTCCATTACCTGGAGATACATTTTGGAGGGGTCCTTAAGACTTTTTGAATACAAAAAGTTTATGATTGAAGTTACTGTGTATCTTGCATTTCCACTTAACATTAATATATTAATACTTTATTGCCCACAAGAGTCCTAAGATAAGATTTTAGTGACCTTTTAATGTTTTATAGCCAATTCTTTCTTTATTGTTGGATGTTTATATCATTTTCAGCTTTGGACATAAGAACACCATGGAACATATTTATGTGTTAATCTTTGTTTGCCTCTGATGATTTCTTTTGGATAGATTCCCAGAAGTGCAATTACTGGATCAGAGGATAGCAACACTGTTAAGGTTTGAGAAATAATGCCAAATTGTCTCCCCAGACTGTGCCAGTCTCTACTCTCATCCTCAGTTTTTGATGGATGGGTTTGTGAATTCTTTAAAGAGATAGAAGCAAAAAACCGAAGCACCAATGGCTTCATTGGCTGTTGTTTCCATTTGGAGGAAACGGCAGCTTTTCTTGTGATAGGAGCCAGGTTGTAGAGAAAAACCTGTCCCATTGCAGCCCTAGAGGCTGGGAGGTTGGCCCTCAGTGACAAGGGCCCGTGTTCTCAGCCTCCCTGTCCTTTTCCAGGCTGGAGTCTGGGACCCGGGAGCCTCCTGAAGAGACTGCACAGCTTTCTGGAATAGGGGAGGGAAGGAAGCTGCTTGGTGACCTTTGGGCACAAGCTGCAGGCAGCACTCCATTAGCTGCACATCCATTAATGAGGAAGTCAAGCTTCAGGAAGCTGGGCTGGCTTTATAAAGCCTATGGGGAATTAAAGGAAAAGGGAGTGTGGATGAAGCATTTGTTGCTGTCATGGTGGGGGGAGGTCATGACTGGGCATTCATCTGCATGGGGCCTCCTGGCCAGTTAATCCCAGCAGCAAATGTGGGTTTTAAGAGGTTAGTCATCTGCCTACAGGGAATTGGACCTGCCTGGGAACCAAACTTGCAGCCTCTTGGACAGGTGCATCTGTTGAAGTGTTAAGTATACTCTCGCTTATTTTTGCTGACTTCGACATTTATGGAATTGATGCAACTTAGAGGACACTTTGAAAAATAAAGTGAGCCCTAATCAAGTTGTTATTTTCCAACTGATCATATGTGGTGAGGATGCTCTCTCATAAATGATATTTTAAAATTGACATTACATTGTCATTTAGTAAATTTTGAAAATGAATGAAAGAGTTTAATATAAACATGACGAGAGATAGGAAACTAGTATTTCTGGTATTGTCACGCTGGTCTCTTGAAAACTCTTGTTTCATTTAATCCTCAAAATAGGAATTGTTGTTAGTTATTTTTATAGATGAGGGGACTGAATCTTAGAGAAGTTCAGTAACTTAATCAAAGTCATAAAGCTAATACGTGGTAGAAATGAGATGAGAATCTATGTCTGACTGCAAAGCCCATGCCCTGCCCGGTATGCAGGGAGTTGTTTTGCCCCTGACCCTGGCAGGAACTGGAAGGAAGACCTTGCAAGCTGGCTGCCATTATCTGCTCCTAGGGAAGTGGGGGCTGTATGCCCATGGAAAAGCCTGCTGTGGTTTCCGCTGGTGCTGTGATCAGCTCTGAGAAGCACTTAGAGCCCGCTCCAAGGAGCTTCAAAGAGAATGCGGATGAAGGAGTTGGACAGCTCCCAGCTTCTCTGGTCTCACATCTTCACTGTGGGTGCTTGTATTTAGTTGGTGTGATGTGACTTTTTACGCAAACATACACGTTTGGTGGTCACCTCATTCACATCTGGATACTGCTTAATTGGATTCTTGGCTCTGACAGCTTCTGAATTGGATCCTCACCTTTTGGTGCCAGCGCAACCTGGGTTTGTCAGTGGTACCCAGAGGCGTGAAGGGCTTTGTACACAGAGATGCATGATTTTTCATCAGAGGGGACTTGGCCAGCCCCAGTGGATGCAAGTTCAAGATGGAGAGAAGGCTAAGGGGACCCAAGTTTTAGGGCATCCATTGTCAGAGGTTTTGAGGGCTGTATCTGAGTCAAGTCCTCTTTAAGCTTTTTTGGTTTTGGTTACATGAACCAAGATAGATAAAACCAACTGGCCTTAGCATGAGCCAAAACAACAACTCTTTATTGTAAAGAGGCAGGGAGTTGCAGCTGAGTCATGCGGCCCTGGGACCTGGAAGGCAGTTGGGAAGCCTTCCCTGGGCCCTGGTCTCACTTATCTGTTTCTTTGGCCACATCTGCTCGACTCTCTCTGTGTGTCTGGTACTCTCTCTGACTCTCTCTCACCCTAGACTTCTACTTTTCATGTGTATATGGCCAAGCACGGCCATGCACAGTTGCAGTCCCCACTCTTGAGTTTATATTCCTTTAGTTCAAGTATCCAGCAGGAATTACTCAAGTTTCTCAGTACCAATGCCAATTCCTGTGAGACAGAACCTGACTGTTGAGGGCCTGGAAGCGTTGTGTGGTATGAAACTGGCTTCTGGGGCCCATCCTAGTGGATGAGAGGCACAGTTCTCAGCGCAGAGGAAGGAGGGCAGGACCTGTCGATGGGAAATAGAGAGAGTGGACCGATTTGGCTAAAGAGGCAGAATTTGGACTGGACCAAGGAGTGAAATCCCAGGTAACAAATTTTAAGTCAGTAAAACAAAGAGCTCCTTAGGGTGGCCCAAGCTGGACCAGCCTGCGTGGGATGATAGCAAGTTCCTGTATGTGCAGAGGTTCAAACAGTCCAGAACAGCATTCTAAAGCAGATCCAAGCATCTGCTGGGGTGGACAAGATGGCTCTCATGGTCCCCCCTGGCCATGTCAGTCTGGCCCTGGGCTGCTGCCTCTGCTGCAGATATTTTCCTTGGATTCTCCACTCACAGAAGGAAGATTGGAGGGTATTTTACTGGTGTACTTGTATTAGAGGGCCATATTCAGTCTACCAGTATTTTAACTACTGTTGTTGCTGGGTGTTGGATTGTGGATGATTTTGATTTTTGTTTTATTTTTTACATATTTTAAAATTTTTCTACAATCAACATAGATGAGTTGTGCTTATGTTAACAGTAAGAAGTTAAACCATAGTTTATTAGTAGCCAATAACTACTTTATTAGTAGCCAATAAATAGTAGCCAATATTAATTGCTACTCTAGATGGTGTTGTGGCTTGTATAAGATGAACGCAGTATTGTCCTTGCTCTTAAGGAACTTGTAGCCTAATGAGGAAGGTATGATATAACCACATAATGCAAGCTGGAAGAAGGCTAGTTAAGTGCTAATAGAACATTACCAAGTGTGTAGAAGGCACACATATAACCCTTGTTCTAAGGAGCTCAGGAAAAGGTTTTATAAAAAGAATAGCCCTGGATCTAGGCATAGAACAGTGGTTCTCAAGCAGGGGCTGTTTTGCTCTGAGAGGACATTCGGTGGTGTCTGGAGATGTTTTTGGTTGCCACACTTGGAGTGGGGTCATCTAATAGTTAAAGCCCAGGGATAATGCTGAGGACAGCCCCTCACAACAAAGAATTGTCTGGCCCCAAATGTCAGTAGTGCCAAGGCTTCTAGTCCAATGCATTAGAAGAATGCATAGGATTTTGGCAGACAGAGTTGGGGGCAGAGCACTGCAGGCCAAGAGAATGATGACTGAGCACAGTGGCAGAAATGCATGAGTAGACAGGAATTAGCAGAGGGCCCAAGGAGCTGGTGGGACACCTGCAGCTAGGTGGCAGAGGCCCTTGATATCAACATAAGCAGCTTGGACGTTTTTCTTTGGGCAGTAGGGAACAATGGTATCTTTTGAGCTCTATCAAGAATAGAGTCAGTTCTTAACATCCCAGCTTTGCTTCATTGATTGCTCATCTGCACAGCCACAAAGATGAAAACACACCCGTTTTCCTGTTTTTCTCCCCAGCCTATCCACTCTTTGTTTTCCACCATCCAGAGGAAAGCTCGGTCAGCACTCTGCCTTGCTGACCCAGGATTCCCATCTGCTGGTGACAAAGGGATACAGCAAAAAGCGATCCCCTTTTGACCATTCTCCTTCCTGCTGCAATTTCCAGGAATGTACCATGGCAAGGGTGACTGTCCATGACTATTCTGCTGGCCCCATAACAGCTTTGCTCTGCGCACCGTTGTTTGAGTGTTTACTAACATCCTCACACTATCTCTGGATGCAGGGTGGAGGGTAGAGGGCCCAGTTCATGCTCAAAGCGTCCACACGGTAGAAACAGCCCAGCAGAGGCCAGGGCTGGACCTGGGTCCGACTGCAGGCATGGGGATAAACAATGCTTGAGCTGTGGAGGGGAGGGCACCCCAGAACTCGACACGGTGCTCTCTTCATGTGTTCACTCCTGCCTCACCAGCAATAGAACAGTGTTACACACCCATACTGGTAGGCACTAGGTGAATGTTTTCTGAATGAAAGAATGAAGAGACAGATCCAGGGAGCGGGTGTGATGGCCTAAGATTACCCAGCCTGTTGGGATCAGAGCTGAACCTGGAACCAGGATTCCTGACCCCCAGTTGGGAGCCCATCCCTGTGCCACATCTGCCCTTCCATGCCCAGGGACCTGGTGCTATCATCCTGGGTCCTGGCCAGGCACCTTTAGCCAGCACCCTGTTCTCCAAACTTCTCCCATTCCTTGAATTCCACCATTCCCCAAACCAACCAATCCATCAACCCAGGGAAACAGCCTAGCATGCCCTTCCCTACCTGCTGCCAGTGGCCACAGAGCTGTTAAACTACTCTACACTAAAATGTTGGAGACTGCTAGTTAGTTACTGTGGTTATCCACTTCCCCCAGGATGTCTCTGACGATGCCTCAACTCAGGCATTTCTTAATGGACCAGTTGGGGTGGGAAGTGGGGCATGCGACCCTATATGGTGCTGAAGTTTTTGCCAAATTATACTATTTATAGTAAGGCCTTCTTGGCTCAAACACATCTAGGGAAAGGGAACAGTGTGAACTTGTCAGTTGTTTTCTCTTTTTATTTTGAGAGGGACCCAGGCTGGACCTTAGGCATCCTCTGAGATCCCCCAGAGTCTTCTGGGAAGAGGCATTTCCCTCACACCCAGAACCAGTGAATGAGGAGGTAGGTTGCTTTTATGATTCCACTGAGACAGTGACGCTCCTCCCCATGGCTTCAGAAAACATCCACCTTGGAAAAGTAAGTGTTCTCTTCCTCCCTCCAACCCCCGGGGAGAATCTCTCTTGCAGGTAGTGGCTGTTCTTGGTCTCCCAGCTAGGTGGCATCCCTGCATCTTTTAGGTACCAGGGCTTGTACCAACTCCACCCCAGGACTGGGTAAATGACTCCCATGATGGCTCCTATGTCAGCCCTTCCAGTGGTGGGACACCATAGTCCATGGTCCTCTGGTCAGAGCTTCCCTTGTAGGAAAAGCATTTTTGCAAGTCTGTGCAGCATTTCCATTTTCAAGTATCATAACGTATATTATCCCATTTGACACCACATTTTGCAGAGGAGATAAAACAAGTGAGGCTTCTGGGCTCTTGTCCATGAACCCATGTCTAGTAAGTGGTATAGCAAAGACCAGCACCAAGGTCCCCAAGCTCCAAGCTCTCCTGGGTGGTCCCTCCTTCCATGGTGCAGCTTGGAGTGGCTTCACAGCCAGGCAGAACAGGGGCCACACCCTCGTCACAAGTGCTGGCCAGCTCTCTGGGCAGGGGAAGCCTCTGGATGTTGAGTATGGAAGGAGACCATGTGGGTGGTTGGTAGCACAGTGCCTGCCTGGAGTAGGCCCTCAGCAAGGGGCTCTGGGTCTGCATGCCTGACGTGCACAACGTGGCACATGTTCTGGTGGGAGATGCTGAGGGAGGGGGTAGATCCACGACATGGAGGGAGCAACACGGTCCCTCGCTGTTTTGATTGTTTTCAGCAGAACCCAAGTTGTGTTACAATTTGCATGAGGCTTGTTAAATGAACTGATGTATTAGACAATCTAATTTTTTTTCTTTTTTGAGACGGAGTTTCACTCTTGTTGCACAGGCTGGAGTGCAGTGGCGTGATCTCATCTCACTGCAACCTCCACCTCCCCAGTTCAAGCAATTCTCTTGCCTCAGCCTCCTGAGTAGCTGGGATTACAGGTGCCTGCCATCACTCCTGGCTAATTTTTGTATTTTTAGTAAAGACAGGGTTTTGCCACATTGGCCAGGCTGGTTTCAAACTCCTGACCTCAGGTGATCCGCCTGCCTCAGCCTCCCAAAGTGCTGGGATTACAGGCATGAGCCACTATGCCCGGCCTTAGACAATCCAATTTTAAACCAGTCCTCATGATGACTTAAAAGTATTTCCTCAGCAAAGCCAAGGACTTGTGGTAATACAAATACATGTGATCAAAATATTTTACTAATTTTGTGCGATCAAAGAAGTTGGAGCATCCATGGTTTAGTACCTAAGCTTTGAAATCTCACATTCTAGTTCTGGCTCTGCTACAAACTTGGTGTGTGACCTTAGTCCAACTATTTAACTTCTCTGATCCACATTTCCAGTCTGTGAAACGGAAATTATAATCATGTCTACTTCGTAGAGTTTTTGTATGTGCAAATGGATATAAACTGCTAAAAGCTGTGTACAGAGCGTGCATTGTATTGTAACCAGTGCTAATTACTGAGGAGTGCTATACTGGTAACTTTTTTTCCCCAAAGTGTGAAGCTTTCCTTTTTAGTCTTGATTCCTGGATAATAGGACATTCTTCACTTGGACTTTCCCTTATGGTCACCTATGATTGTGGCCATTTGAGGCTCATAAATGGAAAGAATGTATATTGTTTTCATTCTGAAGCAAATAAAACTTCTTACATTTCCATGCTCAGAGCTACCTCTTTCTGTTATTGTCTTGGAATTTTTTTCTCCTTAGTGACCTAGTTTTATCTATTCTCTTCAGATCTGCAAAAGCAAATGGCACAGTTGTTAAAGAGGAATTCTCATTCTGTGGTAGTTGAGAGAAATATCTTTATTTTCTAAACAAAGCAGCTGTGGGCTGGGCGCGGTGGCTCACGCCTGTAATCCTAGCACCTTGGGAGGCCAAGGCGGGCGGATCACGAGGTCAGGAGATCGAGACCATCCTGGCTAACACGGTGAAACCCCGTCTCTACTAAAAACACAAAAAATTAGCTGGGCGTGGTGGTGGGCGCCTGTAGTCCCAGCTACTCGGGAGGCTGAGGCAGGTGAATTGCTTGAATCCGGGAGGCGGAGCTTGCAGAGGCGGAGCTTGCAGTGAGTGGAGATCACACCGAAGCACTCCAGCCTGGGTGACAGAGCAAGACTCCGTCTCAAAACAAAAACAAAACACAAAGCAGCTGTTTGTTATATTTTAACTTTTTAACTATTGTGCAGTATTCCACCATACTTTTTAGAGCATTACCGAGGATTGCCCTTCAAAGCATCAAACATAAAAAATTGTTATCCAAAGGAGGACCTCACCTTCCTTACACAGGGTCTGTATTGCACATGGTGGCCAGGGCCCTTGGAGCTGTGCAGCCAGCAGTGGCTCTCCTAAGTCATCTGCAGGGCAGGTGTGCGAGAGGTACATACGGTGGGTTCCCGCCCCAGTCTCTCTGCTTCCTTCTTCCCCAGGTTGGCCAACTCGGGAGCAAGGTCCAGAACTTCCAGCCAGAAGCGCACTTTAGCAGCTGCGAGCTGCATTTGTTCCCTGATTGTCCTGACTCACTCATAATTAAGACACGTGCTGAAAATTCTCTCAGAATTTAAATTTTGCTCATTGAAGTAAAGCTGCTGTTTTCCAGCTTGCTTTTTTTCTTTTCTTTTCTTTTTTTTTAAAATAGGTTTTGTGTTCTAATCAGGGTGCCATGCTGGACCTGAGCCAAACATCCTTTGTTTCACACAATCCTTGTTCTTCTGTGGGCAGGTGGGACATAGTCCCACCCTCCCCTTCTAGTGAGGTAACAACCGTGCTTTTGTTAGCAGTTCTGAGCCCTTCTGCTGCCAGACAAACCCAGTGGCCTGGAATCATGGTAATTTCTTATGAGCCACACAATTATTTATAACCAAGCCATCTCAGATCCTTTCTGGAACAAGTTAGAAACCTATCTATCTATCTATCTATCTATCTATCTATCTATCTATCTATCTAAAATATAAATCTCAGAAACATTTTAATAGTGTAACTTCTTAATAGAACATAATATACAGCAATGTTTTTTCCTCTACAACCAGAACCAGTAAAAAATATATTTACTTGCATTACTTGTTAATTTTCACTCATCTTAAATGTCATTACAATGGATTGAATAAATTGAGATGTTTGAAAATTTTAGTAAATTTTACAAAATAGCATTGTCGCATCAAACAGATATAAATTGAAAGATTATATATTCTGTTTTCTTATAACTTTTTTAGAAGTAATCTTTTATGGATTAAATGAACTAATGACCTATACTAAGTAAATTCTGTTTTTATAAAATTTTTAACTATGGATGATTTTGAACAAATATTCATGCAGATATTTTTTTGGTTCCTAAATGTCATGAATTTATTTTATTTTAATTGTGATAAAAGCACATGACATAAAATTTACCATCTTAACCATTTTTAAATGTACAGTCAGTAGTGTATATTTATTGCACATTGTTGTACAACCAATCTCCAGAAGCTTCCATCTTGCAAAACTGAAAATTATAACTCCACACCCATTATCAACTCCCTATATCCCCCCAGCCTGTGGCAACCACCATTCTACTTTCTATTTTTATGAGTTTTACTTATCTAGTTAAGGAGTTGAGTTATCTAGAGTAGTCCACTTATAAATGTAATCACTCAGTATTTGCCTTTTTGTGATTGGCCCATTTAACTTAGCATAATATACTCATAGTTCATCCATCTTAGCAAGTGTCAGCGTTTTCTTCCTTTGAAAGGATGAATAATATTCATTATTTATTCATCTGTTGATGGTCACTTGGATTGCTTCCATCTTTTGGCTATTGTGAGTAATGCTGCCATGAACATGGGTATGCAAATATCTTTTTGAGACATAACCATTCTACTCTGTTAACTTGGCTGATTTTAACAGATGGGGAAATCAGTAACTAAACGTATAAGACCAGCCTCACTTGGCAGTGTTTGTTCACATGGTGTCATAGGACTATAAACAGAAGCGATGCAGCCTCAGTACAGCTGAGTGAGGGGGCTGGAAAAACCTGAACTTTCCTGTATAATTTGAATTCAAATCTTGATTTTCCTGATTAAATTTTCTGTATAAATTCCTAATAATTTGCACACAGTGAAATTCACCCTTTTTACTGTATAGTTTTGTGAGCTTTGACAAGTGCATACAGTCATGTAATCACAACCACAGTGTAAATATAGAACAGGTTCATTGCCTCCAAAACTTCCTCCATGCCCCTTTGTAGTCATCATCTTCTTCTACCCCACTGCCAGCCTCTGGCAGCTCATCTGTTTTCTATCTCCGTAGTTTTGCCCATCATCATTTGTCTTTCCTTCCATACTTAGCACACGCAGCTTTGCCTGCCACCTTTCTTGTTCTGATACACCTGGCACCCCGGCCATGTTGTGACTTCCCTGAAGATAAAACCTCTGACTTTGAGGTATCAAGTTGGATTAGAAGAGCAGAGTTTGAAGCCAGATAGAGCATTTGAATCCAGCTCATTCAGTTAGCAGCTCTGTGACCTTGTGTTGGCCTCAGAATCTGACACAGAGTAGGGACTGAATAAATGTCTGTTGGATGAACGAACAAACAAATGAATGAATGAATGAATGAATGAATGAATTTAACCTCTTAATGTCCCAGGTCCCTCCTGTGTAAGAGGGAATGGATAGTAGTTGCCTCACCTGACTTCTGTGGGGATCAGTGCCTTGTACAGTGCCTGGTGGGCATTAGTAAAGGTTTGTCCTGTTCCCATGGCCTTCCCCAGGGCTTTTGATACCCTCTGCCAGACCGACACATGCACTCAAAGTTGGCTGGGCCCTGGCAGAGGACATCAGTACCTGCTGTGTGAGAGCGAGGAGGGCACCAGCTGAGCAGACAAGTCCCCAGAAAACCCCACAGATACCCGCTGACCACCTGCCAGTCAATCTCAAAGAGCTCCTCACTCTTTCCCCCCACCCCTTTTTCATGGTGCACATAGGAAGGCCCAGCAGTCCTTTTCTCAGCCTAAATATATACCATGTAGGGGGCTTTAGATGAAGCCCACCAGAAGGAGAAAACCATAACCCTTCAGCACAGAACCCTCTGGCTGGGGGTCAGGTCTCTGGCTCTGAGGTCTGGGGAGGGGAGCATAAGCTGGGAAATAGGCAACCACAGGACAGTCATTGTAAGTGAATCTTCTCTCTTCTTCAAAACAGACTCAGCAGGACTCATCACAATTATTGTGATGACAATAACCAGTTATTTGTATAATTATCTGCTTGCTGCCTGCCTTTCCTATCAGATGGCCCAGGGCACACAGTAGGTGCTCAGCACATATTTAATGATTGAATGAAAAACATTTTGTGGTTAAAAGAATTGGCATTTGCAGTTACTGTTTCTGTAGAAGGGAGGGGAACTGATATTTGTCATTCATCTAGAGTGTCTCTGGTAAGTTAAATTTGTACCTACAGTCTCCTCATTTAATCTGCATAGTGGCTGTTGAAAGTAGGTGTTTTTGGTCTCTGTACTCAAGGAAACTGGTTCAGAGTAGTTAAGAAGCATGCTTGCCACTCCACAGCTAGTCAGGGTTGGAGCTGGATTCAAACTCAGGTCTGAAGTCAAAGCCCAGCCTCTTTCTACCACACACAATAAAGCTGGGTTGCTTAAGAATAGGAATCTCTACAATTAAGACTTAAAAACAAACAAAAACAACAGATTTAGGCAGACATTTGTGGTTGAGGGATTTGTGTGGATTGGATTGTGGAGTGGAACAGTATCAATTGGAAATTTACAGAATGTTTGTTCCTGCTTGCATCAGACTTTTCTGTTTTGTGCTTTCCTAAGTTGGGTTTGGGAGCATAAAAATCCAACTTAAAATGGGATTTTTGCAGCACACATTACAGACAGCTTTAAATAAGTAATGCAACTGCCTCTTCATGCTAAGAAAGGCAGTATGGAACGGGGAATGGCCAGGGACGTGGAGACAGGAGGCCTGGGTTTGCGTCTTGTTGGATAGGAGAAGGGCTTTGGAATATCCCTCAACTACTCTGAGGCTCAGTTTTTTTTATTTGTAAACTGGGAAAGTAATCCCATTGTCTCGGAGGGGTACAGTGCAGATCAGATGAGGAAATAAGCAAATGAGATGTTTGTGAGGTGGGTTACCCAAGGAAGAGTTGTGTATGTGTTCACTCTCTCAAATCTGCAGAGAGGAGCAGGGTCTGAAGCCAACTGGGAAAGGAAAGACTACAGAGAGGCTGGCAGAATCACATGCCAAGGTGAAAAAGAAGAACATGTCTCGTTTCTGTTTTCCCAAGATCAGCTCAGGTCGGGAGAGAACCTCGTTTATGTGAACAGTTTATGTGCTTGAAACCCTAAAATTATACTGTCACCTGTTGTCAGTAAATCTATAATTCAGGGCCAGAGTGGAATTTCATTAGGCAACGAAGCAGGCAGCAGTCTTCCTCCCACTCTCCTACTCCTCATTCATTCATTCAGAGACCAGCTGCAGACTCTCAGCCATGTACTGCAGAGTCAGGAAGGCAGTGTGTCATAGCAGTGAGGAGATGGGCAGTGGAGTTAGACATGTGTTTGACTTTGGCCTCCTCCCCTAATTGTGAGACTCAATTATTTATTTTCACTAAACCTGTTTTCTCATTATTATGAGGAAAATGATAATACCTGTCTCACATGAAGGTTAAAAGTGAGCACTCAAAAATAAATGGCTTATAAGTCACAATAATACAGTCTTTAGGGAACCAAAATGCATAGTGGGCCAGTTCTGCTGTTTTCCTATTTTCTCCCTCCAGCCTGTTAGAAAGTCACTGTGAGTAAGCAGAAGCCCAGGGGTTGGGACCCATGGCAACCAAAGCCCAAGTGGTTTGCTGTGCTATGGGAACCTGAGCTGTGTGCTCAGACGGAGGATCTCTTTTCCCAGATTAAGCTTCTAGAGAACCATCGTGAGTGACGATGTTCCCTGGGGCAGTATGGTAAAGGTCAGAGTTTCTCAAGCACTTAGATCCCAGGCCCACAGCGTATCTGAGACAGTCCTTTCAGGGCTAGAGGATCAGTGGGTCTTGGAGATGGATTATGGTTTTGGGAAGGCTTGTTTTGCCACACATGGACCTTCTGACATCAGGAAGGTACTGATTGTCTCAGAGCTTGGAGGCTGATGCTCAGGTCAACTTGATCCACTTTTGGAGAGCCACGACACACCTCACTTGTGAGTGTGAATTCCTCTGAATGCTTTGGTTTTTTTAAAGGTCAGGTGTATAGTGGTGAAATTGGTAAAATTCACTCTTTTTAGTGTGGGTTTTAATTCTGAGTTTGGGCAAACTTATACAGTTGTGTAAACAGCACTACAGTCAGGTATGCAGCAGCTCCATCCCTCCCCAAAATTCCTTCACATTCTTGGAGTCAACCTCCCACCTCCCCATCTAACCCTGGCAACGACTTATCTGGTTTTTCTCCCTGTAAACTTCCCTTTTTCAGAAGAGTGTATACCAGCCTGGCCAACATAGTGAATCCCCGTCTCCACTAAAAATACAAAAATCAGCTGGGCGTGGTGGTGCACGCCTGTAATCCCAGCTACTCAGGAGACTGAGGCAGGAAAATAGCTTGAACCCAGGAGATGGAGGTTGCAGTGAGCTGAGATTGTGCCGCTGCACTCCAGCCTGGGTGACAGAGTGAGACTCCATCTCAAAAAACAAAAAAAGAAAGAAAGAGCATATAAATGGAGTCATTAACACATGTCACCCTTTGAGTTTGCTGCTTTCACTCACCATAATGCATTTGAGACTCCAAATGCTTTTGACCACAGAAAGGTTAGTGGTTCTGAGAGCAGCCTGGAAAGTCAGTAGCATTCCTATATACCATGAATAACCACTCGAAAATCTAATTTTAAAAATCCACAATGCCACCAAAAAAACCCCCAAAACCTAAAGTGCCTAGCAGTAAGACAAAACATGTACAAGATCTTTATGGAGAAATTTACAACATATAATAAAAAGACATTAAAGAAGACATGAGGAAATGGAGGCCACCATGTTCACAAAGAGGAAACTTGAAACCATAAAGATGGTGATTCTTCTAGTAAATTTTATGAATACAGTGAAATTCCAATCAAAATCTAAATAAGGTTTTATGTGGGACTTGACAAACTATCATGAAATTTATATAGAAAAACAAAGGGTCAAGAATAGCCAAGATTCTACATTGAAATTTCTAATAAAAAAAAAGAATGGCCAAGACAATTTTAAGAATATCAGGATTCATTATAAAGTCATGGTTGTTAATATTATGGTTATTATAAAGACACCGTGGTATAGGTGCATGGTTAGACAGTAGATCAGTCAAATAGAGAGCTGAAAATAATACCTATGCCTATTGGAAACTTTATGTATGACGGGTAGCACTGCAAATCAGTGGGATGGGACAATTGGGATCCATATAGAAAAGAATAAAATTGAATTCCTAACTCACATCATACATAAAGATCAATTCCAAATGAATGAAAATCTAGTATTGAAAAAGCAAAAGTTTAAAACTCTTGTAAGAAAATATACGTGACCAGGATTTTCTCAACAAGATAGAAAAAATCTGGAAAAGACTGATATATTTGTCTATATAAAATTTAAAGCTAGAAAGCAAGAAAATGCACCACAAACCAAGTTAAGAGAGCTTATATTGAGGAAAAACATTTGTAATGCATATGTCCGAGAAAGGATTTATACCCAAAATTCACAAAGAATTCCTAAAAATCACTAAGAACAAGATAAACTAATGGAGGGATATAAACAGGGTAGTTAAGCAGCCCAAATGGCCAAAAGGCATAAAAAGTTGCTTGACTTCACCTGCCACTGAGGAAATGCAAATTGAAACAAACATGGGATACCATTTTACACCCATACCCATCACAGTGGCAAAAATCTAACAGTCTGACTATATAAGTTTGGCAAGAATGGGGAGTATTAAAATCTTAGACACTTGCAGGAAGGAGTATAAATTGGTACAGTCATTCTGGCAAGTGGTTTTGCATTATCTGGTGGAAGATGCTGTAAATTCTGACCCAGCAGTTCCACACTATGTAGATACCCTAGAGAAGGTCTCAAATGTGCCCAAGGAGACATGTATAATAATGTTCATCACAGCCCTGTTTGTAAAGGGGAAAAATAAGGAACCTAAGTATGCATCAACAGAATAAACTATAATATGTTCATATAGTAAAGTGGTACACAGTAGTTAAAAAGAATCTAAAAAAACTGGATGCAGGTGGCACATACCTGTAATCCCAGCTACTTGGAAGGTTGAGGTGGGAAATCAGTGAATCCAGGAGTTCGGGACCAGCCTGGGCAATGTAGCGAGACCCTGTGTCAATACAAATAAATAATTTTAGGCTGGGTGCTGTGGCTCACGCCTGTAATCCTAGCATTTGGGAGGCCGAGGCAGGTGGATCACCTGAGGTCAGGAGTTCAAGACCAGCTTGGCCAGCATGGTGAAACTCCATCTTTACTAAAAATACAAATATTAGCCAGGCATGGTGGCTCACGCCTGTAATCCCAGCTACTCAGGAGGTTGAGGAAGGAGAATCCCTTGAACCTGGGAGGTGGAGGTTGTAGTGAGCTGAGATTGTGCCACTGCACTCCAGCCTGCACAATGGGAGCGAGACTCCATCTCAAAAAAATAATAAAAATAAAATAAATAATTTTAAAAAATGATCTAGAAAGACAAGTGTCAACATGGATTGAATTTCAAAAACATAAGTTTGAATGAAAAAACATATCACAGTGGAATACATCTAGTGTGATTCCATTTGTAGAAGATGTAAACAGGTATAAACACTTTTTTTCTGTTTATGCATGGCTCATGTAGTTAATAAAAACATAGTGAGAATGATAAACACCAAATTCAGGATAGTGGTGAGTTTTGGGGAGGAGGAAAAGGATTGTATCAGGAAAGTACATATAGGGGATTTCAAATATATCTGCTGTGTGTTACAGTTTTCTCCAGATTAAGAATTATAGCATATTTATTGGAATGCCAAAAGGAGCTGAAGAACCAAGGAGCATTCTTCTGTTAGACAGCGAAAACAGTCTTGGAGATTAATGCTCATAAAAAGTGATAAAAATGGATTTATATGTTTTTAGAAAGTATCTTCAGAAAACATAATTCAAAATTATATTTTTATTAAGAACACAAAGCACAAAACATAGTGTAAATTTTAATACATTTTAATGCTCAGATGAAACACTGTGCCTTCATGAATTGGAAGACTGTGCAAATTTATTTTCTTGGGTACTGTACATCATTTTTAAAAATTATGAAATAAGGCTGGGTGCAGTGGCTCATGTCTTTAATTCCAGCACTTTGAGAAGCTGAGGCGGGTGGATCACTTGAGGCCAGGTGTTCAAGACCAGCCTCGACAATGTGGAGAAACCCTGGCTCTACTAAAAATACAAAAATTAGCCAGATGTGGTGATGCACACCTGTAATCCCAGCTACTCAGGAGGCCGAGCAGGAGAATCACTTGAACCTGGGAGGCAGAGGTTGCAGTGAGCAGAGATCATGCTACTGCACCCTAGCCTGGGTGACAGAGTGAGACTTTGTCTCAAAAAAAAATTATGAAATAAGATGTGTACAGTTTTATATATATTTGTCATTATAAAGCAAGTGCTCAGGTCAAGAAACACAGCATTCCAGAAGCCCTTGTGTGACATACAATTTCTTCAGTGTGATTTGTTTTTTAATGGTATAAAGAGCTGTATAAATACACTTGTTATTCCTCTTACATTTTAAAAAATTAATCTTAGAAAAATATATTGCCAGCATTGATTTTTAAATTTTTAGCACAATTTGGGATTGGGACATGTTGGTGCAACTCTAGGATGCCTGAGAAGACTGTGGAAAATACTAGTTTGTTTCATGGTTTGCAGAGGACTTGGCTACGGTCAGCAACAGCAGTGCCACAGCTTGTAGTTATGCCCTAGGTCAGCAATCTCTCTCTTCTGGCCAGAGCTCCAGGAAGTTGATAAGCAACTTCAGAGCTGTGTTTTCGCTGACATTGGCCAGCAGGCTACGTATGTGGTCTTTACCATTTGGGGCCATCCCCCACTATCAGAGCATTTACAGTTTTTCTTGGGACACTGGACATTTTTTGAGCTCTTGGGGTTCAAAAAAATGAACCTTGGGGTTCAAAAAATGACCCTTGATGGTCTAGTGAAGAGTCCATGGCCCAAAGACCAGGAAACAGCACACTAGTCTAGAAACTAGGGTTTCTCAGCAGTGGCACAATTGACATTTTGGAATGGATGATTCTTTGTTGAGAGGGGCTGTCCTGTGCATGATAGGATGTTTCGCAGCATCCCTGGCCTCTACTCACTGGCTGCCAGTAGCACCCTCTCAGACAACCAGAGTGTCTCTAGACATTGCCCAGATTACCCTGGGAAACGAGATCACCCCAGTGGGGAACCACTGCATCAGAGTGTAGTATTCACACGAGGCTCATGCTCCCTTCTCGATGCCACAGCTGTGGAGGAGGTGGGTGGGGAGGCAACCTGAATGAAGACCCCTAACTTGGAGCAAGAGGAGGAGTGAAGGGCAAAGATAAGGGAAATGCTGCAGGCAGATCCATGGAGCCTTTACACAGAGTCGGGGCTTCAGGGTAACAGTTAATGACAGTGGGGGGAAGAGAGGGTGGGCGCAGAGCTGTGAGGTGCAAGCTCCGTTCAGAGATAACCGAGAGAAGTGTGTTAGTGCAGAGCCTGGTCTCTCTGGAGGATGGCACTCCAGCCTTCCATCTTCCCTCTGCTTGAGCCCAGCTTGAGCATTAAAGGAGCTTTAGACCCTCTTATCTTACCACATTTTTTCTGACTTCCTAGAAAGTTACGTGAGTCTAGCAAGTGGGCTGAGTTCCTTGGAGACAGATTGAAATTGCTTGTTACTCAACAGACATTTCAAGCACCCACTTAAAGGGGGAGGTGCTGTGCCAGGCACGAGGGACCCTCCTGATTGCCCAGGACTATATGATCTGACTAGGGAGACAGACTCAGCCAGCACAGGCAGCCCCGGGAGAAGGCAGGCTCTGTTGTCAGGCTGCCTGGGTTCAGATCCCAGCTCTGCACCTGGCTGATGTGTCTCCTTGGGTAAGTAATGATGCTAAGCCTCGGTGTCCCAGTCTGTAAAATGGGGTAGTAAGAATTCTTTTTCCCTATGTATTTGAGAGGATTAATTGAAAGAGTGAGTACAGCTTGTAGAACAGTGCCTGGCATTAGTGAACACTCAATGATATAATAATATTATTTTAAATGTTTTATTATTGCTGCTACTACATAAGGCCTGTCACAGGCTTAAATAGTATCAAGAAAACTGAGGGGGCAGTAACCAAAGGCTTCACAGAAGAAGTGGCATTTCTGAGATGGGTCTTAAAGGATTAGTGGCGCTTTATCAGGAAAAACAAAAGAGTTGTGGGATTGGGAAAGATCCTGTGCTAACATTCAGACAGAAGAAAGAGCAGCCAGAAAGTCACAGATTGCAAGTGAATGTGGCTTAATCAGGGGACAGCTGCTGGCTCTGTGAACCCAAGGCTGAGGGAGGGGTGGGAAGCAAGGCCAGTGAGGCCGGTGGAGAAGGGCCGTGTAGGGGTACTTGGTCTGAAGGAGCAGAAGTACCAAGCCCTTTTGGCTTGAGCCTGCTTCCTTCATTATTCCTTATTTCCAAAATAGGTTAAGAAGAACTGACCATTTTCATCCCATTTCCCCTTCCCCAGGGCAGTGAGATGCTAAGTGTTACTGAGCTTTTAGAAACCGAAAAGCAAACTTGTGTGTAGGGACCTTGTGCTATAACACAGGAGCCAGGCGGAGGATGCTGGCAACCAGCTCACTCCAGAAGAGTCCAGCTGACCTAGCACAGGCCTTCCTGTCTTGCCTTCCCTGCTCTGTGACCATTCAGAGGGTGTCACGACCCACGGGTTCACGGGGATCCCATCAATCAGCTCCTGGGTAGCGCTGTACTTCCCACCTGTCTCTCCTCTGCTGCTCACATGCTGTCCCAGGGCAGGGGCTGGAAACCATCCTGGCAGACATGGGTAATAACCATGGCACCTGTGCCTGAGGAGTGGTGTATTTATTTCCCCCCAGTCCATGGCGTTGTGCCCGAGGCTTTGCTGAATCAGCCTGGTGCTGTCTGGCGTCCACCTCGCTACCGAGACCTCAGTCCCAAGGTCACGAGCGTTCCCTGGATGGTGCTGGCTTTGGCTTCCCCATTCTGATACTTCACACAGTGAACACGTACTTACTGAGCCCTTCCTGCTGTGCAGGGCACAGGGGTGTGTTATGAATGAGGGACACCATCTCTGGCTTTGTGGAACACAGTCTTGTGGGAGAGACGCACCCTGAGCTGACCAAGTGGATACAGTGGACAAGAGCTAAGAAAGGGGCAGGTACAGGAGCTAAAAACGGAGAGGAGCCCAATCGTCAGGGGGGGTGACCAGGTCAGGAAAGGCCTCCCCGAGGAAGTGAGGCTCCTGGATACCTGAGAATGCTTAGGAGGGGGCAGGCAAGGAGGCAGTGTGGAGGAGTGTGGGGACCTTCCTCACCAAGGGGGCGATGACCAAACCCAGCAGGCTTCCCCAGCCACCTCCCCCTTGGCCTGCCTGCTGTCTTTGGCACTACCCTCTCTTAAATGTTTCCCCCTCACCCCCAGGCCTACTTTTTCCCCTTCCTTCCACTACTCTCTCATCCCCCCAGTGGCTCATCCTGCTCTTCACACAGGTCATTTCAGCCTTCCTGGAGGGTGGGCTGCTCCCCAAGGTAGTGCACAGTGATCGCAAGAAGCCAGGCTTGGAGGAGGCTGGCCTGGCTGGGCTCCAGCACCTGCCTTACCCTTCACTGGTCATGAGGCCTTAGACAAGTAAGTGACTGGCTGCTCCGTGCATTGGAGTCCTGTCTGTAAAAGGGGTTCCCTTGGACAAGGCAGTCTAAGTGGGATAAAGCTCTAAAGCACTTCGCACAAGGTATGTGTGAGTCAAGAGTTAACAGCCCTCTCCCTTTCAGTGCCAGAAACGGACTTGGTTCAGTTAACTTTGTTTTCCCTGGAAACCTGATGATTGTGGAATGTCAGGGTGTTCCCTGGCAACAGTGCTCATGGTAAAGCTGACCCCTGCTTGGTAAATTGCTTCTGGACTAGGAGTTCTCTCAATACCCAGTGAACTACAGCTTTGGGTTTCTTCAGTGTGGTGTCTTCTGTAACTAGGCTGGCTCTTTGCAGGGACTCTGAAAGCTCCGTCTGTGGGGTTGTCACAGGAGATGTCAGCTCATATAGTACCTGGGCCAGGCCCACTCCTGCACCTAGTCAGCTTGGCCTTAAGTTGGCACCTGGGGTGACCTCATCTGTCAGGTGAAAAGATTAAACCTCCAGCTCGATTCATTTATTTAAAAATACCTGTTGAGGGCCTACTATGGGGTAGGTTCTGGGAACACAGTGTTGAGCAAAACAGATCCATTATCTGCCCTCAAGGCACTTACAGTGCTGTGGAAAGAGGGCTGTCAATCAAAACATTACACAAACAACAATAAAAGAACACCCTGATAATAGGTACACTGTGCTATGAGTGTAGTGGGGAGGTTTGAGCTAGTTAGGGAGGCCAGGGAAGAAGTCATATTGGAGCTGGGATATGATGGATGAACAGGCATTAACCAGATAAAGAAGGGGGAAGGAAGACTCCAGAAGGAGAGAACAGCACAGGCAAAGGCTTTCTGGGTGGGGGATAGTGCATGGTGGAGAGAATGAGGGCAGGTGGAACTCTGCCGTTCAGGTCCTGAGAGGCAGGGCTGAGCACAAGATCATTTAGTGACCCAACGCAGCCCTGAGCATAGATCAGTGAGAGCTGCTGCCCAAACAGTGTCACATTGCTGGTATTTTTGCTTCTTCATCTTAAGAGCAATGAGAAACAGGCTAATGCAAGATGGGATGTATTGGTGGGAGGAGGGCTTGGCCTGATTGGATTTACAATATGAAATGTGAAGAGTTTATTCTAGCTGCAGGATGCTGAGATCAAGTCCAAGGGGAGTGAAATTTGAGGGGAAAGGTTTTGATGGAGAAAGAAGCCTGAGGTGTTTGCAGGCTTAACAGAGCTTCAGAGGGGGGTTAGCAGCAGGAGAGGAAAGGCAGCCTTTAATTTCAGGGGTCTTGGTGCCTTCACATCCCCATTTTTGGCTTCCATGACCCCCAACCACCCTTCCATGTTGCCAGACCACAGGTTGAAGGGAGGTGGGTGTGGGCTTTAACAGAAGATAGAGGTGCCCAAGGATGCCCCAGCCACGAGCAGAACACCTTCAGGGCATTCATAAAAATAAATCAAGCCCCACAGCAGCACTTTCTGTAGCTTAGAGAGTTGCTCTTGGCATTGAAGACAGACATTTTCCATTAAATAAGATAAATGAAAAATCGTATTTATTTTTGTCTCTCTTCCCTCCAGGCTTATATTTGGCACCCTTTACCCTGCGTATTATTCCTACAAGGCTGTGAAATCAAAGGACATTAAGGAATATGTAAGTAGCACTGTGTATTTTCGAGCGGGTTGGCTGGAGTCAGGTCAGGTGTGAAATGTTGGGAGAAGGGGATGCCCTCCGTGCTATGGGCACTGGAAGCAGGGAAAAGGAGTTCCTTCATCACAGTTCTCATGAGACATCTCAGGAGTCCTCTTTTCTGTCTAGACCTTCCCCTGCCTAGACCTAGAGCGTTGAGGTGAGAAAAGCAGGGAGATACGGCAAGAGGCTGTGGCATCTGGAATTGGAGGTTTCTCAGCTGTGCCACAAGCCACAGGTGACTTCACCTCTCTCAGCCTTGATTTATTTGTCTGGAAAACACTCTGTAGACCTTAAAGCACCGTGATGGAGAAAAAGTCCAGCATCGCAGGCAGGAGCACAGGTTTTAGAGTCTGGCAGACCTGGGTTTGGTTCCTGGTTCTGCAGCTCTGCCCCCATTCCATTTCTTTCATTCCAAATCCACAATTCAGGCTGTGTTGCTCTATAACCTTCTGAAGGCAGAGGATTTTTATCATCCTATATCTGTTTTCATAGTTTTGTTTTTTGAGCCGGAGTCTCACTCTGTTGCCTGGGCTGGAGAGCAGTGGCACAACCTCGGCTCACTGCAACCTCCGCCTCCCGGGTTCAAGAGATTCTCCAGCCTCAGCCTCCCAAGTAGCTTGGATTACAGGTGTGTGCCACCACGCCCAGCTAATTTTTGTGTTTTTAGTAGGGACAGGGTTTCGTCATGTTGGCCAGGCTGGTCTCGAACTCCTGACCTCGTGATCTGCCTGCCTCGGCCTCCCAAAAAGCGGGGATTATAGGCGTGCCACAGTGCCCGGCCCCTATATCTGTTTCCTGTAGCACATTGCAGAAGGTGAGCACATAGGAAGGGGATCTGGGAGGACTTACTGGTCAGAGGATAATCTCAATTACTGTTGGATGATCTGGGTGCCCTAGTCACCAGTTCTGAATGTGTTGGGCACCTTCAGGCAGGAGAACCATTAGACCACCGCTGACTGAGAAAGACCTGCTGGGTGGGTGGTGAGGGAAGGGTGTCCTTCCCCACACAGGACACAAACTCAAAATGCAAAAGGTGTGGATTTTGGCATCAGAAGACCGAGGTTGGTCAAGTCCTGGCTCTGACATTTGAATGATGCAGTGCTGGTCTAAGTAGCTTAAACTTCCGAGAGCCTAAGTGTCCTCATCTGAACAGTGGGGTGGGTAATAGCCATGCCTTTGCCTCTTTTACTCAGATGTCTCTTGGCAGGTTTGGCGAAGGTAAAGAAACAATTCAAGGTGGGCTTAGAAAGTCAGTATTTTTTTTCTCAGATTTCCCAAGAAGTCTTTATGATGAAACCAACCATCTCTAGATCAACTGCAACCAGAACTCACCCCCCACCCCACCCCGCAATCTCCCACTTTCCCAGAACAACTTGCCTGGGCTTGCACCTTGCTGTTCGTAAGCAGGGAGTTCCAGAGGGGAGCGATTTTTCTTCTGGAGACTGGGTCTGTGGTATATGTGAGGGAATCTCAGAATGCACGCTATAAATAGCTGTTAAATTGCAAGCACAGAACCTCCTGATTCTCAATTGACTTGGCACAGGGCAAAGCATTAAGCAGCTTCTCCTAGCCCTCCCTCTCCCAACCCTTTCCCGCCTGCAATCTGTGCCAGAGAAGGAGGCCTTACCAGGATCACTGTGGTATAAGGTCTAATCCTTCACTTTGCAGGGGCGAAAACAACTCTGTCAGCTCTTCTGAGAGAGATCAAACCCTGGTAAATTGTTTTGCTCTGACTAAACTCACAGAAGCCTGGTTTATGACTAGAATGGCAATTCATTAATTTAGAGTGAAAACCATAATTGATGAGCAGAGCAGCTGTTTGTGTTGGCTGCTGAGCACATGCTTTTCCCAGTAGGGAACGTGCAAGAGTTTAGATTAGGTTTCTTGGTAAAAAAGGAATCTGAAGAAACAAGCCGAGTAGTATCAGGAGGGAACTGCCTTTCTCTGCACTCACACTCCTGTGTTTCCTTCCTGCAGTCCTTTCGACTAATGCGCCCATTTTGTTCAAGAGAGAAACCTGCGAGTTTCCTTAACACACCCACACCCACGCCCCACCCAGTTGGTGACCATGTCCCTTCATCCCTGTCGCCTGAATAATCTTCCAAACCAGGTCTGTCGTCCTTCTCTGCTGCCACTCTCAGAAATGAGATTCTCACTATTTTCCCTAGAAGGTTACAGTAGCCTCCTATATTAGTTTTTTATTGTCACCATTACAAATTACCGTGAACTTAGTGGCTTAAAACACCTGTGTACTATTTTATAATTCTGAAGGTCAGAAGTCCAATGAGTCCCACTTGGTTAAAATCAAGCAGGGCTGTGCTCCGTTTAGTGGCTCCAGGGGAGAGGCTGTGTCCTTGCCTTTTCCAGTTCCTAGAGGCCATTCCTGGATTCTTAGGCTTGTGCCCCTTTCTCTTCCTCCTTCAGAGCCAGCAACATTGCATCTCTCTGGCTGTTCTTCCATAACCATATCTCCCTCAGGCTCACTGGGAAAGGTTCTCCACTTTAAGGATTCATGTGATTACATGGGGCCCACCTGGGTCATCCAGGATACTCTTCCCATCTGAAGGTCCTTAATTTAATAATGCTACACAGTCCCATTTGCCATATGGGGATTAGGACATGGACATCTTTGGGGAGCCATTGTTGTGCCTATCACACCTCCTAACTGGTTCTCCTGCCTCCTGTCCCTGCTTTCCCACTCTGTTGCCACATGACATCCAGTGCCATTTAAAAATGAAAGTCTATTTATTTCACTCCCCTGGGTCATTTAATGGCTGCTTATCACCTGCAAGATCAAGCACAAACTTCATTACAGCATTTAACACCCTTCTCAATCTTGCTCTTCCCTACTTCCCAGTCGCTTCTCTACACGTCTTCAGCGCTGTAATCTCAACACCCAAGGTGTGGTTGGTGGCCAGCATTATCTGCATCACCTGGGAACTTGCTTGAATTGAAGACTCAGGCTTGTCTTTCTGTGGAAGGCACAGAAACGGTTATCATGAAGGAGTTTTTGACACACATTCCCCTAGAAGTAGGAGGCATGGCATGCCATGTAGGGCCACACAGGGGAACCACCAGGGCTGGTCAGGAAGCAGAGGGAGCTCTCCTAAATAAAAATGGGCATTTTTCACAGGATCTCCAATTTAGAAACATTGCTCAAGACATTTATAGCTGCTTATGTCTTTCCAACCAAACTTACTGTACCTGGATTCAAGGTTTTGGGATGAAAACTTAAACAGAAAGGAATTTACGGGAATTTATAGAATTAACTAGGTAGCAGGAGAAAGATACCCAGGAACTGGGGAGGATCCAAGGAGGCTGGGTGGTGCTGACGGCCCAGCTCACACCATAGGAAAGTGTGTGATTAGGAAGCCTCTGCCAAAGTCACATCTTGGGCACTGGCTGCTTGTGCTTTTGAGGCATCCCCTGACAGTGCACAGTCCTGGATAGGGGCCCAAATAACAGGACTTTCCTCCCACAAAGATGCTCATGTTGGGAGATGTCTCCCAATTTTAGAAGGCTTTGGATGCTGAGTAGTCATGGAAAAAAAATAACCAATACAGCTGCCTCTTAGGCTACCCCAAACTACATCCACATCCATTCCTTTACCCACATTTCGGCTTAAAAACAAGCTTCCAACAAGAATTCTATACAACTCACTCACTTGTCAAATCCAGATTCCGTAAGTTGCTGAGTCCAGCTCCAGGCCCAGTATCCCTGGGCAAAGTCTTCTCCTCCTCTGGTTCTGACAAGACCCAACCTTAATATTCAGCATTCCGAACACTGAATTGTTAAGTGAACGGTCACCAATGCAGCTCACATACTATTTTAGTGGGGAGAGAAAGAATTAAAATATAATTACTTAAAATATTAAAATCTATACTTAGAAAGGAGGAAAATATGGATAGAAGATACAGTCCATATTCATGCAACTGGTCATGAGTTCATAGCTGTATTTGTGTCTTTTGTTAAAAGAAAAAAGTTTTTAGAGGGTGGAATCATGACTCTTGTATGAATATAAAATGAACACATGTTGAAGATTTTGCTTAACTTATGAACTAATGAGGGAACCAGTAAGGTGTTCAAAGGAGACCCCAAATAACAGACATATGTAGGCAATCAGAAATGTTGAAATGGATTTGTTAATAAATATTAAACTGATTACTTGGAGGGTGGGATGGGGAGATCAGTTGTATCTCTGCTGGACAAAATTTATTTGCACCTCTGTGGGTGAAACTATATGCATTGCAATCAGTTTTAACTTATAAAGTTGTAAAATAGCTCAAAGACATTGAAAAGCAGGACACCTGCAGAATCAAGATAATTCAGAAGGACATGCTGGACACCTAGCATTCCACAGGATACCCATTCTGAAGTCTTTCTCAGGTTTTCCTGAGGCTTTCCTCTTCCGCCATCCAATTCATGCTCCCGTTGCTTTCAGCTAGAGCTTTAGTGGGATTTGTTCCTCATCCTGTGATGGGGCCCAAATCTTTATTCCTGAGGAATCTGAGGTCTTGGCAGTTTTGCCTCTGTAGGGCTGTAGTAATGACCCATTGACTTTTTTTTTTTTTTTTTGATACAGAGTCTCGCTCTATCACCCAGGCTGGAGTGCAGTGGCACGATCTCGGCTCACTGCAACCTCTGCCTCCTGGGTTCAAGTGATTCTCCTGCCTCAGCCTCCCCAGTAGCAGGAATTACAGGCATGCAGCACCATGCCTGGCTAATTTTTGCATTTTTGTAGAGATGGGGGTTTCACCATGTTGGCCAGGCTGGTCTTGAACTCCTGACCTCAGGCAATCCACACACCTTGGCCTGCTAAAGTGCTGGGATTACAGGTGTGAGCCACCACGCCAAGCAACCCATTGACTTTTACCCCTGAACAAGACAGTACTAGGAGGCCCCCCCAAGGCTGTTTGACTTCCATCTGCTCTTCTTTCTGCCTCATTGTGTAGCAGCAGTCCTGGTTCCCCTTGATAATTAGGATCAGTTAGCACCTCAAAGCCCATAAGCCCCTTTATCATCTATTTCCTACTGGCGTGAGTATCGTGAAGCCACCAGGAGACAATATAAGTCTCTGCTTCCACTTCATTGAAACCATTTTGTATCCCCTGTTGGAAGCATCCATCCCTCAAGTACCAAAGTCATTAAGAAGCAGAGATCAGAGGTCTGAGGATGAGAAGCAAAAATGTTGTGAGTGCGTTAGAGCAGTGATTCTCAAACTTTAACATGCATATGAATGAACAGGGGATCTCCTTAAAAGCAGATTATGATCCAGTAGGTCTGGGAT